>NC_000014.9:32035955-32338985 GCF_000001405.40 Homo sapiens | reverse complement strand
ATTTAAAATATATTAAAGAGTTCTTCTCTTAAAAGCTCTAAGAATGATTTTCTTGGTTTCAGGGCTGGAGTTGAGGAGAAATTGCATTTTCTTCTTGAGAGAGTAATAATCTTACCCCACTACTTCTAAGTATGTGAAACAATAACTTTCATTTATCAAATTCTCACTTTGTGCCAAAAACTTTACATAAAATACTTCATTTCATCCTGTAAAATGGATATTCTCCTTACATATGGGGAAAAATGAGGCTCTAAGAACCTTAAGATCATAACTCTAATAATTTTATAGTAGAGCTAAGATTCAAAGGTAAATATACCTGGCTCCAAAATCCACCCTGCCAGGCTCTGTTTTTGTTCAGTGTTTAGGTATAGGGTGTCAGGAGATGGAGTAAGTCAAGAAGGGAAACATGATGATTATTCTCATGGTACTGCCTATTCCCTGCTCACCTTCCCTACCACTAATCTCTTGCTCAGAGAATTTCAGTCTATATATATATATGTATAAATTGCTGGATGTTAGGATTCCAAATCCAAAATGGAAACCCCCTATTTGATGCAAGCTATTGCAAAAATATCACTTTAGATTTGGGCATGTAACATTTCCACCACCATTTAAGGTTCTAGAGTAGACTTTTTTTGAAAGCTTGTTTTCTCCTCAAGCTGGTTGATGGCACTCAATTTACTACTTCTTGTTTGGGTATCTGAGCATATATGGTATTTAGGCAGGATGGTGTTAAGGTCTAAGAACCAGAGAAAAACATCATACCAAAGATAATAATTTATGTTATTTTCTTAAAGAATTTTTTTTAAAGAAAAACAAAATATATGGGTATATTCACCTTTACAACAAATCAACCAAATGATATTAACTAAAGCAAAAAACAAAAGGAAAAACTCTCTAAGTAAACAACAACAAAAAACCAAACAAACACAAAAAAAACAGAGTAAAACGTGTCTTGTTTTGTTTGAGCCAGGGTCTTGCTCTGATGCCCAGGCTGGAGTGCAGTGATGCAATCATGGCTCAATGTAGCCTGGACCTTCTAGGCTCAAGCAATCCTCCCCCCTCAGCCTCCTGAGGTGCTAAGACTACAGGCATGAGCCACCATGCCAGGCCTGTTTCTCTCCTTATGCTGGTTATGTTATCTTTTTCTCCATCCTCTGCCTTTCAACTTATTTTCAGTTTAGTCAAAATTCAAATGTTTAAAAATCCTGTTATCCAGGAAGGGGAACATCACACACCAGGGACTGTTGTGGGGTGGGGGGAGGGGGGAAGGATAGCATTAGGAGATATACCTAATGCTAAATGACGAGTTAATGGGTGCAGCACATCAACATGGCACATGTATACATATGTAACAAATCTGCATATTGTGCACATGTACCCTAAAACTTAAAGTATAATAATAATAAAATAAAATTTTTAAAAAAATCCTGTTATCAATTATTTATTACTAAATGAATATAAACCATAACATCTTAATTCACCAATCTGATTCTTTATTTGTTCTCAGAGGAATCATATCTTTTTGTGGTAGTTTTTATTGTTACCTTTGTTTTCAGATCTGTCCTTTTTTCTTGGAGAAGCTGCCCTTCTGAGGCAGGTGTTCCTCTACAGTGTTCTAGAAGCTGTGTGCTCCTACTAGCCAAGCCTGAAGAAATGTGCATCCTTCAGTTTCTTCTTGTGCTGCCCATCTTCTCATCACCACCCCCTTATTCTTATTTACTTTTAATTTAAAATGAAATGTACCAATAACCCTAAAGGACAAATTTTTTAAACTGTACTTGCACGCCTGTTTTCATTGTTGCATATAGTCTTCTACCACATCATATACCACCTCCCCTGCTGTTTCAGTTATTTCTAGTTGATTCTCCATATAGGCTGCCTGCAAGACTGACTAATAGGAGTTTTAAAAGGTCATTCCCTTTCAATTCACACAAAGACAAAAACAGATTAAATACAAGGAAGTATTTGAATTAACTATTAAAAGCTAAAAGCAAGCGGATTTCTTCCAAGGGACATATCAGAGAAACTGCAGTGTCATTTGGTTTTCCATGGGCTACTTTTATGCTAATGTAATAGGAATAAACAGTGGCAGGGAGATGAGGGCCTCAGGGGCTGCTGGTGGGGAGGACTGTAATGAGTTCAGAACAGTCCCAGAAGGTAACACTGATAAGAGACGAGGTGGAGTAGTAACAAACTATGAGCACTCAAGATGGAGAAAGCTGAGAAAGGGCTGAGAAACAAGAATTTTGAGTGGGCCAGCAAAAGTAATGAGTTATTAGACAAACACTTAAATCAAGAAATTGGATGAGAACAGAAGATGAGAGAGCCTCCACAGATATGCTTGGAGCTCCATGTCAAGGTATGTTCAGAAAAAAGGAAGAACTAATCATGACCATCTGTATGCACAGCCCAGCCAACACCATGTTAAATGTATGTCAAGTTCTCCAAGTAATATACATGTGTGTGTGCCTATAGTCATCGTTATTTGTAAAATGTTTGTTCTCTTAGCATATGATATTGTACATGGTAGACATCTGATGCATTTGTCAATTGTTGACTACTGGTGAAATTATCTGAAACAGATAGTTTTACAGCTTGTACAGTGATGGACATAGTGAGTATCAGAATTGTTCAGGGGTACAAGGTCTTGTATTCCTGGGGCTTGATCCTTGAAGAAGACTCTATTCTTAGGCTTCTAAGAGGTGGCAAGAGCCCTTTCTGGATTTGTCAGGTTCCTGTTTACTCACACAGTAAAAAAAAAAAACTTACCTTTTTCCTGTGCAGCAAGTGCCATCATTCATACCCATTTTCTAACAACTCTCTGCAAATCTGTAGATTAATAGATTAACACAGCCACTTCTCACTGTGACATGATGGGTGGGAATGTTTCACCCACCATAAGGTCCAGGAGTTGGTCACCAGCATCTCATTATTATAAACAGTAATGGCAGATATGGACTTCTGAACATTAGCATGGCTGGAACTACCTTGCTGGAGAAGGGTTCATTATAAATATTGACTATAATTCCCTTTTAAATTGAAAAAAAAAAATGAACTTTTCCTGTAGTAATATAACCTCGAATTATAGGCCCTCTGGCCTCCTGGAGAGAGAGAATTAAAAAAAAAAAAAAAAAAAAAAAGGAGAAAAGGATAGTATTAAAAAAAAAAATACCCAGACAGCATAAATATGTTGTGTAATTTAAATGAGAGTTAAACAAAGCAGGTGATAAAAGTAATCAAGTAGTAAACAAAGGGCAAGAGAATTAATATAAACATTGAACCAACAGGATGGTTAATTAGCTTGCTTTGCAAAGAAGATTTGATTTCTCCCCTGAAAGCAATGGTGGTGACAAATAAACCTCACCTACCAAATATCTTCAAGTATAATGTAATATATCCCCCATTGCCTATAAAAGAAATGCCACTGAGTTCCTTTGCATGCCACTGAATTACCATCTACAAGGGCCTTGCTCTGGGTTGTTTTGACAATGGTCCCTTAGTTTTTCTAAGCACTACAATTTCTATTTGAATTGTTCCAGAGTAGGAGGAAGTGGGGAGTCTGAAACTCAAACATCTACAGGGCTCAGGCAGTATCAGTGGGGGCACCAAAAGGGCCATATGGGACTGGCTACATAAGGTCCACTGTAAAATAAAAATGTGGAGCCTCTTATTAAAAAATTATTAAGAATTCCAAGATGGTTACAGCAGAGTATTAAACTAAGTGTGGGCCCTTCTCAGTGCAGGGCCCTATGCAACTACACAGGTTGCACACCCATAAAGCCTGCCCAGCAGCCATACAAAACAAGCTGCAGGCTAGGTTTAGCTCATGTATTAGCCAGTTTGAGACCCCATTCTAAAGGCTCTACTAGCCAGGTGGGGTGATGTGCACCTGCAGTCCTAACCACTTGGGAGGCTGAAGTGGGAGGATCGTTTGAGCCTAGAATTTCAAGGCTGCAGGGAGTAATGATTGCACTACTGCAATCTAGCCTGAACAACAGAGTAAAACCCTGTCTCCAAAAAAAAATCTGAAAATAAAATAAAGGTTCCACATTCTCTCCCTACTTACCCTTGTGACTCAAAGCACACCACTGCAAGATGGCTGGAAGAGTTTGGAGCATGCCCCATGGCTGAAGAACAGAGAAAAATATGGCTGGTGGCTTATGAGGAAAACAAAGTCTGTCCTTTATCTTCACCAAATCTTAAAGCCAACTCAGGAATTCAATTACTGACCGGTATGTGCTCGTGGAGAAGAAACTGTATGCCTTATTAATTCAAACTGCAATAGTCCCCCTCATTATCAGGGAATATGTTCCAAGACCCCCAGTGGATGCCTGAAACCATGGATAGCACCAAACCCTACATATACTATGTTTTTTCCTATACATATATACCTGTGATAAAGTTTAATTTATAGATTAGACACAATAAGAGATTAACAATAACTAATAATAAAACAGAACAATTGTAACAATATGCCAGCATCACTAATCTTGAGCTTTGGAGTCATTATTAAGTAAAATAAAGGTTATTTGAACATGGGCATTATGATAGCGAGATAGTTGATCTGAAAACCAAGACGGCTATTAAGTGACTTAACAAGCTGGTAGCATATACAGCATGGATATGCTGGACAAAGGAATGATACACATCCCAGGCAGGACAGAACAGTAATGGTGAGAGATTTCACTGCACTATGCAGAACAGCGCATAATTTAAAACTTATTGTTTATTTCTGCAATCTTCCATTGAATGTTTTCAGACCACGGATAACCATAACCACAAAAGGCTAAATCACAAATAAGGGCGCGGAAGGGGCTACTGTACCTAAAACTCTGTTGCCATGGCCAAAGTCCTATATGGATTGCTATTCCTCTGAAAAACCACACTCAGGGCCCATCTACAGAGTTCAGTCAATATGATTGTTTCGAGAAATGCTTCCCATTTAAAGCAATACTGTAAGGCACACTAGGGCGATTAGATGAGACTGAAGGTAACTGGTATACCTGTCCTTGTACAACTAAGTGTGTAGTTGGTACCTTGTATGATACATACCTCCATCAGCAGGCTGGCTGGAATGCTCAATTTAGAGGGCTCTCTGGACAATTTTTAAAGGTGATGAATATCTTTTATAAAAACAAAAATATCTCTCCTTAACTGATCTGCCACACACATTTCATATTTCCATATGTCAAGTTTGTCAACTGAGATAGACATGCACTATTTGACTGATTATAATTTTATTTCTCAAAATAGTTTATACCAAAAAAATACTAATTGCCATATTGGTCTTGTCCACATCCAGAAAGATTCTAATCCAAACCCATGCAAGAAAAAAAAAAGTTATTATTTAATGCAGTAAGTTTACCTCCACATATAAACCATATAGCTATATGTACCTATACAAATGTGCACAGATAATGGGCTTCTCTAATAACACATGGAATAAAAAGTAAATAGAAATAGTATTGCAGTATTAGAGGAAATAAATTATTTTACCAATTTACCCATTTTTCCCTTCCCCTCTAGAATGTAGCTGGGGAAGAGATTTGCATCTGTCTTGCTCATTGCTATAGATTCCCTGACAATGCCTGGCATATAGGAGATATTCAATAAATATTTATTGAATTGAATTGAATCCATGCGATCAAAACAAACTGCCATTCATGGGTTCTAGGATTATAAATAGAAGAAAATCAGAGACATGTAGCAAGACCACCAACTTCCCTAAATTCCACTGGCTATTTTATTTCCTAATTGGAACCTAACTCCTGTAGTCATTGTACCTAGCAGCTTTGATGCTTTCTGATCAGCCTCTCATTCCTGTACCTCATGCAGACACAAGCTTGGGCCTCTTTGGAGCAGGTTAGGACAAAGGTTAACTTCTTCCTGGAACCTAGAAAAGGCTAATGAGCCCTGTGGAATAATATTTCTAAGTATTCACCATACAGGAATCAATATCAACATGCTGTCAGTGTGTGCATTAGCCCCACACTCAAACAAAGAACAGCCCTTAGAGCCCAATAATGACGCTGGGCGTGGATAGCTGGGGATGAGCAAGATGATACAGAAATGACTATATCAGCTCTCCTCAAACACAAGGCTTCCAGGTTATTACACAAGACTGTCATTCTTGTACTTTGTCAGAGATAGACAGAGTTTGGTTTCAGCCACTGATACATTCAGCAAAATAAATCCTCTATCTTCTTAACCTAAGAGATAGATTCAGATTACACTTTCCAGACTGTGAGAGAAGTTTCTGCTTCTGTTCTCAACACCAGGTTGAGAACAGAACCTGGTGCAACAGCAGGGAATACAAACATCTTAAAGTTAACAAAGCACCACAAATATAGCTGATAAGACAGGTTTATAACAAAGCTGAATCATTACTGACTCAGGTAAGACCTGCTTTGAGTGCAACTCCATCATGCCCACAATTATTGATGTAACATTTTCCATACAGAGATCCTGCTAGAAAGTTATATCAAGCAAGGGCAGTGGCAAAAGTCTAAGCATCAACTCTTCATTACTTAAATCTCTGGGTACAAAGTAAATATTCACATCTGATCAAGATTCATGCTCATCCTTACAGTGAAATCAACCTTAGTGTTGCAAATGACATTTCATTCTACATATGAAATCTGATTTTCCAATTAGAATGAGGAGGGGTGGGGTACGTGTGATAGAGTATAGATGACTGATCTGTATGGTATATACAGTAAAGATGTCATAAAACTGAGATGGCCGTGGGTAAGCATGTGTGCTGCATAGCCAGATCGCAATGGTTTGGAATCCTGGCCCAATCACTTATTAACTACATAACCTTAGCCAAGTTTATTCGCCTGGCTAAGGACTGGTTTTTGCAAAATGTGAATAATAACACCTAATCCTATAAAGTGAGATTATTACTCTCTACTTCATAATAATAATAAGGGCTAAATAAGATATACACAAAACTTAATTCAGTACTGATACACAGTAAGAACTGAATAAATGATAGCTATGATTGTTATTATGATTATTATTTTTATCATCCCTATGCGGCCTAGTTATCGGCAAAGAATTAACTTCTTTGTAACTTTGTAATGTATTTGTGAAAGCCATGACCAAAAGTATAGAGGACATTAACTTCTTGTGAGGCTTCCATGGCCTAAACTCTGTCCAATAAACATGGTCTTGATGATCTATCATTACTGTGAAACAAAATTCCTTAAACTGTAGAAAGTTTCAGTGAGGCACCAATAAATACAGCCATAGAGAAATCTCTCCCTTCCCCTATACACACACACACACCATCTACCCCTTGGGGATATATTAAAACTAAGACAACTGAAATAGCCTTAGCCAGTAATTAAGACATGCAGCTAATCAGAGAGCAGCGCAGGCTGTGGCCCTCTACAAAGAAACGAAGAAACAAAACATTAGGATGATAGCTCTCATTACCAGGGCTTTGTTCTCCTGGAGCAAAAAGAGCACAAAAGCATAAAGTTGGAGAACTGTAATTGCATTTTGAACATTTGCGGGGGGAAAAATTACAGGGTTGTCTGAACCGGGAGGATGTTCCACTAGATAACTGCGTCAGTCCACACCCACCAGCGCCCTTCCCCACCCTCAAAGCATGACTCCACTTTTTCTAACACTGCCCTTAAGGAATCTAGCTTTTGTGACTTCCAGTAATTGAACAAATCAACCATGATGAAGCAGCTGAAGAGCACTTTAAACAAAAGAGACAAGAATTAAGCAAACAGAAAACTCATTACAATGCTGCCTTTTGCTTTTTTTTACTCCTAGAAATTCATGTTACCAAACAAGTCTTTCTTCATTGCTCTTCTTCAGAAATAATACTTTAAGAAAATTCTAAAAGGCACTAAGTGATTTTATCCAGATTTATAATCTAGCTACAAGACATACTTTCCCTTCCCCCATCACCATCTAGCACTCTTCCCTGTCACCTTAGAGCTTTCGACTTAGATGTGTTCACACCCAGCAGTCCCAGCAGAGCTTTCTGCTCACATTATATGACATAAAAAAGCAGGCAATGAACAATTCATGCTTCTAAGTGCTTGCGATAAAGCCAGGCTGAGCTGACCTCTCCCATCCTATACAGCTGCATGTCAGAAACATAAGCTTAAAGGACTGAGAGTAGCAAGCATGTGCGTGATGTGGTATAAACAAACAAATTAAAACCTGAGGCCTTTCCTCTGGCTGGTGCCTAATGGGACTAGCATACTTAACTCTGTGCAAAAAAAAAAAAAAAAAAAAAAAAAAAAAATCACTCCAAGCTAGCTAAAGGTATTGCTTTTCCTGCTTTCCATGATATATCTCTTTAGCCCCAATAAACAGACTAAAAGAAGAGGAATTCAATGGTTGCCATTCTTTCGTGTAAGACTTTTTGAGTAAAAACTATCAATTTGGCAGCATTAAGCCACAAGACCACTCCCTGATTCTAAGTGGACATATTGATCAATTGAACTGACATGTGCCTCCTCCTTTCTCTCCCCTAGTAGCAATCAGCTGTACCAGGGAAATCCATTTCATTTCCCAAAACAAAAGGCAACATTCTGCTCCTTATCTGACACTGTCAGACTAATTTTTTAGAAAATAATAATAATAATAAAGATGCCTAAAAACAGAGCTAGGAGTTGAAATGAAAATGATACGTGTTTAGAGTTTTGGAATTGAGTTGAGGTTATGACTGAGTCCAGAGGTCTGTAATCCCTACAACCACTGAGGACCCTGATATTTATTCATCATACCCAGATTTTTGTTAAAGTTAAGCAAGGGATGGCAACACCACTGCCACTTCAGAGGCTCTCCCAGGGTTACCCTTCACTGCAACTGCCGCAGAGAGGAGACTTGTTCCTTTCTCAGTTACAAGTCAGCCTGCAAACAACTCCAGCTATTTCAGAGACTAGCTAGAGATGGAAAAATATGTGGCAGTCTTTCAACTAACTCTGAAGGACATGGGTTGAAGAACTACCATATAGATCAAAAGGCTCAAATAATTTCATTTGGTTTAGGTTTTTATGCTTTTAATAAATTCTGTCTTGAATATGCAAGAGATCCCCTTTCACATCAGGGTTATGTCAAATGCTTATTCAGCATTTGTTCCTTGCCATGAAGAAACTGAAACCCAACCGAGGTAAATAATGAATTTCATACTGCAAATCACTGAATATTTCATAATTCACAAGAGCAAAGAGGGGGCCAATTAGCTCTGCCTCCCAAAAAGAAATCTATATTTTTACAATGCTTAAATACTGTTAACTACTCATTTTAAAGCTTATCTGGGGTTTTGCAATTGAAAAATCATCTTATGTTTATGAAAAATTCTGTAAGAACACTTAAAAATAACAGACAGAGCTGGAGCAAGAATAATTCTACATATTTTAATTCCTATATGACTCTTACAGGCCTTTGTCTTAACCCGGCAGCCTGAAAAACGATTTAGGTAAAACAGCCCTTCTTTCCCCAGTCCATTTTAAGCAGAGACAACATCCCCCAATCTCCGCCTTAGCAGACACCGACTAACCAACAAAACAGCCGTGCAATTAAGGCCCAGACATTTAACACTCACCATCTCCTGATCCCACCGTCTTCTTTTGATGTTTACAGCACATCTGTAGGATGCAATACTAGGAGATGCCTTGTTTGACCTGCTGCATGATGCTGTGACATCAGTTCAGATGATGCAGCTCATTATGGGAAAGACTGCTGTTGCTATGGCAACTGGGATGTGCTAGGAATCCTTGCTGCATTTCCAGTGGAGCCTGAGACAATACGGAAGCCCTGTAAGAAACAGACGATATGCAAAATTTAGACCAAAGGAAGAGGATTCCTCATTGGACTAAAATCCATAGGTTTAAAAGGGATTTCCCTGAAAGCATTTTGGAAAAAACAAAAATTATCTCCCCCTTTGTTGTTATACATTTAGAAAAAAAAGGTGGGAGGAGAAAATAGAATTAGTACTAAGCAAATAAAAACTGAAATGTACAATGTTTCCTTATTAGACAATTTGATCACTTTTTCCTCCCTGGTCAGCACTGGGATAGCTTTTTAAAAGTTATTAAAAAGAATTTTTGCTCATCTGTCAAAGACCAAAAGAACAAAACAGCGAGCACAAAAATAATTAAAAATGGAATATAAACAGCTGACCAAATGACTCTAACTCTCAAGTAAACAAGTTTTAATTCTCAAAACATGGGCAAACCCTTGGCCAATGAAGTCTGTCCTGGTTATTTTCCCTGATGAACACCAACCCACAGAACCTTCCCATGCAGAATAAACCCAGCTTTCACCTGGTCATCAGATAGGCAGCAAAGGGAAGTTTGGAATCTAGAGGGGCACAACACACCACCCTCAACTTCTACTGACCCTTCCTTTGGCCTGCAGGGAACCCCTCCTTCTCATGGCCAAAACGCATGTGAGTCTTTTCTGGGATCAAACCTAGTGGTTGGAACAAGTAGCAGACCTGCTAGAAACTTCCTAAATCGTTGGCATTCCAAACATTGGGGTCTGTTTTCTTCTTTTCTGAACAATAAAACTGCCTACCACACAGATTATTTGTGCCCCTCCCCAACCCCAAAAGCTGGAACTGTGTGAAAAGCCACATTTAAACAAGACACGGTAAGGCATTTCTCCAGTTGGTAAAAGAAAAGCAAATCTAAAGCAATCACTTCTTTCCAGTCCTGAGCAGAAATCAACGTCATGTGGTGAGAACTGGGGAGAAGGAGATATGGACAGAGCAGCCTATGTTTTGCATATTTAATATTTGCAGGCCATTGATAGAGAAAAGCAGAATCAAGTTGACCTGTATCCACTCCGTCTTCACAACTCTGAAAAAGAACAACATTCCAAAAGCTTAAAACATGAGACAATTATGTTGTCTCCTCCTGCTTGAGATTTTAAAATGGCACTGTTAACCACCAGCATAGGCGGTGTGGGATGAGTGGCAGAAGGAATTCAGGCAGTGTCTCTGTAAACAGGAGCTAATAAAATGCCTGAGAAGTGCCAATATCCCAGCAGCGTGCACCATCAGCCTCGCACAGAGCAACCCTGCCCTAGATGGGAAGACAGACTTGTTCTTGCTTCATCTAGAGAGGAATTAAGAGACCAAAAGCAGGAGGTGAATCTGCCTGCTTAGGTCCTTTGTGGCATCAGCAGAGCCTGACTCCCTCCCTTTATCTTAGACCTCAGACCACATGCCACACACAAGGGGAGAAGTAGCAGGCAGCTACCCCAGTACAAAGAGTACAGATCTGAGAGTCAGGAAACCCAACTGTAAATGTCAGGTCCTCCTAGAGCATCTGTGTGATATCAGGCCAATTGATTAACTTCTTGGGGCCTCAAGTTTTTCATCTGCAGAGATGATTGATTTAGCTAATAACCATAGTTTTCAGGTTTTTCATTAGTAATATAACCTTTCTTTTAATGATACAGATCAAAGCTGGACTGCCTTGGTTGAGGCAAGATAAGAAGCCCAGAGCCCAGACTGATGAGCCATTCTCAACCACTGCCTCCAACCTCATTTGCTGTAAGCTGACTCTTTAAGATACCTCTGAAGAACCCTTCAGTCTCTGGAGAAGATAAAGAGACATGGACCTATTACAGAACAAGATTAGTCTTTCCAGAGCTGAAATCCACATGCTATAAAGAGGAGAGGACAGGGTGGGAGCAGGTGTTCCAGATTTGAATATGGCTTCTCAAGATGGTAAGAATCTTGTTAATCTTTTTTGCCAGAAGCAAGTCAATCATTTGATGGGAAGAAATGGATGGCTCATCAAACCTGAGGCCAGGTCAAACTTTTAGCAACCTGGACTAGCTAAATTGCTTGCCCACAAAATGGCACTCACCAATGAAACGGAAGTAGAAGTGGAAACCATCAACTCCAAAGGTGGCTAAGACCAAGTGTCTCTTCTTCATGTTTTCCTGTCCTGCTAGCTGGATGCAAAGAATCCAGTGGAACTCTGAAGCCCAGAAAGATAATGGCCACACATTGTGGATGGAGCCTGGGTCCCTGAATGACTGCATGGAGCTCAACCATCCTCTCCCAACTACCTATTGACCTACACTGGGCTGCAATGAGTGAGAAACAAACACCACCAAGATTTTGGGGTAGTTTATTCTGAACAAATTATCCATTTATAGATAAAATTATAATTTAATAAAATATAAATTTTCTAACAAGATTATATTATATATCATTATTTATGATAAAGTGACAGTGTTAAAAACATGTTCCTTTATTGCAGACTTTCTTTTTTTATTTTATATTACTTTAAGTCCTGGGATACATGTGCAGAACATGCAGGTTTGTTACATAGGTATACATGTGCCATGGTGGTTTGCTGCACCTATCAACCCATCATCTAGGCTGTAAGCCCTGCATGAATTCGCTATTTGTCCTAATGCTCTCCCTCACCTTGCCCACAACCCCCCGAAGGGCCCTGGTGTATGGTGTTCCCCTCCCTGTGTCCATGTGGTCTCATTGTTCAAATCCCATTTATGAGTGATAACATGCAGTGTTTGATTTCCTGTTCCTGTGTTAGTCTGATGAGAATGATGGCTTCCAGCTTCATTCTTTTTTATGGCTGCATAGTATTCCATGGTGTACATGTGCAACATTTTCTTTATCCAGACTATCATCGATGGGCATTTGGGTTGGTTCCAAGTCTTTGCTATTGTAAATAGTGCTGCAATAAACATACATGTGCATGTGTCTTTATAGTAGAATGATTTATAATCCTTTGGGTATATACCCAGTAATGGGATTGCTAGGTCAAATACTATTTCTGGTTCTAGATCCTTGAGGAATCGCCACACTGTCTTCCACAATGGTTGAACTAATCTACACTCCCCAAAACAATGTAAAAGCGTTCCTATTTCTCCACAGGCTCTCCAGCATGTGTTGTTTCCTGACTTTTTAATAATTGCCATTCTAACTGGCGTGAGGTGGTATCTCATTGTGGTTTTGATTTGCACTTCTCTAATGACCAGTGATGATGAGCTTTTCTTTCATATGTTTTTTGGCCACATAAATGTCTTCTTTTGAGAAGTGTCTGTTCATATCCTTTGCCCACTTTTTGATGAGGTTGTTTTATTCTTGTAAATTTGTTTAAGTCCCTTATAGATTCTGGATATTAGACCTTTGTCAGATGGGTAGACTGCAAACATTTTCTCCCATTCTGTAGGTTGCCTGTTCACTCTGATGATAGTTTCTTTTGCTGTGCAGAAGCTCTTTAGTTTGATTAGATCCCATTTATCAATTTTGGCTTTCGTTGCAATTGCTTTTGGTGCTTTAATCAGTAAGTCTTTGCCCATGCCTGTGTCCTGAATGGTATTGCCTAGGTTTTCTTCTAGGGTTTTCATGGTTTTAAGTCTTTAATTCATCTTGAATTCATTTTTGTATAAGGTATAAGAAAGGGGTCCGGTTTCTGTTTTCTGCATGTAGCTAGCCAGTTTTCCCATCAGCATTTATTAAATAGGTTGCAGATTTTCTAAGAGTTTTCAATCTGCTAATATGCATTGAGACTCTCCTGTAGAAATATAGTATGCAGTATTTTCCTAATTTATATTTAATCACAGAATCCTTTTTTCATAGACTAATGTTCCATTGGGTGTCCATCTGCAACATAGTAAATATGACTGTAAACAGCAATGAGCTAGAACACCACTAAACCTCCAATTCAGCCTGCGGCTGCAGAAGAAGGAAAAAATAAAACTTCTCTCACCTTCAGCACAACTCAGTCTGCCTCCAATCTTTCTCTGCCATCCTGAACTGACAAGACAGAAATCTGGTAGTATCATTTGCAGACAGCAACATTTATAGAAATGTTTCCTCCTGGTCATTTTTTTCCTATTTGTAAGTAGGCATTGGCTATAGTTTGAGTGTTCCCTCCAAAATTCATGGGTTTGGTTTTCTGGGTTTGGTTTTGTTTGTTTGTTTGTTTATTTGTTTGTTTAAGAGGAGGCATCTCAATATGCTGCCCAGACTGGATTCAAACTCCTGAGCTCAATGAATCCTCCTGCCTCAGCTTCCCAAGTAGCTGGAACTATAGGCTCATGTTGAAACTTAATTGCCCTTGTGATGATACTTAAGAGGTGGAGCCATCGTGAATAGACTAATACCACTATCATAGGAGTAATTTAGTGACTGCAGGAGTTCAGCCCCCTTTTTCCATCTCTGCATTCTCACCCTCTCACCATGTGATCTCTTCCACAATGTTATGATTCAGCAAGAAGGTCATCACCAGATGCAACCCCTTGATCTTGGACTTCCAGCCTCCAGAACAAATAAACTTCTTTGTATATAGATTACTCAGTGTTAGATATTGTTATAGCAGCAAAATATGAACAAAGACAAAGTTGTATTCCAAATTCTTATTATTTCAAAAGCAAATTAGTATTATTTCCAAATCATTAACTCATGATGTAAACATACATCTTGTGTTTGCATGCTAGGGTTTTAAAAAATCTTAAAGCCATTTCTGAAAATGCAGCAGGCCTGCATCTCTTGGTATACAATGAGAAAATTTGTAGATCTGAGGAATGTGTCTGTTAGTTAAGGAAGTACTAATGGATTTCACAGCTAAGCTGCTAAATTACTCTGGCTAAATATAGTTGTGTATGTCTTATTCATTTGAACTCTAACTGAATATTCCTGACTGCAGATGACCTTCTATGTGGTTATTCAAGACCTCTCTCTTGAGGTTTCACCTTCCTCTAATGCCTTACATTCCTGGGCATAAGTTGACCAATTGAGGAAAGATGGGAGATGGTATAGGGGAGGTTTTCATGGGCTAGGTCTGGAAGTACCCTTCTTCACTTCCACCCCACATTCCACTGGTTAGAACTTGGTCAAATGGCCATACCTATTGCAAGATAAGCTGGAAAATAGAATTTAGCTTTGTGCCATGAGAGAAAAGGAAACAGCTAAAATGCATAGTTATCCAGTTCTGCCACATCATGAGATCAGGAATATGATCCTTGCTTCAGGCTGCATTTTACCTATGTGTCTGCAATACCTTCACTGAGTCTTCTGAAGCTCAACTGAACGTTCAGGTGTATAAGACTATCACAGTCAACATTTGGCACCAGCCTACTCAGAGAGTTTGCCAACAGAGCAGCATCAGGCATTCCTCTTCTCTGGAGTCTTGTGGTAATCCATGGAACAATCTATACAGTGTCCAAAGCTATTCTATCTGGCCCCCTGGTGACAGTTTAAGAACTCAGGTAAGAACACATTAGGCAAGTTCAAGAGTGCCCGGCCTTGAAAACCTCATTCCTCACAGGAACCAATATCTTTGTAACAACTTCATAGGCATAACTTCCAGATCCCTCCAAGAGACACACCTGGTTACAAGAGTCATTGCACTCAGAGAAGCCCAAAACTACAGCTTCTTCTTAGAATTTATAGTTATCTCAAACTAGCTACTAAGGAGGGCTTACTCCTCATCTCCCATTTCAGATGTAGCCAGGGAATATAATGAATGGAACAGGGCTATGACAGAGTAAACAAACAGCCCGTCTTGGAGAGCAGAGTCAGGGCCAGACCAGGTAAATTCCCCTTCTCCAAGGCAGTCATTTTCACTAACCAAGGGTCATTTTTACCCTAACCAATGTTACCCAATAACATGGTTGACATTTTACTGTTTTCAAGGGAACAGAGTTACAGAGTTAACCAAACGTCAAAATCTTATGCAGAAGGAGAAAGGGTTTAGTGAATCCTCTACCAATAGCGCCCAATTTTGGCTTTAAAAAAGACCTTCATTCACAAAATAGAAAAGTATTCAAACACTCTAACCACATGCCTATATGATCATAAGCCCATGCTGACTGTGGATGCTGCTTCAACCCATACACTTTCTATGTTTTCTGAGAGTATTTGGAGGCCAAAAATATTTGGACATCAGATATTTAGGCACAGTGCATTTGTGTGGCTGCTATTGTTATTGAATGCTCATCATCCCTCTGCTTTATGTAGGTAGCCATGTAAAGAAGAAATTATTACCTGATGATTATCAATCATTGGCAATCAGAACAGAACTTGCAGCAGCAATAATGGTATACAAATTCAGTTATTTTGTTACCTAATTTTTGCATTTATTATTTCCTCTTAGATATCACCTTTTCTACACTCAAACTTACATGCTTTGGGTGGGAATCTAACGAAAGGAATGGAGTATGTGACCCAATCAATCTTAAGCTAATCAGTTTATTACTATTCCCATGACCCACGGAAATTAGTTCAGAGGTGTACATGGGATACCATTGAAGCCACTGAGAAGCAATGAAACATTTTACTGAAAATCACTATTGGCTCCTGATTTTGAATAGGAAAGGATGTCAAGTCTAAAGTTGCTCATCCATTTTGTATTCATGAATGAAGAACCTGTCTAAGAATAAAGCCAACACAAGGAGAAGAGCAGAGCTGAGTTGAGAGAAAGGAACACTTTCCTCTCACCACTTATGCCAGAAATCAGCCTTACTCTGGTTCTGTTGGTTATGAGTCCAAAAGTCCCTGTTTCTGCTTAAGGCAATGTATGGCTTGGAGGTTCAGTCACAGTAAACAGAGGCCTAACTGATTCACAAAGTCATCTGAGAAATTGTGTAATGTATAAGTAGGCACCAGTAGCATGCAGCTTCCTAGGAAGGGAAAAGAAAAGCTATTAGGTCCCAGAGGGGTTCACAGCCTCAGAGCTGAGACCCTTCAAAGGGTTAGGTTCAGGGCCAGAACTGGTAAGACCTACTCACAAGGTAGATGCAAGATATTATCCTCCCTTACTCCTGAACATTCCCAAATTTATGATAGTGACCACCATCTCAATGAGCTTGAGTTCCATTCCTCTCCTTTCCCAGGCAAAATTTCCATTGGCAAAGACGAAAACCTCAACAAGCCCAGGGAGGGTAGATCAGATCTTGAATGAACATTAGATTTGGAATCTGAAATAGACCTTGGGGTGATTTTGCCCATAGAAACTTGCCCTAACCAGTTCAGAGATTTCTCTGACGTCCTTCTGAATTCAAGATTTTCTCTTGTCTGACTTTATGGAACTTTATAGTGTTTTTATTTGTTTTTGTTTTTGTTTTTGTTTTGCTGTTTTGAGACAGGATCTCACTCTGTTGCCTAGGCTGGAGTGCAGTGGTGCAATCACACTTCACTGCAGCCTCAACCTCCCAGGCTCAGGTGATCCTCTCACCTCAGCTTCCTGAGTAGCTGGGACTATAGATATGCCAGCATGCCCAGCTAATTTTTGTGTTTTTTTGGAGAACAGGGTTTCACCATGTTGCCCAGGCTGGTCTTGAACTCTTGGGCTTAAGCAGTCTGCCTACCTCAGCCTCCCAAAGTGCTGGGATTACAGGCATGAGCCACCACACCTGGCCGACCAGTGTTTTGCTGTTTCATTTTGAATTTAACTACAAACACAAACATTTGACATGGAACCTACTGGCTTTAATGTGTTAATGGAAGCACAATTGTGCTGCTAATTTATACAGGCAAAGGAAAACACTGAGGACGAACATATTAGACAGGAGTTTACAAGCTTTTTGAACTGGGGCTTTCCTGTTTTAGCATTCGATGTTTTCATAGGTCTTAATCTTGCCTCCTCAAGTACACAGCTCTTTATGGTACTGCTATTTTGGTCACACTCCTAGGCATAAGCAATTTCTTAATAAGTCCTTCTTAATTCTTAATTATTTGAGAAAAATAGCATTATTTCTATTCCAGGCAATGATAAGCTTCCTGCAAGCTTTCTCTTTATCACCCCAGTGTTTGAAACGTTGTAAGATTCTACTAAGGTTTATATGTGTAAATCTTTATCCCTTCCTTTACTGCCTAAAATACCAAAATATAATTTGCTACTGAAAAGATTAGACCTAAAATGACAAAGCAAGTCAGCAAGAAAACACCTACTATGTGTCATCAGAGTTCTTATTTGCAGGAAATAAAGTGGTGCTCATGATACCTGTTTTCAAGTTATTCACAACTGTCTTGTAACTAACACAGCAATTTCACCCAACAAGTTCTTTCAATTTAGTCTCTGCCCCTTACCTGAGAAAAAATATTGATAATCAATCCTCATTTACAAATAGTCTCCCAGCATAAACAAATTACATTATAGAAAAATGGAAATTTCCAAGATAATTTTAAAGGCGTTCCTTTTTCTAAGGAAAATAATTATATCATGCTTACAAGGTAAAAATCCTTCAGTAATTAATATATTAAAGGGTACACTACAACAAAATCACAGCAGCTCTAACAAAAAAGATTTACTTATGGGGTAGAAACATTTTCTTTAGTGAATAATCCAGTTTGACAAATACACTCTTAAAAATCAGCTCTATGAAGTGTAGGGTTGTACACTATTCACAAGTCTTTCCATTTGCTAGGGTTCTATGAAATAAACAAGAGCTGAAATCCTACATCCTATGATAAGTATCAACTTCCTTTTACCTCTAGCTGAGACTTTACATCAGCCTGCCTTGTATTCCACTAAACAGATGTTTGTCTGTCACAGAAACAACTTCAACCTCCTTTGGGTCAAGAACTGTCTTCCAGAGTAGCATAGGTTGTGTAGCAAGCACTTGTTGGGCACCTCGCCTAGTAAATGTTTTTATCTGAGTTTGCCAAACTCAGCAACTTAATCCTCCCTCCTATTCTCCACCCCTGGCCAGTTAAAGACATGCAATCAAAAATTCCAAAACCAGCCAAGTGCATTGGCTCATGCCTGTAATCCCAGCACTTTGGGAGGCTGAGGTGGGTGGATCACCTGAGGTCAGGAGTTCGAGACCAGCCTGGCCAACATGGTGAAACCCTGTCTCTACTAAAAATACAAAAATTAGCTGGGTGTTGTGGCACATGCCTGTAATCCCAGCTACTTGGGAGGCTAAGGCAGGAGAATCACTTGAACCCGAGAGGCAGAGGTTGTAGTAAGCTGTGATTGTGCCACTGCACTCCAGCCTGGGTGACAGTGCAAGACTCTGTCTCAAAAAAAAAAAATTCCAAAGTCAACAGTCAAACATAAACATGTGTGCATATAAATACACACACATGCACATATAGATTTAAAAATATATGTGAGAATGAATTTTTGCATATAATATCAATCTTTCCTTCTCATACTAATGACATCATTTTACATTTGTTTACTAATTTACTACTGAAATAAACATTCTGTCAATATACTTATTATGAAAACATTTCACAATAATACAAAATATTATTGTTCATAGAATTCTTCTGAAAAAGATTACACAGACACAAACATAAAAGTAAATATATAATACATGTCACAAAAAGAACATATACAATAATACATACATTGAGATATAAAAAGAACAAAATCAAGTAATAAAATCATTGCTTTACTCAGTTCTATATTTATAGTGCTTACTTACCCAGCTCTTATTTGGAAGTTGGCCAAAGAGATCAACCTTTTTCCCAACACTATAAGATTAAAACAATTCAGGACCTGTTTTACTGGCATGTTGACTTGGCTTAATGTCTTTTTTTTTTTTTTTTTTTTTTTGGAGACAGAGCCTCACTTTGTCACCCAGGCTGGAGTGCAGTGGCCTGATCTCAGCTCACTGCAGCCTCCACCTCCCAGGTTCAAGCAAGATTCTCCTACCTCAGCCTCCCAAGTAGCTAGGACTATAGGCATTCACCACCATGCTGGTTCATTTTTGTATTTTTAGTAGAGACAGGGTTTCACCATGTTGGCAAGGCTAGTCTCAAACTCCTGACCTCAAGCGATCCGCCAGCCTCGGCTTCCCAAAGTGATGGGATTACAGGCATGAGCCACTGCACCCGGCCTTGGCTTAGTGTCTTAAACCACCTAAGAAGTGTGGTGTAACTGAAGCATACCCACTGTGGTTGACCAGCACTAGAATAATGTGTGGTTTAGGATTTGAATTGTTAATGGGATGCTGTAGAATATCACTAATATACTATACCAGGTGAGTTAGACTGAAGAAAAAGATGATGTCCCAAGGTGAAAATGAGCCAGCACTATTTACATATGTGATATTTCAAGTGTTGATCTTAAAGCAGGTAAATACTAAATCCCCACCCCCACCCAAAGAGGGGCCACTCTGAACTCCTGAGGAAGCGCTATTTCTGGTGCTCTGTAAGGCTCCCATGCACTGCAGGCTTTGAAAACAGCTTTGGAGTCCTCTTCCTCTGCAGGCACCAGCCTTATGAGTAACTATCACTCAAATGGTGGGATCTGAGGAGAATCTGAGTCTAGTTTGCCCTACAGTCTCCCTCACAAACCTGCTTTGGTTCCTAAATTACCTCAGAATTCAGTCCACTCAGTTGGAAGCTAAGGAAGCTTTTAAAGGATAGGTATCACCGTCGGCCATCCACAACCACTGATATCTGCAAAGCAGCACATGCTGTGGGAAAGATGCTAACTAGACTAGTGGGAAGGTAATTAGGTTGCACTAACTAGCCACGGGAAATCAAAATAACTGCTCTGCTTACCTAACATTGCTATCATCCACTGAGAAGTAAAAGGCTGTATTTGTGTTTTAAGGGAAAACGGAAACCAGTAAAGGGGCATAGAAAAGCAAAGAAAAAAGAGGGGAAAAAAGGGGGAGAAAAGGGACTGAAAGAGATTAGGGGAAAAAAGGAGGAAAAAAGGACAGGGAAAAGCGAGGAAGGAAAGGAGAGGGGAAGAAAAGGGGACCAACAGGGGAAAATGGAAGGAGACGAGCAAAGAGAAGGGAAAGAGGTAAAGGTTGGGGGAGGAATCAAAGAAGGTAGGCTTTAAAATCTGAATTTCTTTCTGGACGTTACTCCCACCTAAAATCTGCTCTGGGACAAAGAATTTATCTGGGCTTTATGTTTTTTCCCCTCTGGGAAATGGGGATAATACCTGCCTTACAAAATTATTATAAAGATTAGCAATCATAAATCCATTCGACAAATCTTTATTGAGCATCTACTATGTACCAGTCACTGTTCCAGGTGCTTGGGATACATCAGTGAACAAAACAGGCCATGATCCCTGTCCTTGGGGAGCTCATATTCTAGTACAAGTTAAAGTATCCAGCATGGTGCCTGGCATATATCAGACATGCAATAGATATTGGTTAACATTTTCATCAAGACTAATAATGTATAAGGTGTTATGAAATGTAAAATATTATTCTTAGCCCAAATTAATCAGATTAGCCAGATTGCATTCCTATGGAGAAATGAAACTTAGAAGAGGTAAACTTTGATGTGTAGGGGAAGAAAGGTCTGGCAAACCAGATGGTGCCTGGGAGAGACTGAGGTAGAGCCCTGTGTACCCCAGGAAGGACAGCCCTGCATCATCAGTAGGAGGAAATTGCTCTTTGACCAGAAACATCCACTGTGTACAATTAAATGAAGAGAAATAAACTACCACAATACAGATGCTCCTTGGCTTACAATAAGGTTACACCCCAATAAATCCATTGTAAGTTGAAAATATTGTAAATAGAAAATGCATTTAATACACCCAACTACCAAACAACATA
The DNA here is from genome assembly GCF_000001405.40 of Homo sapiens. Taxonomy (NCBI): domain Eukaryota; kingdom Metazoa; phylum Chordata; class Mammalia; order Primates; family Hominidae; genus Homo; species Homo sapiens. The sequence goes on along the minus strand of NC_000014.9, from coordinate 32,317,481 downwards.
GCTTAGCCTAGCTTACCTTAAACATGCTCAGAGCACTTACATCAGCATACAGTTGGGCAAAATCACCCAACACAAAGCCTATTTTATAATAAAGTGTTGACTATCTCATGTAATTTATCAAATATGGTACTGAAAGTGAGAAACAGAATGGTTGTATGGATACTCAAAGTACAGTTTCTACTGAATACATACCACTTTTACACCATCCCAAAGTCGAAAAATCATTAGTGAAACCATTGTTAAGTAGGAGACCAGCTGTATTTGAGCTGCTATACTTATTTTCCTAGACCCCCAGGTTATTCTAAAGATCAATCAGGACTAAGAAACACTGAACTAAATAATTAATGTGTGAATAATTGAGAGATACTTTGTCACACTATGTGAAGTATAAGTAGATAATTAGTGTACATGAAGAATCAACCCAAACTTTGTTTGGCTAGAACAGGAACTTTTGAGGTTTTCTACTAAGCATGACATATTTGCATTGACATACTTTCTTTGTTCACTTGACTTATAGAAGGTGAGGGGGAGTGTGCAAGATAAGGCTAGATAGCGGGGCAGAATGGATCTTAAATGTGCCTCACAGAGGGCTCATTCTAAGGGGAGCCATTTAGCATTTAAACCAGGAAAAAGCATAATCTGAATACTATTCTTCTAACAGAGTTTCCAAATATTTCTTTCTCATTTAGGCTTCCTATAAATGGGCTATTCTTTTTGTTGTTGTTGTTTGTTTGTTTCTTCGTTTGAGACAGAGTCTCACTCTGTTGCCCAGGATGGAGTACAGTGGCATGATCTTGACTCACTGAAACCTCCGCCTCCCAGGTTCAAGTGATTCTCTTGCCCCAGCCTCCCAAGTAGCTGGGATTACAGGCGTGCACCACCACGCCTGACTAATTTTTGTATTTTTAGTAGAGACAGCATTTTTCACCATGTTGGCCAGGCTGGTCTCAAACTCCTGACCTCAGGTGATCCACCCGTCTCAGCCTCCCAAAGTGCTGGGATTACAGGTGTGAGCTACCACGCCTGGCCGGGCTCTTCTATTAATCTCTAAATTGGTATGTTTCTCTCATTTTTAATTTTATCTAGAAGCTATCTTTTAATTGGAGTGGGCAAAGGTTTCTTGAGTAATATCCCACAAACACAGGCAACCAAAGAAAAAATGGACAAATGGGATCACATCAAGTTAAAAAGCTTCTTCACAGCAAAGGAAACAATCAACAAAGTGAAGAGACAACCCACAGAATGACAGAAAATATTTGTAAACTACCCATCTGACAAGGGATTAATAACCAGAATATATAAGGAACTCAACTCTGTAGGAAAAAATATCTAATTATCTGATTTCAAAATAGGCAAAGACCTGAATAGGTATTTCTCAAAAGAAGACATACAAATGGCAAACAAGTATATGAAAATATGCTCAACATTATTGATCATCAGAGAAATGCAAATGAAAACTACAATGAGATAGCATCTCACCCCAGTTAAAATGGCTTTTATCCAAAAGACAGGCAATAACAAATGCTGGTGAGGATGTGGAAAAAAGGGAGCCCTCATACACTGTTGGTGGAAACATAAATTAGTATAACCACTGTGAGAACAGTTTTAGGGTTCCTCAAAAAACTAAAAATAGTGCTACCATACAATCCACACATCCCATTCCTAGGTATATACTCAAAAGAAAGGAAATCAGTATATCAAAGAGACATCTGCATTCCTATATTTATTGCAGCACCATTCAAAATAGCCAAGATTTGGAAGTGACTTAAGTGCCCATCAACAGAGGAATGGTTAAAGAAAATGCACTGTATACATAAATACACAATAGAGTACCATTCAGCCATAAAAAAGAATGAGATCCTGTCATCTGCAGCAACATGCATGGAACTGGAGGTTGTTGGTTAAGTGAAATAAGTCAGGCACAGAAAGACAAATTTCACATGTTCTCACTTATTTGTGGGAGCTAAAAATTAAAACAATTGAACTCCTGGAGATGAAGAGTAAAATGATGGTTACCAGAGGCTGAGAAGGATAACAGGGGGTTGAGGGGAAGTGGGAATGGTTAATGGATACAAAAAACAATTGCAAAGAATGAATAAAACTTAGTATGTGCTAGTACAACACGGTAACTATAGTTGGAAATGATTTCATTGTATATTTTTAAATAACTAAAAACGTATAGTTGGATTGTTCATAACAGAAAGGATAAATGCTTGAGGGGATGGATACCCCATTTACCCTGATGTGATTATTACACATTGCATGCGTATATCAAAATATCTCATGTAACCCATAAATATATATACCTACTATGTACCTAGTGTAAAAATTAAAAATAAATAATAAAAATTAAAATAAAAGCTATTTTTTAAAGACAAACTCTCAGCTTAAACTATTAAGGAAGCATATGCATGGAAGAGGTAGAAGAGTAAGGCATTCAAATATTTTAATCAAATATGAGTTACTTTTTGACCAGGAATCAAACCCAGACTGTGGTAGTGAAAGTACAGAATCCAAGCCACTAGACCACAGGGTGAAGTATCTTTTGAGAAAGGAATCATAAATGAGATTTTAAAAATTATTATTATTATTAACTATTATTATAGCTATCTATATAACAGGCATGGTCAGGATATGTATTAGCTTATTTAATCCTTAAGTAATCCTGTGAAAGAAGTATTGAACCTCATTTTACAGACAAGGAACAGGGGCCCCCAGAGCTGCCCCAGATCTTGCTGCTATAAGTAGCAGAGTCAGAATCTGAACCCAGATGTGCTAACTACAGAGTCTATACTCCTAACCTTCAAGACACCACATATAATCCCCAAACTGTATTTACCTTTGGAACTCACCCTCATTAACACCCTCATTACCCACCTTCATTAACACCTGTCCAGGCATCTTGCCCTCACTACCTCTGTCCCCAGCAGGAGCACAGAATTTAGCCAGTAGTGGAAAGAAGAGGCAGCACTCACTCCAGTAATCCATAATATGTTAGCTACATACATAGAGAGAATACTGTGTCTTAAACATCTTCCAGTGAATCCTCACATTTTAGAGGCCACCAATTGAAATAAACCTTGCTTAAGAAAACTTTGTTGGTACAGACACTGGTGGACACCTACTAAGTTTTCAGTAAAGTCTTGTTGATCAAAGCAATCGGCAGATTTCCAGACTATTCAGCCACCAGACCAATTCCCACTGGGTATTCATTTGCACACAATAGTACCAATTACTGCTCAAAGGACGAAGATGCTATAAAGATGACGCTGTTAATCAAAGTCAGGATGGCTGCACAAAGTACGCAACATGGCAAACAGACAAGGAAGTACAATCTCAATATTTGCTATGTTGCCCTGGCATAATTTTCAGGCTCCAGGCCTGTGTTAATTTGCAGGATTAATGTATAAAGACAGAGTCAGTAAAACAACTGTTGCTCCGTAGAGAAGTAGAGCACAGGGCAAGGAATTGGGAGCCCTGAGTCTCACTCCTGTAACTAGCTCTGAGGTTCATCAATATTCTCTCCTTGTGTTTGTTTGTTTGTTTTTCATGATACATGCTCTGCCATTTCTGGGGAGTATTGTAAACAGAAATGTGCTTTCTGAGTTTAAAGACAGTGTAATGAAAATGGCATAGGTTTTAGAGCCCAACATACCTAGGCTTAAATCCAAGCTCTGCCATTCACTTGTTGTGTGAACATGGGCAAGTTGTTTGCCCTATCTGAATCTAGTTTCTTCATCTATTGAAAAGGGATAGCAAGGCCTATCTCCTAGGATTGTCAAGATAACTAAATGAGCTAATTATATAAAGCATCTGGCACACAGTGGTGCTACATAAATGATAATTATTGCTTGCCAGTCATTAGTTTAATTTTATGTAGACTAAACATCTTGAAGGCTTAGACAATGAATTGTTTTAAATCCCTACAGCATCTAGCATAGAACTAAAAATGTGAATGGTGACTGGTAGCAGCAGTAGCAAAAGGAGCAGTATTAGCTGCAACAGAATCAGCTGCAGCAGCATCAGCAACAATCATTATTAGTGCAGCAGATAGCAGCAACAATAATAGCAGTAGCAATACTAGTAGGGCAGCAATAATAACAGTTGCAATAATTGCAATGCTGTCACAGCTTGTTCCTTGTTATGCTATGGATTATCTATCCCTACAACAAGAAGATAAAGTCTTCCATGCAAATAAGCATTGATCTATAGGCACTTTGATCAATAAGAAATCGAGCAAACTCTACAAGTTGAGGAAGCTCAAATGCTAATGGATGTTAAATACAGGTTTCTCCATTCTAGTCTAGTAAGTTATCATTCCCACTAGTACCAAATGCAGCATCTTTATGCCATTATTAAATGTAGAAGACACTAACGAAATAAGCTGGTAGAATTTTGAACAGAATGGCAAACCTGATTCATTTAATATGTGAGGAGAAAAGAATCCTGGCACTTGTGCTCTCAAACTTCAGCCTAGATCGGATCTTTCTTTTCTGACTTTCAAAACTCCCAAATCTTAAGAGGCTATACTCCTGCAGGCTCGAAGTCATTTTTCAAGTATCATAAAAGGAACAGAAAGGCCCAGATCACCAGCTGAATGAGAGGCCCAAGTTGGTCCAGGGTACCTTGGGGAAAATGACAAAGAGGTTGGGAGAGTGACCAGAGTGCAGACAAGAAAATAAAATACTGGATCATTCCTCCATCCATCCTCCCATGCAAAGTTTTCTTTCTATGGGGAAGATTTTAATCATTGCTTGAGAAAGTAACCAAGAGCATAGATGCACCTATGCAATGGAATTTCCTCTTTTTCTTGCATTCCTTTTATATATGGCTTCCCTTAGGGAAAATGGAGGAGGGGAGGAAGTTTATTTAACAATATATACCTGGCTATATGTTTAAAAAGAAAACAACTGCAAAGAGCAAAATGTGAGCAAAGCTTGATCATGAACCACATATTTTTTAAAATCCTTCCCATAAGGGCAATTCCAAAGGAAAAAACACACTTTCTGCTTAGCAAATGTGTATATAAAGACACTAGTATGCCCATCCCAGTAGATGTATACAAGGCTCAGCACAGTAAATACAGCACATGAAAAACGACAACACACCATGAAATAAATATCCTAATGAAATAAATTAATTCGAACAAAATATATCAGGAAAACTCTCACCACTACTGGATAGTATTTTTATTAACATGCAGGTGAGAAACAACAATTTGCCTTTTGAGAACAAACAAGTCAGAAGCCCTGTTTTCTGCACAGGCCGATGAGCTCTCCACTACCCTGCATCTTCCTCTTCCCTCAGTAATAGGAAACCGAGGTCACAAAGAAGATTCCATTTGGCCGAACCCCAAAGGGAGGAGCAGTTTTGATCAGAACTCTCTGAGCAGTCAGACCAAGGGATAGAATGCTCGAGTTCTCTCCAGTTCTGCAGTGGATACACATGAGTAGTGATCCTGGGAGTGCCACTGAAAGAAAGTGTTCACAGAGCAAAACCTACCTACCATCTCTATCCCATCATCATGTCCCCGAGGTCAGTAAGGGCTCACAGATCTTGAAACTTCCTGTGGCCACCACAGGAATGGATTTCCTGATTCTAGATTCCTAACTTTCCCAAGCTCAGTATTTGCCAACAGTGGGCCTCAGCTGGGTAATGGAAAAATACAGAAAGTGGTGGCATCGAATGCATATGTACTGGCAAATAGCCATCAAATGGCTGATTGTGAGCCAGGATGAATACCTAAGTACAAGGATCTGGATTAACAGTTTCAAGTTCAGTCTAGTAACATGGTTGTCTCACAGACAATGTTGGCAAAGACCCCCTCATCCCTTGTTGGTCCCAAAGGCAAGTAGTGGCAGGGCAGAGAGAATAAAGTAACCTACTAGAAGCTGAGGGAACACTGGGGCATAGGATGAGGCAAACTATGCCCACCCCCACAACAAATACCCACTAGTTATTTGAATGATAAGATCTGGAGTTACCAGCTTGGGCTGAAGCAAAGTACTCATCCCTAAAATAGACCTGGTGGCAACCCACAGAACATTCTGTAAACTCTAAAGCACTATATAAATGTACTTGTTATCTTTACTACTGTTACCAAAGAGGCAACATCCAGACCCAACCATTTGGAAATTGTGTTTTACTCATTTTTGTTTTTAAGCTATTAATGGTCTCGGTGGTTTCTTCATTGAACTTTGGAGCATTTATTAGTCATGTCAAATATTCTCTACAGAAATTCTAGAGCAATCAATCAATCAATGAAGGGGGAAAACACTTTTAAAAATGTGTCTTTCCCTCTAAAAGACATTGAATTTCCATTACTAAACAGAACACTTACCACACAGCCTGAAATATTTATATGTGGATGACTTTACCAATATTCAAGGCTATTCCAAGCAACAAGGAGTCAGTTCTTTTATTACAGCTCTATGACCTAGAGGGCTTACAAAACAAAAACTGTGCTCTGAATATTATTCCTGCTTCCACCCATTACATACACAGAAAACACAGTTCTGGAAGCTTTAGTATAGGAGTTTTGTCCTTCATTTCAGCCACTTCAGAGATGCAGAGATCCAGCTTCAGAGACTAAAATATTGCACTATGCAATTCAGTACTAGACTCAGGCAATGTAAAGCATAATGTGAGTTCTGACCACTCCTAAGATTATCCAATATTTGAGGCATAAAATCTGAGTGGAGGGGATGATGAAAGGGAGGCTAGCATGTGAGTACTGGAGGCAATTCTATCTGCTCAGATACAGGGACTTGAATTCTCTTTGGAATAGGCATAGCCGTTCTTTAAAAAAAAAAAAAGAAAGAAAGAAAAGAAAAGAAAAAGAACCCTAGGTTACATCTACCAATTTTTCTTGAAGAAAAATGTGAAATAGACCGAGTGCGGTGGCTCACACCTATAATCCCAGCACTTTGGGAGGCCAAGGCGGGCGGATCACAAGGTCAGGAGATTGAGACCATCCTGACTAACACAGTGAAACCCCGTCTCCACTAAAAATACAAAAAATTAGCCGGGCATGGTGGCAGGCACCTGTAGTCCCAGCTACTCGGGACGCTGAGGCAGGAGAATGGCTTGAACCCAGGAGGCGGAGCTTGCAGTGAGCTGAGATCATGCCACTGCACTCCAGCCTGGGCGACAGAGTGAGACTCCACACCAAAAAAAAGAAAAAAAAAAGTGAAATAACCTAAATGCAGTTGTTTCAAACTAAAAATACAAGTATTTTGTTTGGTAGAGAATATTTTCATTTTGGGTTGAGCTTGCATGTTTTTTAGAGACATTTTTGTCATTTTTTTTGGAGGGGAGTTATGGATTGAGACTAAAGTTCCCCTAAAGTAAGTTCACAATCCTGGGATGAGACAGAGACTTGGACAAAACATAGGGACTCAGAAAGTCAACCTTAGACTTGGAGGAGAACTTCCTTCTCTTTCTGGACCTTGGAGCACGTATGCTTAGATTCTTATGAGTAGATATACTCAGAGCACTGAATATGTGTATCATCAGCTGGCCTCTGCCACATAGAAACATGCAGAAAACTAAGCAGGCAGGCACTAGAAAGGTTTCTGAAGGTACCCTAGCTATGTATGCTGAAGGTACCCACAGTGCTATGGACTGAACTGTTCCCCACTGCCACCGATTAATAGGTTGAAGCCTTAATCTCCAAAGTCACTATATTTGGAGACAGGGCCGATAAGAAGATAATTAAGGTCAAATGATATTTTAAGATTGGGGACCTGATCCAATAGGATTAGTGTCCTTTTGTCACCAGAGAGTTCACTCTTTCTTCACCACGTGAGGACACAAGGAGAAAGCAGCTGTGTGCAAGTCAAAAGGAGGACTCTCACCAAAACTGAGTTGGCCAGCACCTTCATCTTGGACTTCCCAGCCTCTAGAACTGTGAGAAAATTAATTTCTGTTGTGTAAGCCACCCAGTTTATGATATTTTGTAATAGCAGCTTGAGCAGAATAAGACACACATCTAGTAACTGTTTCAGGATGCTTTTTGTATTGTATTGGTTTTATTATTCCTTCACCTTAAGGGGTCCTGTTAAATCTGACAGTATAGCAGACCATTCGAGTATTTGAATGGCTAGTATGCTCCAGGCACTGCACTACATAAGGGAAAATAATGATAAACAAGATAATCACAGTCCCTAACCTTATGAGAAGTCTAGAGTGAAAGATATTAAACAAATACATATACAAGTAAGTCATGACAATTGTGACAAGTGCTATGAAAGAGAAATGTTTCCTGCACATATGAGAGCATACTGTAATCTCTGCCATGCTGTGCAGAATTAAGGGAAGATGCTGCTCCTTTTGTGGCACAGTAAAGAACGGGGCAAGGCCAGCGTGGTGGTGGGGGCACCCACAGCATGTAGGAGATCAGAGATTTCTGGGTTATGGGGCATGATGGCAAGAGCCAGATGGCAGCTTGATGAGGAGACTGGAACACTAAACTAAAAGCCCCATGAAGGCAACAACAATCTCTTGTTCACTGCTGCATCTAAGGGGACACTCAATACGTACTTGTTTGATGGACAGATGGATGGATGGATGGATGGATGGATGGATGGATGGATGGATGGATGCGCACAAGTGACAAGACCAGAGGGGAAAGCTCAGAAATAAGTGGAAGATAATCTGAGGTGACTATAGTCCTATACTTCAGCATATAAAAACACAAAGTGGCTGTAATAAAAATAGGAAGAGAAAGTGACACCTTATTGTAATTTCCAGGGACATTCCGGTAACATTATACTGTGATTTGTTTGTGGGGCCATGTGAAAAAATGTCTGTAATAAACACCTATTATTTCTGTCCAACAAGCATTTCCAAAGTTTCCAAGGGATCCAAAGATTCCTTTGGAAAAGAGGATCTAAAATTTCCTTTGGGAAACCACCCTCCACCATTCTCCAGTCATATGGTTTCCATGGAACTGATTCCATCCCTAGCAACAGGGGGGTCCTGGACTGGCTTATAATAATACCATACCCATCCCTGTGGCTACACTGATTAGTTCCAGTATGGCACATAACCCAGTCACAGCCAAGAAAACATATTTACTTTTCTTCTGGAATTCGTAATGTGAGGATTAAATCACCAAGTGAGCCAGTAAAGCTGACAGCTAGACAAAGCAAACATAGAGACAGATCCTGGTGATAATATTTGAGTACTGGATCAAAGTACACTGGCAGCAATAAATTTATGTGAACCAATAAATTCCCATTTTGCTTAAAGCACTTTGGGTGGGTTTTTCTAGCACTTGTATTCTAAAGAATACTAATGAACACACACATGCCTTGCTCGCTCTGTCCTCCATTATCTTCCAGGCTGAAACAGGTTGGGTCACAGGAGCTGTGGATCTCCCTACCTTATGCCTTTCAGCAAGGGCTGCTGGGATTTCTCTGGCAGATCACCAGTCACCCTGCCATGAGTGAATGTCCTGGGTAGGGCTCCCTATGCCTTTATGATTAAAGGCCCCAGGTTACAACTTGCCCTCCCTGCATCTGTTTCCTATGGCAGGAAGGCAAATGCCCCGTAAGAGATAACTGGGGAAATTCCTAGACTTGAAGCTCTGTTACTGTTGCAATAACAGATTTCAGCTTTTTCTGTCCCCACTCTGTCAGTATCACAACTACTCAAAATCAAGAAAGAAGAAGATTAGGGACCCAGTAGGATTACAGAAACAAGGAGCACAGCCCCCAAAGGCAGAGGGGCAGTTTCAACTCCTCTTACACTGCACCGTAGCCCAAGATTAAACAACCATGGCCCTTTTTCCTTCAGTTCTCCATCACAGATTGGTAGCACAGTCTATGATGAGAAGATGCTACGGGCTGAACTGTGTCCCCCCAAGATCATATGTTGAAGCCCTACCCCCAATATAACTGTATTTGGAGATAGGGCCTAAACAGAGATAATAAATTTAAGTACAGTCATAAGGGTGGGGACCTAATCCGATGGGACTGGCATCCTTACAAAAGAGGGAGAAACACCCTCGAAATGGCCATGTGAGGGTGTAGCAAGAAAGCAACTGTCCACAAGTCAGGAATAGAGTCCTCACCAAAAACCAAATCAGCTAGAATCTTCATCTTGGACTTCTAGCCTCTAGAACTGTGACAAAATAAATTTCTGTTGTTTAAGCATCCAATCTATGTATGGTATTTTGTTATGGCAGCTCGAGCCAATTAATACATAGGAGGTTACACAGTAGCCCCTTTATCTGCAGTTTTGTTTTCTGCAGTTTCAGTTACTTGTAGTCAAGCTCAGTCCAAAAATACTATATTTTGAGAGAAAGAGAGACTACATTTACATAACTTTTATTAAGTATATTGTTATAATTGTTCTATTTTATTAGTTATTGTTAATATCTTATGTGCCAGATTTATAAATTAAACTTTATCATAGGTATGTATGTATAGGAAAAAAACATAGCATATAGCATATACTGTATAGGGCACAATTTCAGGCATGCACTGGGGGTATTGGATCATATACCCCTCAGATAAGGGGGGACTACTGTAGTTACCTAAAGCCAATAGGAGCAAACTGTGAGGATACGTTGTCCAAAAAGCTAATGCAATCTCAACCTGCATTGAGAAAGGAATAAAGTAGTATTGATGGACAATAATAATCATATTTTACTGTACCAGCCATAAAAAAAGACAGTCAGTAGCCCAGCCAGGGTGATGAGTCACCATTGATGAAAATTGGAGTTGCTGGCTTGGAAAAGAGGAGGTAGTTGTTTTCAAGTAGCAAAGCGATGTCATAAATAGGGAGCTAACCTTGTTCTGCGTACCTCAAAAACTAGATCAATGAAAAAAGGAAGGGTAAAGCTGGTTTTAGGTTAACATTGGAAAGCTGACACAAAGAACTGCCCAAAAATTAACAGGGTTTCTCATTGGGCCAGTGAGCACTTTATTACTGAAGACAGACAAGCAGAAGGTGAGTAAGGAACCCTCAAAAATATTAAGTTACTTAATATTAATTAACTCCCACTGTGGGGCATAAGGTTGAACTATAAAATCTTTATTTCGTCTTCCAACATTATGATTCTATCACTAATTAGTAATCAAGAACCAGACTACTGGTTTCAAATTCCAGCTCTGTCATTTACAAGCTGTGTAACTACCAGCAAGTTACTTAACACCTCTTCATCAGTTTCCTTGTTTGTAAAACTGTGGCATCAAGAGTATCTTCTTCATCTTATGGTGGTAAAATGAGTTAATGTATATAAAGAACCTTCCAGGAACCAAGCACCTGGCCCACGGGAAGCCCCCAGTAAGCATTAGCCATTAGCCATTATTATTAATAGTTGAATGACAGCTTTGTGCTCAGTCCCATTATAACTAAAATTGGATACCAAAATATACATGTGGCCCTGGTTCTCAAGACTGATATATGAAAACAGGAGCAAACAATGATAGCCACCAATTTTTGAGTTCCTACTACAAATTTAACGCTATAGTGTTTTTTGAGCAACCAGCAAAATAAGTATTACCATTCCCATCTAAGATTTAAAAAATTATAAAATTAAATAATTTGCAGCTAGTTACAGGAAGATGGTAAGCTTTTTCAGGCTCCAAGGGGTGGGCTCTTTCAAGTCTGGTAGCCATCTCAAAACTAGCCTGTTCCTTTCTATTACCTAATTTTATCTTTGCCACACTCTCTTAGGTAAATAGAGTGGACAGTATCATATGAAAGTTGAACATATAGGCTCTGGAGCCAGGCAACCTAGGATCCGAAGGCAGCTCTATCATTCATTAGCTATATGACACTGGGTAAGTTACTTAACTCAGGGCTCACCTCCTTCACTATAAAATAAAGAGGATGATAAGAGCACCTGTATCAAAGGCTTTCTGGAGGATTAAATGAGCTAATACATAGGAAGTACCTGGCACATGGCTAAGTAGCTGTTATTGTCATCCCAGTGATGGATAAAAAAACTAAATCAGTGAAGAATCTAGACCACAAATCAAGTTTGTTGTTTCTCAGCCATTTTTCCACTAGGTCATATGGCTGTACTGATATGACATGTTAGTGTTTTTCTTCTAAAATAAAAGACAACAAATTATATTTCCACAAACTCAAATATTCCTAACACTGAGCCCTTAGTCAAAATGATTATATTTCTACCACCCTACAAAGTTCAAATACCCAATATGTTTTAATGCTAATGACTTAATCTCTAACCATAAAAAAATAGGTCCCTGATTGCCCCTTTTCTCCCCCTCCGCTGCCAGCATCACTCAGTAAAAGAAGGAGCCTTCTGGTCCTCCTGGCCCAGCCACAGCTTCCACAGTCAAGGATACTTTCAGGCCTCAGCACCCTACTTCCTGCCCTGCTACACATTTGAACATGTGGCTGTTACAGAAATCCTACTTTCCTCACATCCAGCTTCCATTTTCTTTACTAAATGGTGGAGTTTTCATTTGGTGATCTTTCCAACGATTCCTGGTAGACTTCTGAACAAACCCACCATGGGCAAACATTTCCTCTTAGTGAAACTCCTTGTCATCCTGACACTGATTATTGTTTTTCCTTATTGTAGCCCTTGATGATGGCAAAGTAACACTCACCCCTCTCTTCTATTGTGACTTAGGGACCAGAATGACTAGTCCTTGAATTAAAAAAAATTTTTTTAAAGAACCACTGGGAATTATTGACAGTACCTATTCTCCCCCCTTTTCCTCCCTCACTCTCAAATCAGGCCTCTGACCCACATTTTCACATACACAATGGTGTTTGTACCAGCCTGGGGATGCCAATTCCATGCCCAATCTTGCTCCCCCCATATGGCAGAAAGGGCTGCCACCATGGGACAGCTGCTGAGCTGTGCTAAATCCTGTATGGAGTACTTGTGGCCCAGAGGGTGTCACCTCCAAGATGTTCAGGGCTCCATCTCTCCCTCCCTGTCTGCCTATTATGCTTGGAAGCAGGCGTGCAGCATAATCACCCCTGTCTCTCCTGGATCCCTGAGGGGAGCCTCCTCCTCAGGGTGGAACGTCTGTCATATGGCCACTAGGCATCTGGTTTTAAGCAGATTTTTGTTGAGAGGTGAAATGGTGCCAGTATTGTACTGTTTCCCTTCCCTGTGGACATTTGTCAGAGTAAATGACAAGAGTAGATTAGCCCATTAAGGATCTGAGTCCCACCGGCTAAAATTTTGATTATTTATATAAAGGATCTTAAGCTTCATGTACTAGGGATCCCTTCCAGTGTTAAAGTGTAGGGGGGCTTGAGTTGTCTTTCAGAGTTTATATTCTTGTCTGGGTGCCCCTACAGTCACATATTTTGCAACCTATAGTTGGTTTCATTTTCTTCCTTACAACTACTCTGTGTCCTTGTTACTGATGTGGAAACATTTTGTACTTCAGACTCAGGTTGATGAACATTGAAGCTTTCAGGCTAAATCAGCAAGAGGCTGAGAAACAGGTCAAAAAGGTCATCTCTTCACTCAGCATCAGAAAGTGCTGGAACTGGAGGACTGACAAAGCAGTATGGTTGGGGACAGATACAAAAGCAGAAACCAAAAGCCTAGAAAAAAGTAACATTGTCCAATGATATGAAGAAAGAAAGGAGAGAAGGAAGGGATAGAAGGGAGCAAAAAGAACGTCCATTGTCGTGTTTGCTCAAAAAAAAAAAAAAAAAAAAGAATGGTGAGAGAGGGAGAGGGAAGAAGAAATGAACATTTACTAAGCGTCTACTGTGTACCTTATAGTACACAAAACCTTACAAGATGATTCCATGTATGTTTAATCCCCACTAGGACCTAGTAAGAAAGATGGCACCCCATTTTTACAGAAAAGTAACTTGCCTGGAATTGCTTAATTTTGCTAACAAATATGATATAGGACCTAAATTCAAGTGTGGTCTATATAAAATCTCATTCTTTTAAACGAATCACTTTCTAAGTCTAAATGATTGTTCATCCTAAGCCACTGAAAAAAATGAATATAACTATGGATACATAACATGTTAACATTTAGAGGAAGCTGAGTGACGGGTTTTTTGGAACTCTCTGTACTAGCTTTGCAAATCTTCTGTAAATCTAAAATTATTTCAAAATAAATAGTTTTTCTTTTAATGAAGTAACTGCACTTCACAGAGCACATGTAGCCCACACAAGGAGCTGGTGATATTGTGGATTGAAAGTCCAGTGACTTAAGGATCAATAAACAAACATTATATAATTTACTCACTGTCCTTTTGACCTCAGATGCTAATAAGCCCAAATGTTTTTTCTCACTAAGATTTAAAATAAATGTTTTAAAAACTGCTCTCAACCTTAAGATATTTCCCAACTAAACCTGCTAATGTTGCTAATTTAAGCATAGTATGAAAAACTGTAATTATTTACAATGCCACATGCATATAATGATTATACCTCACTGCTTTGAGATATATGCCCAGGGGCCAGGTACAGTGGCTCATGCCTGTAATCCCAGCAATTTGGGAGGCTGAGGTGGGTGGATCACCTGAGGTTAGGAGTTCAAGACCAGCCTGGCCAACATGGTGAAACCCTGTCTCTACTAAAAACTGCAAAAATTAGCCAGGCACAGTGGTGCGCGCCTATAGTCCCAGCTACTCGGGAAGCTGAGGCAGGAGAATCGCTTGAACTCAAGAGGCAGAGGCTCCAGTAAGCCAAGATCATGCCACTGCATTCCAGCCTGGGCAACAAAGAGAGACATCACAAAAAAAAAAAAAAAAAAAAGAGAGAGAGACAGAGATATGCCCAGGAATCTCATTCATATTGTAAGCAACTAAATATTGTAAAAAAGTAAGTTGCAAAAGAGTATATTATAGGGTCGATTTTGTCTTAAATATATAATATATACAGAATATATATTCTATTATGACAGAATATATATTATATAAAACAGAGAAAGAAGATGTGCGCCATTTAAGCTTTTGGAGTGATGCTATGGTTTGAACACGTCTCCCCAAAATTCGTATGTTGGAAGCTAAGACCCAATGTGATAGCATTAAAGGATGGCACATTTAGGTGGTAAGTCGTGTGGGCTCTACCCTATTAAAGTTTTATGTGTTAACATAATCTTTTCAGATATTAGACAAAGAAAGAATACACAGATCCTTCAGAGGACACAACCAGGTGAAACAGAGTAACAGCCAACTAACTTTGCTGCTACTTTTCCTGCTACCACTTTTTACATTTCTAAAGGGATATTTTAGAATCCTGTCTTTCTTTGGGGGATGTTGCCCTTCCATCTTCCGTGTGTTACTCTTAGCCTTGACATCCTATCCTGGCCAAGGGGTAGGTATATAGACAATCAAGATCTGATCCTTTCCCCCAGGAATTGGAATATTGGGCCAACGAAGGAACAGATGGAAGGTTAGTGGAACTCATCCATTCTGACGACAGCAATCACTTTCTGTGATCCTTTCTGTGAGTTCCACCAAAGGAACTACCTGGAGCTACCATGGCTTCTATACTTGTGAGATTCTGTTTTCTGTAACCATGTGAGCTTCACAAATCTATTTAATAAATTTATTTTTTAAAGTTAGTCAATTTCAGTTACAAGCAAACTTAGAGGATCAGAACATCGTATTTGGAAGGCATCTTAGAAACGACTTAATAACAATGTCTCTTACTTCTAAACATTATGCTGTAATTAAAGAAAATTATTTTAATTGTTCTTAGTCTTGATATATGGAAAGTCAATATTTTGACCTTGAGGCTAACAGCACTCTTGTGTAAACAGTCCCTGAAGGTCTAACTGTATGCCTAGGAAGGAAAGAACACAGATATTACTGAGTTCCAGTGGGCTTCGCCATAAGCAGAAAATTTCTTGGCTTGAAAAAGATGAGGGGGAAGCTATGTGAGATCAATTTTAGTGTAATTTATCCCTACTGAAATGCAGATTTCCCTACTTGAATTAGCTACACACAGATATTGTTTTTAAAATACTTGATTTCTACAATGACACAAGAAAAGCAATCTCAGCAATCAAGATATGCAAGTTTTGTTGAGTACACATGGACACAAAGAAGGGAACAACAGACACCAGGACCTACCTGAGGGTGGAGGGTGAGACCAGGGTGAGGACTGAAAAACTACTTATCAGGTATTATGCTGATTAGCTGTGTGACAAAAGTATCTGTACACCAAACTCCCACAATATGCAATTCACCTGTGTAACAAATCTGAACATGCACCCTTGAACCTAAGAGTTGGAAAGAAAAAAAAAATGCAAGTTTTTTTCCTTATTAAACAACGAAGGCAAAAACTGACTAAAATCTAAGGAAAGTTGAATGATTAGGCCTCAAGTGAAGAAAGAGGCTATTTTCACAGAGCCAGTTTGGTTTTGCTTACCCCATCTCTTTTGATTTCAAAATAATAATTACCAATAAAAGGGGTGGGGGGGCAGAGAATCAAGATTATAGAAACTCTGGTGTAGTCAGAAAATGACTAGAGTAAGCTACAATTTTCCAATTGTGATGTAACATGGTTTAAGGGAGCACAGTTCTGGAGTTAAGGAGCAGAGAGGAACCTTTCAAGCAGAAATTCTTGTCTTCTAATAGACCCTCTGAATCTCCCTCTTCCATTTCCATTGTCATGTGGGTAGTCACTATACTAAACCAGATTCAGGTGTTCCTTATGTGATTAATTGCTATGTAACTCATTCTGCTCTGCCACCTTCAAATTAGTAAGATCGTTGTTCTCCGTCTTGTGTTCTTTCTCGGGCTTCTCATGGGCTGTGGTGAATGTGAGAGCATCCCATAATGGGGGCCTTAGGCCCACAGGAAAGAGTACCAAAGAAGAGCAGTTCTCTTTTATAATCTAAACACCCCAGGAGTATCACGTCCAGTTGTTAGAGTACATAATGTTTCTCACTCAAATAAGATCTTTGGCTCTGGTCACCTCTAAGATCTCAGGTCTGGGATTATCCCTAGTAATGACCCAGGGTCTGAATGCCTCCCTCCTGGCACACCACACCCTAAAGAATAAAGCCCCCCAATTCCCTGTATTTTCAATTGATGATCTGCAGCACAATGACTTAGAGAGAGAGAATGGGAAAGACCAAGGTATGGTGGTCCAGGCCAGCAGGCCTGCTTTGGAGGCAGCCAGCAGGCTGGGCTGGCAGCCACTCAGAGCCTGCTGCTTTCCACCAGGGGTTTTGCTGACCAGATCAGAGCAACACTCGAGAAGGCAGCAGCTGTGGCTAGAGCCAGCTCCCCTAATTCCTTCTTAGCTAATGAACTGGAAGGATCCAAAGGGAGCCAAGGAAGAATGGGTCCCCTGGGGCATACAGAGAGGCCTCTCCTTCCATGAATTTTCCATTTTTAATTAGGCTTGATGGTCTAGTCAGAATAAGACTTTTTAGATAAAATGTCATAGTGAGCAGGGATGTCCAAGGCCTAATTCATCAGATCCCCCAGGATCTCAGACCCAATATTCCCCCTGGTTAGACCTCCTGACTTGCTTTGATGGAGCCAAAAAATAAATAAATAGGGTATTTTAAGTATTTTTTTATTTCAAAAGGAATACATGATAATTATTAGAAATCAAAAAACACTTTAAAAATATATAACAGAGAAAGAAAATGTGCCCCATAAACCTACCTCCCCAGAGGATAACAATTATGTTTATTTAGCTTTTCTAAATAGATATACAAAGATACCTGTGTGTGTTATTCGGTATATGTTAGATATTTAAGACAAAATTGACCATATAATATACTCTTTTGCAACTTACTTTTTTGCAGTTATTATAGTTACTTATAGCTCTATCTCATTCACTTTAATAGCCGAATAGCATCTGATTCCAAGTTTATGCCTTTATTTGACCAATCTTTTACCAACTAGTAACACTGAACACTTTTCAGATGGTTTTAGTAAAACAAATTCTTGATAGAGGAATTGCTAGGTCAAGGGAATATATATTTCTGTGTGTGTATGTGTATTTTTTTCTATTTTAATAGACATTGTCAAATTGTAATATTTTAATATTTTGTTCACTATGTTTCCAAATCAACTCTAGGGCAAGTTATTTGAATGATATGGTCATGAAATAAAATCACCAGAAAAGTTCCTGCCTAATAAGAATGATACAATGGACTTAGGGGACTTGGGAGGAGAGTAGGAGGGGGTTGAGGGATAAAAAAACAATACATTGGGTACAGAGCTCACTGATGAGGTGAAGGGTGTATGAAAATCTCAGAAGTCACCACTAAAGAGCTTATTCATGTAACCAAACACCACCTGTTTCCCCAAAAACCTACTGAAATAAAAATGATAATAAAATAAAAAGTTCCTGCCTAGATAATTGTTTTCAACATCTAGGCATGTGGCTATGGAAACAGTCAGCATGACCATAAGCAGAGAATCCACTCAAAATAGACAGAGCTATAAATGTCTATGTGAACAGACAAATCACTTGTATAATTTTATATTCAATTTCTGATCCTGGAAAATATTCACAATTGTACAATGTTAACTCTTTTTAAAATACAAATCCTGCCCCTCTATGTTTCTATAAAAAATTCAGTTCCAGGTAGTCTGGAAACCAGAAATAAAACAGGATCTATAAGGAAAAAAAGATAACGTTCCCCACTCATGGCATGAAAAAAAGAATGGGTCCTCTGAAATAAAATAAATATGAAATGAGAAAGGTCCTCTACCTGACAAACAGTTCACTTAGGTAGATGCTAGATGTTCCTGCCCTGGGCATGGGATCAGGGTGTCAGTGATATCTCTGTCTTTACACTGGAACAGATGGAGAAAAGAAACCAAAAGAACCAGCCCCAAACTGCTGCTTCTTGGGACCGCAAATCTGCAACTCACCCAAAATTCAGCTCTTTTTTGCCTGCCTAACTTCCCTCGCTCCATAAACAATGGGGCAGGTCTGTATCCTCACTTTCCTAAGTCACTGCTGAGCTACCCTCTCCAATACACAGTAGCCTGGATCCAATCCCAATTGGTGTGTGTGACTAGTAGAGGTCGGTATGGCAGCTTTTGACATCACAGGAGCCAAGTAACACCATGGAAGAAACAATTGGTGCATCCATTCTCATCCAAGCATGTTTCAGTCTTCATAGACTATAAAAATTGTAGTATTGTAATAACAGGAAAACAAAATAATGTGCTGTATGGATGTGTTTGGGAAACAGCAATATAAATTTATTTAACCTTATATATCTACTTTTTCTACTCACAACTTAAACGTTTTAAAGTGTGGTGCAAAAGTAATGACTACTGATTATACTGAAGCTCTGTGTAAACTGAAGATAATACAACAAAAAGCCAAAAAGAAGGAGAAGGAAAGGAAACTTCTAAGAGTGGATAGACTTGGGTTTTGAATAAGGTAATTTGGGGAGTCAGTACCTTTCTTCATTTTCAAATTAGAAATATGATACAATTAATTAAGTAATTTATTGGAGTTCATATAATAATTTGATGAGAATGCTGATAATCACAGTTTTAAGTTAAATTTGACATAGAGAATTTAAAAGAGAACAGTATTCCGAATGCCATGAGCAGACATCAATGTTAGCATACAAATGCTTACATAACAGTTTATGTATATAAACACACACCTTACAAATAACTCCCTAAAAAAAAAAAAAAAAGGAAAGAAAAAGTGCTGTTTTACCACCATGCCCTCTTAACATTTTGTTTAATGTAGAGACAAATTGGATAATCCCTCTCCCTAACAGAAAATATGTGAGTGTGTGAATGTGCATGTATACATACATAAACACAGCCTACTGTTTTATTTCAAGTCAGTGTATTTAAATGTATTATCTTGTAATATACCTACAATAAACTTTACTAAGGAAACCCAAGCTTACTAGAATCAGTCCTAATTTTTTTAAATTAAACTAAAAAAAAAGGGTTTTGGAATCATACAGAACCATGTTCAAATCCCAGTTCCACCATTTACTCTTTTTTTTTTTTTTTTTTTGAGACGGAGTCTCACTCAGTCGCCCAGGCTGGAGTGCAGTGGTGCGATCTTGGCTCACTGCAAGCTCCACCTCCTGGGTTCACGCCATTCTCCTGCCTCAGCCTCCCGAGTAGCTGGGAGTACAGGCACCCGCCACCACGCCCAGCTAATTTTTGTATTTTTAGTAGAGATGGGGTTTCACCATTAGCCAGGATGGTCTCGATCTCCTGACCTCATGATCCACCCACCTCGGCCTCCCAAAGTGCTGGGATTACAGGCATGAGCCACCAGATGGAGTCTCACTCTCGCCCAGGCTGGAGGGCAGTGGCACAATCTTGGCTCACTGCAACCTCTGCCTCCTGGGTTCAAGCAATTCTTGTACCTCGGCCTCCAGAGTAGCTGAGACTACAGGTGTGCACCACCATGCCTGGCTAATTTTTGTATTTTTAGTAGAGATGGGGTTTCACCATGTTGCCCAGGCTGGTCTCGAACTCCTGACCTCAGGTGATCCACCCACCTTGGCCTCCCAAAGTGCTGGGATTACAGGTGTGAGCCACTGCACTGGGCCTCACCATTTACTCTTCAGGACTTGAGACAAATGAGTGCATTTGGGATGTAAAGGGAGACTCTAAGGCATGGTTTTCTCTGTTGTACATTGGAGACTACTCCCCACAAGCTTGTGATGTGAATTAGTGAGATGAGGACACCTACCATGTGCCAGACAAATCCTACGCATTCAATAAATTTTTTCCCTTCCCTTTAATTCAAACATGATTTTTGCAAAAATGCTTCCTACATTTATTAATAAGTACATTTATTAATAATTGACTATAGTTAATATTGTTGATAAACACAATTTGAATTTTTTTGCAATATTTGCCTTGTGAGATCATTACTCTGAGTTAAATATATAGCCACTTAACCTTAAGCACTATGTTGTGTTGCATTTACCAACCACAATAATTCAGAGAGAGGGAGTTTATCCTAAGTGACCAAAAAGTAATATCAAATGTAAAACGGACCGTAACCAGGATTGTTAAAGTATTATGTATCATTCCTGTTCACTGAAGAGAAACAAATGACTTAGAGAGTTGATTTTTAAATCACTCATATGCCTTAGCACAGCAAAGAAAAGGTAAACAAAGGAAGCCGCCTGATAAAACACCTGAAATATATGGTTTTTTTAACTAATACTTTCCCTTTCCCCAATATGCTTCCAGAAAACCAAGCCCTTGAAGTTTTAGTAGAGGCCCCTAATCAATGCACATTACCTATTCTAATGTTTAAATCTGCCAGTGTTTTAAATGTTAAAAAAGTTCAAATGCAGGGGGAAAAAAGCCAGGAATAGCAACAGATACTGAGTACCTCAAATACTGGAATCTGAGTAAGACTGAACAGGCTTTAAAGAAAGATCAGAAGCAACAAGAATTTGCGCAGGTTCTGTTCCTCCTTGATGGATCTGGATCCCACTCAGAGTGGTGATTCCAGCTTATTCTTGCTCTCTTGCATTTTGTACTTTGTAGCCATCTTTCCTTCCCCGCCTACACTGTATCCACAAGCTTCAGTACCAGACTTGAAGATGACAGCCTTCCAGATACTGCTTGACCAGCTACCACAATTACATAAAGTCACATCCCTATAACAAATCCCTCATTTATGTATGCGTATGTGTATACATGTAAGTACATGTATGCATCTGTATGTATAATCTGTACATATATATGCATTGTGTGTGTGTGTGTGTGTGTGTATATATATATATGAAGGGACTTATTACAAGGATGTGGCCTTATATAATTGTGGAAGCTGGGGATCAAAATATATATATATTTATCTGATGGAACCCTGACTGATAATAACATCCATACATTTAAAATATATTATTTTTCTTTCCTTTCTTTTCTCTAGATATCTCAAATCTTTTTGCCCTCTTCAACATGAGGTGAGGGCTAAATAATTAAACAGAAAAAAACACCTCTCTCTCTCTCCTCTCTGTCCTTCAGTTTTTTTCGGTCAATTAGTGGATAATTAGTGGCCATTATCATGGTGACATTATAGAATAAAGTATACCCAAAGCCATTTTCTACCTTTCTTGTTACCAGAAACCCAATATGATTCAGGTGTCAGAAGCCCACTTTCCTCACAAAAGCCTGGGCCCTCCTCAGCCCCAGGAGATAGATTTTTTTTTTTTTTTGAGACGGAGTCTCACTCTGTCACTCACACTGGAGTGACTCACTATCTCGGCGGCTCACTGCAACCTCTGCCTCCCGGGTTCAAGAGATTATCCAGCCTCAGCCTCCTGAGTAGCTGGGATTACAGGCGTGCACCACCACCACGCCCAACTAATTTTTGTATTTTTAGTAGAGACAAGGTTTCACCATGTTGGTCAGGCTGGTCTCAAACTCCTGACCTCGTGATCCACCCACCTCGGCCTCCGAAAGTGCTGGGATTACAGGCGTGAGCCACCACGCCCAGCTGGAGATAGACCTAGTCCAAGCATTGATAATTTATTTTCTTTGCCAGGGATTAGGTGAGAAATGAGCACGTAACATAATTCTGGAGAGTGAAATGATGGTAAAGCTTTAGGAAATTTTCCCCCACTCCTTCTTAAAAGAAGAATCAGCCCCTATTCAGTCTTCAGATGTTATTGTGTGAGGAGATGGTATCTGGATCTATTGTAGCTCTTATGGTAGGCAAATGACCCCCACAGATGTCCTCATCCTAATCATCAGGACCTGTGAATAATTAGGTTACATGGAAAAGGAAAATTAAGGATGCAAATGGAGTTAAGGTTGCCAGTCAGCTGACTTTAAAATAGAGTAGCCT
The DNA here is from genome assembly GCF_000001405.40 of Homo sapiens. NCBI lineage: Eukaryota > Metazoa > Chordata > Mammalia > Primates > Hominidae > Homo > Homo sapiens. The sequence goes on along the minus strand of NC_000014.9, from coordinate 32,294,740 downwards.
GGTTTATCCAGGTGGGCCCACTGTAATCACAAGGATCCTTAAAAATGAAAGAGGAAGGCAGACAAAATTGGTGCCCTGGCACAGGGAGATGTGACTATGAAAGAAGGGCACAGAAAAATGCAACATTGATGGTCTTGAAAATGGAGGAAATGGGCCACAAGCGAAGGGATGTGGACAGCCTCTAGGAGCTAGAAAAGCAATGAAATGGATTCTTAGAGCCTCCAAAAAATAATGCAGACATGGGGACCTTGATTTTGGCCAAATGAGACCCATGTCAAACATATGACCTACAGAAATAGCATAAACTTGTACTGTTTTAAGACACTAAATTTGTGCTAATTTGTTTCAACAGCAATAGAAAAGTAATAGAGTACTCTTTGACTACAATGCTGATCCAGTCGAACTCAAGAAATCATTGGCAGGAGTAAAATAAGGTAGAAGAGATCTGACTTATCCTTGGGGTCCTAGTTGACCCAAATTCAGTACGTTCAAAATAATTACTAAAGTAAACATAGACCACATTACTAGCCCAGTGTAACACTCCTACTAAATTCTGCACTTACGGATTGCTGTGTCCAGTTCTGAGCACCATACTGAAGAGGAACACTTACAAACTGAAGTGCTCATGTGACATCACAGGAACATGACAGCCCTCAGGATGCTTGCCTTGGAGGAGACTTGAAGGAAGGCAGTAATATCTATAATCCTTATGAGGCTATCATGTGAAAATGGAACTGAGACCGTGTTCTCCCTGGGACAAAATAGAACTCATAGGTGGAAATCACAATATATGGAAAAGCTTTTTATCAGTAAGAGATGAGCACCGTTGGAGAGTGCTGCCTTTGGATGTCGAGTACTCAGTGTCACTGGAAGAGACTCCTAGATACAATGGGTCTCAATTACCTCTTCTAAAATCCCTTCTAAGTCTAAGTCTTTATTGATGTATATTTTAAGAAGAGTTTTAGAGAGTAGCACAGTGCCTAGCATGTAGTAAGTACTACATAATTATGTTGAATAATTGAGTAAAGTAGGTACTATGGTCTGAATGTGTCCCCCAGCCCCCCAAAGTGATGGTATTAGAACGTGAGGCCTTTGGGGAGGTAAGTCATGAGGGAAAAGTGCTCATGAACAAAATTGGTGCCCTCATAAAACAGGCCCAAGCTTACCTTCTCTTTCCACATGAGGACACAGCTAGAAAATGCATCTGTGAACCAGAAAGTGTGCCATCACCAGACACCAAATCTGCTGGTGCCTTGATATTCTGGAGACTTCCCAGCCTCCAGAACTGTAGGAAACAAATTTCTGTTGTTTATAAGCTACCCAGTTTATGGTATTTTGTTATTATTAGCCCAAATGGACTAAGACGATAGACTTGGAGGCGTAAGTCATAGAATGCAAAATTCATCTCCTTTACACTTTGCCTATGTTAGTGGTTCTTTGATGGGCATTTTTGGCCTTTAGAAACAGGTCTGAAAACACTAGCAGCCCAATTATCATTAACAAGCACATAGTGTCCAGGCATTCCAATTGTTTTTTCTCACTCCAGTCTTTCCAGAGCCCATAGGGAGCCATAAAATTTATTTTGTTACACCTCAGATGGTCTCAAACCAGCAGTCACACATCAATCAAACCTAGCTATTCATCATTCTGTGCAATCCTCCAGTAAAGACAAAACAATGAATTGCTTAACAAGTAATATTTGGTGGTGATAAGGTTGAGCTGTATCTTTGTATTTATCCCAATGTTAGGACCCTTTTCAAAACTTCCATTGAGGACTAAACCAAATAACTATGTTGATTTGTTGGCTTGTCCAGATTCCATGCCTTGTTTTACCCTTTTGGTTCTCCTAAATCCAAGGCTCCTCTGATTCAGAGGGTTTTTTTTTTTTGTTTTTTTTTTTGTTTTGTTTTTTGTTTTTTTTTTTTTTGAGACGGAGTCTCGCTCTGTCACCCAGGCCGGACTGCGGACTGCAGTGGCGCAATCTCGGCTCACTGCAAGCTCTGCTTCCCGGGTTCACGCCATTCTCCTGCCTCAGCCTCCCGAGTAGCTGGGACTACAGGCGCCCGCCACCGCGCCCGGCTAATTTTTTGTATTTTTAGTAGAGACGGGGTTTCACCTTGTTAGCCAGGATGGTCTCGATCTCCTGACCTCGTGATCCACCCGCCTCGGCCTCCCAAAGTGCTGGGATTACAGGCGTGAGCCACCGCGCCCGGCCCAGAGGGTTTTTGTTATTTTCAATTTTGTTTTGTTTTGCGCCCAGACATTAGTTTTAATTCCCTTATATTAAATATTAAATTGCCTATATTAGCCCATTCTCATGCTGCTATGAAGAAATACCCATGAATGGGTAATTTATAACAATAAGAGGTTTAGGCTGGGCATGGTGGCTCACGCCTCTAATCCCAGCACTCTGGGAGGCCGAGGCAGGCAGATCACCTGAGGTCTGTTTAAGACCAGCCTGGCCAACATGGCGAAACCCCATCTCTACTAAAAATACAAAAATTATCCGGGCATGGTGCACATGCCTGTAGTCCCAACTGCTTAGGAGACTGAGACAGGAGAATCGCTTGAACCTGGGAAGCAGAGATTGCAGTGAGCCGAGATCATGCCACTGTACTCCAGCCTGGGTGACAGAGCAGGGCTCCATCTCAAAAAAAAAAAAAAAAAAGAAAAGAAAAGAGGTTTAATTGACTCACAGTTTTGCATGGCTGGGGAGATCTCAGGAAACCTACAATCAATCATGGCAGAAGGCACCTCTTTTCACATGGTAGCAGGAGAGAGAATGAGTGCCAAGCAAAGGGGGAAAGCATCTTATAAAACCAAAAGATCTCAAGAGAACTCACTACTACAAGAACAACATGGGGGAAACCACCCCCATGATTCAATTATCTCCACCTGGTCCCACCCTTCACATGAGGAGATTGTTACAATTCAAGGTGAGATTTGGGTGGGGACACAGAGCCAAACTGTATCATTCTGCCCCTAGCCCTTCCCAAATCTCATGTCATCACATTTCAAAATACAATCATGCCCTTCCAACAGTCCCCCAAAGTCTTAGCTCATTTCAGCATCAACCCAAAAGTCCAAGTCCAAAGTCTCATCTGAGACAAAGCAAGTCTATTCCACCTATGACCCTGTAAAATCAAAAGCAAGTTAGTTACTTCCTAGATACAGTGGGATTATAGGCGTTGGGTAAACACACCCATTCCAAATGGGAGAAATTCACCAAAACAAATGGGCTACAGGCCCCATGCAAGTCTGAAATCCAATAGGGCAGTCACTAAACCTTAAAGTTCCAAAATGATCTCCTTTGACTCCATGTCTCACATTCAGGTCACGCTAATGCAAGAGGTGAGCTCCCACAGCCTTGGGCAGCTCCACCCCTGTGGCTTTTCAGGGTACAGCTCCCCTTCTGGCTGCTTTCAAAGGCTGGCATTGAGGAAGGCCTGCAGCTTTTCTGGCACAAGGTGCAAGCTGTTGGTGAATCTACCATTCTGGGGTCTGGAGGATGGTGGACCTCTTCTCACAGCTCCACTAGGCAGTGCCCCACAGTGGGGACTCTTGTGTGGTGGCTCCAACACCAACACATTTCCCATCTGCACTGCCCTAGCAGAGGTTCTCCATGAAGCCTCAACCCCTGCAGCAAACTTCTGCCTGGAGACCTATGTTTTTCCATACATCCTCTGAAATCTAGGTGGAGGTTCCCAAACCTGAATTATTGATGTCTGTGCACTGGCAAGCCCAAAACCACATACAAGCTGCCAGGGCTTGGGCCTTCCATCTTCTGAAGCAATGGCCTGAGCTGTACCTGGGCCCCTTTTAGCCATGGCTGGGATACAGGGCACCAAGTCCAGAGCCTGCCCAAAGTAGAAAGCCCCTGAGCCTGGCCCATGAAACCACTTTTTCCTCCTATGCCTCTGGGCCTCTGACATGCCCTGGAGACATTTTCTCCATTGTCTTGGTGATTAACATTTGGCTCCTCATTACTTATGCAAATTTCTGCAGCTGGCTTGAATTTCTCCTCAGAAAATGGGTATTTATTTTCTAACACACTGTCAGGCTGCAAATTTTCCAAACTTTTATGTTCTGCTTCCCTTTTAAACATAAGTTCCAATTCCAAATCAATCTTCGTGAATGCATAAAACTGAATCTTTTTTTTTTTTTTTTTTTTGAGACCAGGTCTCACTCTGTTGCCAAGGCTGGAGGGCAATGGCACAACCTTGGCTCATTGCAACCTCTGCTTCTGGGTTCAAGCCATTCTAGTAGCTGGGATTACAGGCACCCACCACCTAACCTGGCTAATTTTTGTTTTTTAGTAGAAACAGGGTTTCACCATGTTGGCCAGTCTGGTCTCGAAATCCTGACCTCAGGTGATCTGCCCGCCTCGGCCTCCCAAAGTGCTGGGATTACAGGCGTGAGCCACTGCACCCAGCCAAAACTGAATGCTTTTACGAGCACTCAAGTCACCTCTTAAATGGTTTGCTGCTTAGAAATTTATTCTGCCCTAGACACAAAAAAAAAGAAAACATCAGGCCAATGTCTCTGATGAACATCAATGTGAAAATCCTCAGTAAACTATTGGCAAACCGAATCCAGCAGCACATCAAAAAGCTTATCCACCATGATCAAGTAGTCTTCATCCCTGGAATGCAAGGAATGTTCAATATATGCAAATCAACAAACTTAATCCATCACATAAACAGAACCAATGACAAAATCACATGATTATCTCAACAGATGCAGAAAAGACCTTTGATAACATTCAAGAGCCTTTCATGTTAAAAACTCCCAATAAACTAGGTATTGATGAAACATATCTCAAAATAATAAGAGTTATTTATGACAAATCCATAGCCAACATCATACTGAATGGGCAAAAGCTGGAAGCATTACCTTTGAAAACTGGTACAAGGATGCCCTCTCTCACCACTCCTATTCAACACACTATTGCAAGTTCAGGCCAGGGCAATCAGGCAAGAGAAATAAATAAAGCGTATTCAAACAGGAAGAAAGAAAGTCAAATTGCCTCTGTTTGCTGATGACATGATTCTATCTTTAGAAAACACCATCATCTCAGCCCCCAAACTCCTTAAGCTAATAAGCAACTTTAGTAGTCTCTGGATACAAAATCAATGTGTAAAAATCACAAGCATTCCTATAGACGAACAATAGACAAGCAGAGAGCCAAATCATGAATGAACTCCCATTCACAATTGCTACAAAGAGAATGAAATACCTAGGAATACAGCTAACAAGAGATGTGAAGGACCTCTTTGAGGAGAACTACAAACCACCACTCAAGGAAATCAGGGAGGACACATACAAATGAAAAAACATTCCATGCTCATGGATAGGAAGAATCAATATCATGAAAATGGCCATACGGCCCAAAGTAATTTATAGATGCAATGCTATTCCCATCAAACTACTACTGATATTCTTCATAGAATTAGAAACACTTCTTTAAATTTCATATGTAACCAAAACAGAGCCTGTACAGCCAAAACAATCCTAAGCAAAAGAACAAAGCTGGAGGCATCATGCAACCTGACTTAAAACTATACTACAAGCCTACAGTAACCAAAACAGCATGGTACTGGTACCAAAACAGACATATAGACCAATGGAACAGAACAGAGACCCCAGAAATAACACCACACATCTACAACCATCTGATCTTCAACAAACCTGACAAAAACAAACAATGGGGAAAGGATTCCCTATTCAATAAATGGTGCTGGGAAAACTGGCTAGCCATATGCAGAAAGTTGAAACTGGACCCCTTCTTTACATCTTATACAAAAATTAACTCGAGATGGATTAAAGATTTAAATGTAAAACCCAAAACCATAAAAAACCCTAGAAGAAAACCTAGGCAATACCATTCAGGACATCAGCATGGGCTAAGATTTCATTACAAAAATGTCAAAAGCAACTGCAACAAAAGGCAAAATGGACAAATGAGATCTAATTAAACTAAAGAGCTTCTACACAACAAAAGACACTATCATCCGAGTGAACAGGCAACCTACAGAATGAGAGAAAATTTCTGCAATCTACCCATCTGACAAAGGTCTAATATCCAGAACCTACAAGGAACTTAAGCAAATCTACAAGAAAAAAAAACCATCAAAAAGTGGGCAAAGGATATGAACAGACATTTCTCAAAAGATGACATTCATGCAGTCAACAAACATGAAAAAAAGCTCAACATCACTGATCATTACAGAAATACGAATCAAAACCACAATGGGATACCATCTCATGCCAGTTAGAATGATGATTATTAAAAAGTCAAGAAACGATAGATGCTGGCAAGGCTGTGGAGAAATAGGAACGCTTTTACATTGTTGGTGGGAATGTAAATTAGTTCAACCATTGTGGAAGACAGTGTGACAATTCCTCAAGGATCTAGAACTAGAAATACCATTTGACCCAGCAATCCCATTACTGGGTATATACCCAAAGGATTATAAATCATTCTACTATAAAGACACATGCAAACATATGTTTATTGCAGCACTATTTACAATAGCAAAGACATAGAACCAACCCAAATGACCATCAATGATAGACTGGATAAAGAAAATGTGGCACATATACACCATGAAATACTATGCAGCCATAAAAAGGAATGAGATCATGTCCTTTGCAAGGACATGGATGAAGGTGAAAGCCATCGTTCTCAACTAATTAACACAGGAACAGAAAACCAAACACTGCATGTTCTCACTCATAAGTGGGAGTCAAACAATGAGAACACATGGACACAGGGAGGGGAACAACACACACCCGGGCCAGTCGGGGGAAGGGGGTGCCGAGGGGAGGGAGAGCATTAGGACAAATTGCTAATGCATGTGGGCTTAAAATCTAAATGACGGGTTGACAGGTGCAGCAAACCACCATGGCACATGTATACCTATGTAACAAACCTACACGTTCTGCACTTGTATTCTGGAACTTAAAGTAAAATAAATAAATAATATAAAAAGTTAAAAACAATAAACTTCTTCTGCCAGATACCCTAAGTTATCCCTCTCAAGTTCAAAGTTCCACAGATCTCTAGGGCAGGGGCAAAATGCTGCCTATCTCTTTGCTAAGGCATAGCAAGAGTCACCTTTATTCCAGTTCCCAAGAAGTTCCTCATCTCCACCTGAGACCACCTCGGCCTGGACTTCATTGTCCATATCACTCTCATCATTTTGGTCAAAACCATGTGACAGTTCTCTAGGAAGTTCCAAACTTTTTCGCATCTTCCTGTCTTCTTCTGAGCCCTCCAAGCTCTTCAAACCTCTGCCTGTAACCCAGTTCCAAAGTCGCTTCCACATTTTCGGGTATCTTTATAGCAGCACCCCACCCTCTATGGTACCAATTTACTATATTAGTCCATTGTCATGCTGCTATAAAGAGACTGGGTAATTGAGACTGTGTAATTTTTAAAGAAAAGAGGTTTAATTGACAGTTCTACATGGCTAGGGAGGCCTCAGGAAACTTAAACAATGATGGTGGAAAGCACCTCTTCACTGAGTGGCAGGAGAGAGAATGAGAGCCAAGTGAAGGGGGGAAGCCCCTTATAAAACCATCAGATCTTGTGAGAACTCACTCACTATCATGAGAATAGCATGGGGGAAACGACCCCCCATGATTCATTTATCTCCATCTGGTCCTGCCCTTGATGTGTGGGGATTATTACCATTCAAGATAATATTTGGGTGGAGACACAGAGCCAAACCCTATAATTGCCTTTTGTTATTTCTCTCTAAAAATGCAGATAACTCTAGTTCAAAGTGGGAATCAGAAGATAACATATTGATTGCTTTCCTAGTCCTGGAGGGACTGAGGCATCGAAGCTGAGTAGTGCAAAAGGGAAAAGAGTGACAAGTAAGAAAACAAAAATACACTGCACTACTCAAAACCACAGGGTTATCTAGGCTTCACTTGTGGTATCACAGCTTGCTGAGGAACAAATTTTAGAACAAATTTAGCTGACAAACCAATTCTAGAAACTCCTTGAGTGCACTCTCATTAATGGTCTGCTTCTCTCACAATGGTGGATACTGCTCCTGGAAGCATTTTGTATAATGTGACTCTATCCCCTAACTGGACAAGAATAAGCACAATGTCTAAGCTAGACCAATCAGAATCCATTTACCAATATTTGAACTAAAATAGTCAAGAAGAGAAAGACAGAGACAGACTGGCTTAGTCTCTTGGGATGCCTCCTCTAGTTACCATAAATATAACCTTGGGACCTGTGGGCTGGCCATCTTGCACTTGCTATGTAGATCAAAAAGGCAGAGGAAACAGGCTTACAAAGAGAATGAAGAAGCTATGCCAAGAGGCAGCATTGGTGGGATTCCAGGCTCTCCATAGGCCTGGATGCATTCTTGCTCTGGATTACTTGAGTTGCCCTTGTATCTTGAAAATTATTTTTTCCTTAACTAGTTTTCGAGTCTGTTTCCTGACACCAAAACAATCACAGTAGTACACATCTTTAGTGGGATTTGTAACGTATCAAATTGGCTATGCTGAACTACATTTCCCAGAATTCCCTGTCCTGTGTATTTCTGATGAGCATCAGAGACAGAATGATTCCTGTGGGCAATTTAGTGTACAGAAATGATGCAGCAGCCATTTTTTGCTCACACAGGTTGCTGCTTACCTCTGCTGTTGCACTTCATTGGTGTGAAGCAGCAGCTGGGCCTACAACTTGCTCTACTTTCCCATGGATCTTTCTTCAGCTGCTCCAGTTCCTGGGCCAGGTGTATATGTTTATCTGTGTAACAAAGAATTCTAAATGTTACTTTTATCGATACATTATTTTATCCTGTTGATACTAGGCCCATCCCCCAACCTATCAAAATCATTTTGATTATCTGTCATTGTGTACATTAGCAACCTAAGCTTTGTTATACCTATAATCTGACTCCTTGTTGTTTTCCTCATACTCTTCTTATTAATACTTCTGGAGGCCTTCCATCTTCTAGCAATCTATTAAAGGCATTGGGCAATAATGAAATGAGATCTAATATATTAATGTACTGCCCCTTCCTATTCATTTAAACCAGTGTTTCTGAAGATAACAACAGCTCAAAGTAATGACTTCTGCAGAAATGGAAATTTCAGTCACCAGATCAGGCTTTATGGCAAAAGAAGGCACCAAGGTAAATGTCCATCTATTGTGACTACTCTTGTGGTAAGCTTTGGCCACCACACCAGAAAATGAGAAGCCCCAGCTTCTCTTATCTCTTAACATGGTGAACACTCCTGACCCTTTTATTTTCCTTTCTCAGAACTGTAGGATAATGAAGTCAGGGAAAGTATCTGATTTGTTCCCAGCCTTATCCCCCACATCTTGCATATACCTTGCACCAAAATGTACTCAGTAATGTTTGTTGTTTTTTGCTTGCATAAGCTTGCACAAAACCCATTTTGACATGAAGGACTCAGAAAATTTTAGCCAATCCTGAAAAACTGCAGTACAGACACCACACTCCGAGTCCACAGCAACAGACACATTTCCAGCACTGACTCATAACATTTGGGAGTAAGAAAGGGAGAGAAGAAAGGAAAGATGATTTACTCCTTATCAAGCACAAAATTCCAACTTAAAACTAGAGGCTAGTCAAATAAATTGTTATCCTTAGGCCCTTTTAATTGGTCCTTGAAATTAATTTAAATTAAAATATACCACTTAAGAAAAATGAGTGTAGTAAGTTAACTGTTTATCTAAGAAGGGACAGGGAGATATAAGATATGTAGATAGTAAGATACATATATAGAGATCAAAAAATACAAAGTGGGCCAGGTGTAGTGGCTCAGGCCTGTAACTCCAGCACTTTGGGAGGCCAAGGTGCGCAGATCACTTAAGCCCAGGAGTTAAAGACCAGCCTGGGGAACATGGCAAAAACCCGTCTCTATAAAAAAAAAAATACAAAAAATTAGCCATATGTGGTGGCATGTGCGTCTAATCCCAGCTATTCAGGGGATAGTGGAAGAATCACTTGAGCCCTGGAGATTGAGGCTGCAGTGAGCTGAGATCATGCCACTGCACTCCAGCCTGGGCATCAGAGTGAAACCCTGTCTCAAAGAAAAAAAATGGCTATCTATAGAGGGAAGAAAGGAATAAAGTGGAGGAGACAAGAATAAAAGCTAGACTTCTTTGCATACACTTTGTTTTGTTGATTTGACTGTGGAATCACGTAAACATTTTATATCATTATAAGAAAATATAAATTTGTAAAAGCAGTCCTTTCATGTTAACAGTCTATACTTTAAAACTATATACTGTATGATCCCATTTATATGACATTCTGGAACAAAGCAAAACTACAGAGAAAGAAAACAGATTTGTGGTTGCCAGAGATTTGAGGGTAGGGAGAGGAGTGATTACAAAGAGGCTCAAGGCAATTTTAGGGAGTGATAAACTGTTCTATATTTTGATTTTTGGTGGAAGTTATATTTATGCATTTGTCAAAACTTATAGAACTATACATTAAAAAGGATTAGTTTCATGGCATGTAAATTATATCTTAATTGAAGAAGTATAAAAAAGCAATCCTTAATAATAAAAAGTAAAAAAAAGAACCTAAACATATGTACAGTTGGTGGCACTACCATCAGAAACAAAGCATTTCAAGTAACTTTAAAACACAGTAATGCATCTGGTCATTTTTTTGGTGACACACTCAAATTATAAAAATAACTGCAAACAATTTTAAAAGTTTTAAACCAATCATATTATTGGGAGTAGCATTTGTAACACTACTCTCAGACACCTGTGTGTTTAGCATGGGATAAGGAAAATACGTACTTACATTGGTGTTAAGAACAGATTACAATATAGAAGAAAGGAAATATGGATCAACAAAATTAAGCAAAAACCCTATTTTTTTATTAGAAGCATCAATGCATTTTATCTTAAAAAAATTTTTCCGCTATCTGCCCACTGAAAAGACCTAGAAATAACGACCAAACTAGATAGAGGCCACAGGTAACCACTGTACCCAGGTAATGGTCTCTGAAATACTTCAGGACTCCCTGGAGAAATGGCAGATTCAGGTCTAGAGCAGGAAATGTAAAAGATGAGCCTGGAACAACTTGTTACACCAGAAAATAAGCAAGTCATCAAACACTACTGGAGTTGCAGTTAAAGGACCCAGGAGCCAACTTGAATGTTCCCACTGGCAAAATATGGGAAGTTTAGGCACCAATAAGGATTATACCAGCAATGGATTAGAACAAAATACATATGTTTAAATCTGTAAGTTCATAAGGATACTTTCAAAAGCTCTGGTGATTACTGATGCATGCTGGGGAACCACTTCACATTTTTAAAGCTGGTCAATAGAGGGAAAGAATCAAGCATCTCTCCTGCCTTTCCTTTGTGAATTGTAGCTCAGAGAATGCTAGTAGTAGTAGTTGAAGGGAAGTTTTTCTTTAGCTGTAAGTATTCCAACTAATAAAGGAAGAAGTAAAAACAGAATATCCCCCTTTAGAATATGCGGAATATGCCTTATGAAAGTAGAAAATAATCATCAGCAGTTGCTAACATCCTCTTAAAAGGCTCAATATCAAATGTTATATACCTCCTGGTAGAGTACCCAATACAATAATCTATGAAGTATCTGAATCTGATCAACCACTAAATTTAACTAACAATTTTTTCTTTTTGAGACAGTCTCACCCTGTCACACAGGCTGGAGTGCAGTGGCACATTCTCAGCTCACTGCAACCTCCACCTCTTGGGTTCAAGAGATTCTCGTGCCACAGCCTCCCGAGTAGCTGGGATTACAGGCATGCACCACCATGCCTGGCTAACTTTTGTATTTTTAGTAGAGACAAGGTTTCACCCTGTTGGTCAAACTGGTCTCAAACTCCTGACTCCAAGTGATCCGCCTGCCTTGGCTTCCCAAAGTGCCAGGATTACAGGTGCGAGTCATCACACCCAGCCTTAACTACCAATTTATAGGAAAAACAGGGCACAGAGGGGTACATGCCAGCAACACCATGGAGATGCAGTCAGAAAATACAGACCATGGGAACTCTTCAGGCCTGATTACTTCAACAACAAAAAATTTGCAAAGGGAAAAAAAGACATGGAGGTGGGTGGGACCATAGATTAAAATAAATGTAAGAAATGCAATTATGCCTAAAAGAAGCCCAATACCCATTAGTGGTCATTATCATCACTCCTTCATTGCCACCCCAGTGCTAGGCAACCACTAATCCACTCTCTGTATTCTGGATTTACCTATCCTGAACACTTCACACAAATAGAATCATACAATATGTGGTTTTTTGTGGCATCTGGCTTCCTTCCCCTAACATATTTTCAAGGTCCATCTATGTTGTATTATCAGTACATCATTCCTTTTTAGGACAGAATAATATTCCATTGTATAGATACATGACATTTTATTTACCTATTCATCAGTTGATAGGCATTTAGGTTGTTTCTACCTTTTGGCTATTATAAATAGTGCTGCTATAAACATCTGTGTGTAAGTTTCTGGGTAGATATATGTTTTTACTTCTCTTGTTTATATACCTGGGTGTGGAATCTCTAGGTCATATAGTAATTCTATGTTTACACTTTTGAGAAACTACCAGACTGTTTTTCCAAATGTTTGCACCAATTTACATTCCCACCAGCAGTGCAAAGAGATCCAATTTCTCTACATCCTCACCAACCCTTGTTATTATCTGTCTTTTTTATTCTAGCCACCCCAGTGGATGTGAAGTGGTATCTCATTGTGGTTATGATTTGCATTTCCAATGATGACTCTTTAGTGTGCAGAGAAATCATTTTTCTTGAGCGTTTATTACTGAAGGTGAGGAGAGAAGACACTTTTGAATTGAGAACAAATTGTTTCACACTTCAAAAAAATAAGGTGAAATTTTTTGTGTGTGAGGGACAGTCAAGATGGTTTTCAGGAGCAAGAACTTATTTAAGAATCTATCCTGTAAGGAAAAAAAGGTGAAGAGCATGAGAAAATAGGGTAGGTATGTCTTTTGGTCATAACTTGACACCAAAGAATTACAATGAATAAAAACTTTTACTCCCAAGAACTGATTTTTCAATCAAATAGTGTCAGAATGAGCAGAAAACTCCTAAATTTAACTGACAGAAACAAGGGACGGAAGGAATTGGTGGGTAGGTGGATAGGTGTAGTAGGTAACATTTGTGTTTTGAAACATTTCTTATTGAAGTTACAGCTGAGGAGTCTGAAACTGGATTAACAGAAAGGAGATACCATCAAAACTCTCAAGTTGACTAGAGAAGAGAATTCCAAAAGTGTCACTGTAATGTCTTGGTATGCTAAAAAGTTGGAAAAGGACTTGGAGAAAATTTTAAATCAATATTTAGAGAAATCTAAGAGATTCACTATAACATAAATTGTCTAATTCAGATAAATTGACAGAACAAACTCAAACATCCCAAGACCACCAGATTTTGACATTCTTGATGTAGTGCTTAACTAGGTGAGCCTCTCTAACATGAGAATATGGAGTAAGCCATCCGGTCTCACCAAAAGAGGAGGCAAACTTTGAAAAATCAGTCTTCACAAGTGACTGCTTATGTACTCTCTCTCTCTGTTTTTTGTTTGTTTGTTTGTTTGTTTTTTGAGACAGAGTTTCACTCTGGTCACCCAGACTGGAGTGTGATGGCGCCATCTTGACCCACTGCACCTCCACCTCCCAGGTTCAAGTGATTCTCCTACCTCAGCCTCCTGAGTAGCTGGGATTAAGAGCATGTGCCACCACGCCTGGCTAATTTTTGTATTTTTAGTAGAGATTGGGTTTCAACATGTTGGCCAGGCTGGTCTCAAACTCCTGACCTCAGGTGATCCACCTGCCTCAGCCTCCCAAAGTGCTGGAATTACAGGCATAAGCCACTACACCCTGCCTGTTTATGTACTCTTTAAGGAAAACTAGAAAATGGAATTTAAGAAAGGGGACCTACCAGAGGCCCAGAGAAGAAGTTATGTTAGGGTCATCTTCCTAGAATAAGAGGAGAAATCTCTGGCATTTTGTGTTAGAATCACTCTTTTGATAAATCAAAGATAATTCAGAAAGAGGAAAGTTTTGTATACTCCATGAAGAAGACAAAAACGTAAAAAGAGAATAAGACAGAATTAATGGAGACATCCAGAAAGATGAAAAAATAAAGTTTCAGTAAAGAATATCTTTCTTAGGAATATAATAGACTAGACAAGTCTTTGAAATCTATTGAAAGATTTTCCAAATATAGAAAATCAATGGGACCAAAAATATTTCAGCAAGAGGTAGGTTAACTACATATCGGAAGGAAGAAAGGAAAGTGAAAATAGGATGATGTCTTTGGAGAGAGGAGCCAAAGAACAAAAGATGGGAGGAAAAAAAGCAGGGGTGTAGGGGAGTAATTTGAGAATCACTTGATTTACTCAAGGAAAGGTTGACATGAGCTTCTACAGCTTTTTAAAAGTGAGAATATAGACAATAAACGTAGAAATGTCACAAAATCATAAGAAAATAGAGGTGAAGAAAATGTTTTGAGAAATTATCATCTTGAAGAAAAAAGGGAAGGAACATCAATGAAAATAACCATTAAGAAAAAAGGTAGCCTATCTTTTGGAGGAAAATAGAAATGAATAAAAATACAGTCCGGGCATGGTGGCTCACGCCTGTAATCCCAGCACTTTGGGAGGCCGAGGCAGTTGGATCACTTGAGGACAGGAGCAGGAGTTCAAGACCAGCCTAGCCATCATGGTGAAACCCTGTCTCTATTAAAAAGCAGAAAAATTAGCCCAGAGCAGTGGCACGCACCTCTAGTCCTAGCTACTCGGGAGGCTGAGGCAGAAGAATCACTTGAACTCGGGAGGCAGAGGTTTCAGTGAGCAGAGACTGTGCCACTGCACTCCAGCATGGGCAACAAGTGAGACTCTGTCTCAAAAAAAAAAAAAAAAAAAAAAAATGAATAAAAATGGAGAAATTGATAGTTTAAAGCAAATAATAATTGTCACTTAGAGGTAAAAATATAGATGTTTTTCTCAAACCTTGAATTCTGACAATTTTTTAAAAACTTATTTTTCTTTCAGCAAAAAAATCACGGAAAATTGTAAATACAATTCCTCACTACCACAAATTATGCAGGTTGACAATGTTTATTCTTTCCCTCAATTACATACAAGGCTTTTTTTCCTTTCCAGCCAAAAATCTTCAACCAATTCATTCTGTTGATTGTTTCCTTTGCTGTGCAGAAGCTTTTTTGTCTGTAGTCTTACTTGCAGAAAGAAATACTGGATGATTCCACTTATGTGAGGTATCTAAAATAGTCGAACTCATAGAAACAGAAAAAATGGTTGTTCCCAGAACTTGAAAGGAGGAGGAAATGGGTAGTTGCTGTTCAATGGGTACAGAATTTCAGTTACACAAGATGAGTAAGTTCTAGAGATCTGCTGTACAACATTATGCCCATAGTTAATACCGTATTGTACAGTTAAAAATTTGTTAAGAGGGTACATCTCATGTTAAGTGTTCTTACCGCAACAATAATAATAATAATTTTCAGCCGAAAGAGGTATAAAAACTATTTCCCTCAAAGTTACCACAATTAATACAAGGTAGGCAATTCCTTCTGTCTGCCCTGTTCAGGAGAGATCTGAGAACTACGATCTCCATAAATGGAGAGATACTCATCTTTATAATCCAGGCAAGTACATGATAGGCACTCAACAAACAATAAGAAATCAAATGAACAGAAAAATAGGCATGCACCTAAAATGCTACTTTTTCCTTGAGATATCACTCAAGATTTCTGTCACATCAAAGAATAGCAAGAACTATTTTTAAATTCAACTAAAGGAAAATATAATTCAATTAAACAAAATGCAAAGCTTCTCAGACATGGATCGATTTTTTAAAATATTATCTTTTGACAGATCATGAAAAGAAATTTCAGAATTAAAATCCTGGCTATTACTGAATAGGAATACAAATAACCATTTTGTTACCTAAGATTAGAAATAAGATAACACCTAATTCATTTTCATCTTTCACTGCATTCACCAGCCTTAGTTAAATCCTGTTTAGAGGCTCCTTTTTGAACAATGCTGCCAGGAGCGCTTTTTATTACAAGTTTTGTAAATTGACCTGGAGACAATTAGGTCTAGTCAGAAGCTTGCACAATGACCATAATTTTTTATCAATAGAAATCTCTCTGCATTTTTAAATAGGTTAATAATTATATTCCAGATAACGACATCTTTTTTTATCTGACATCTACTCTATTTGGTTAGATACAACGTGGGGGAAGGAAGATTTTAATTCTAAGTATGACACCCGAAATAGGCTGCCACATGACATCAAAAATCTCTTCTTGTACTAAATGAAGCAAGATAAATCTAACTGTCCCTGTCATCATTCACGAGCATCCATCCCTTGCCTTACCTCTACCATACAAAAAAGGGGGGTGACAGAAAAAGATAATCTATGGCATGTATTTGCGTGCCTCCAGCCACTAGACTCCGAGTCCTTGAAGGCACAAACCAAACATGATTCTCTTTGATCTTGGCCCTGACAAAAGGCCCTAACAAAAGTATGCTTTTGATTTAGCTTGGGTGAAGATTGGTCAGTTTTGAATACAAGATTCTAACCAGACAGTAAACTGTGAGGACATTTGTTGTGGTCCCAGGCAATAGGGTTTAATATTCTATTTAGTTTCCTAACCTGGAAAGCCTGTTCTTTCACCCATCAAGCATTAAGCATCTTCTAGAACCAGGCACTGTTACATTGCTTCAGATACATAAGATAGTAAAATTCCTTTCCCCGATAGCCTACATTCTATTGGAGGAAGACAGATAATAAAAATTAAGTATAATAATTTATATCCTATGTTAGGTAATAAGTGCTATGGAAAAAGAATGGAATAAAGCAGGTTAAAGGGGATCAGGAATGCAGAGGAGAATGACTGTGATTTTAAATAGGTTGGTCAGAGTAGGCTTCCTTAAGAAGGTCACATCTGAACAGAGACACAGAAAAAGTGAGAGAATGAGCCATGAGAATATTTTGGGAAAGGCAGCAAGAGGAAACAGTTTCTGTTTTCTGCATATGGCTAGCCAGTTTTCCTAACACCATTTATTAATAGGGAATCCTTTCCCCATTGCTTGTTTTTCTCAGGTTTGTCAAAGATCAGATGGTTGTAGATGTGTGGTGTTATTTCTGAGGTCTGCTTCTGCTCCATTTGTCTATAT
The DNA here is from genome assembly GCF_000001405.40 of Homo sapiens. NCBI lineage: Eukaryota > Metazoa > Chordata > Mammalia > Primates > Hominidae > Homo > Homo sapiens. The sequence goes on along the minus strand of NC_000014.9, from coordinate 32,277,506 downwards.
CTCTGTTTTAGTACCAGTACCATGCTGTTTTGGTTACTGTAGCCTTGTAGTATAGTTTGAAGTCAGGTAGCATGATGCCTCCAGCTTTGTTCTTTTTGCTTAGGATTGTCTTGGCTCTATGAGCTCTTTTTTGGTTCCATATGAAATTTAAAGTAGTTTTTACTAATTTTGCAAAGAAAGTCAATGATAGCTTGATGGGAATGGCACTGAATCTATAAATTACTTTGGGCAGTATGGCCATTTTCACAAGACAGATTCTTCCAATCCAAGGGCATGGAATGTTTTTCCATTTGTTTGTATCCTCTCTTATTTCCTTGAGCAGTAATCTGTAGTTCTCCTTGAGGATGTCTTTCATGTTGTGTAAGTTGTATTCCTAAGTATTTTATTCTCTTTGCAGCAATTGTGAATGGGAGTTCATTCATGATTTGGCTCTCTGCTTGTCTGTTATTGGTGTAAAGGAATGCTTGTGATTTTTGCACATTGATTTTGTATCCTGAGACTTTGTATCCTGAATGAAGTTGCTTATCAGCTTAAGGAGTTTTCAGGCTGAGATGATGGGGTTTCCTAAATATACAGTCCTGTCATATGCAAACAGAGACAATTTGACTTCTTCTCTTCCTATTTGAATATTCTTTCTTTCTTTCTTTCTCTTGCCTGATTGCCCTGGCCAGAACTTGCAATACTATGTTGAATAGGAGTGGTGAGAGACGGCATCCTTGTCCTGTGCTGGTTTTCAAAGACAATGCTTGCAGCTTTTGCCCATTCAGTATGATATTGGCTATGGGTTTGTCATAAATAGCTCATTATTTTGAGATAAGTTCCATCAACATCTAGTTTGTTGAGACTTTTTAGCATGAAGAGATGTTGAATTTTATCAAAGGTCTTTTCTGCATCTATTGAGATAATCATGTGGTTTTTGTCATTGGTTCTGTTTATGTGATAGATTACGTTAATTGATTTGCACATGTTGAACCAGCCTCGCATCCCAGAGATGAAGCTGACTTGATAGTGGTTGATAAGCTTTTTGATGTGCTGCTGGATTCAGTTTGCCAGTATTTTATTGAGGATTTTCGCGTCAATGTTCATCAGGGATATTGGCCTGAAATTTTCTTTTTTTGTTGTTGTCTCTGCCAGGTTTTGGTATTAGGATGATGATGGTCTCATAAAATGAATTAGAGAGGAGTCCCTCTTTTTCTATTGTTTGGAATAGTTTCAGAAGGAATAGTACCAGCTCCTCTTTGTACCTCTGGTGAATTCGGCTGTGAATCCATCTGGTCCTGGGATTTTTTTGGTTGGTAGGGTATTAATTACTGCCTCAATTTCAGAACTTGTTATTGGTCCATTCAGGGATTACACTTCTTCCTGGTTTAGTCTTGGGAGGATGTATGTGTCCAGGAATTTATCCATTTCTTCTAGATTTTCTAGTTTATTTGCATAGAGGTGTTTATAGTCTTCTCTGATGGTAGTTTGTATTTCTGTGGGATCAGTGGTGATATCCTCTTTGTCATTTTTTTATCATGTCTATTTGATTCTTCTCTCTTTTCTTATTAGTATGGCTAGTGGTCTATCTATTTTGTTAATCTTTTCAAAAAACCAGCTCCTGGATTCATTGATTTTTTTGAAGAGTTTTTCGTGTCTCTATCTCTTTCAGTTCTGCTCTGATCTTAGTTATTTCTTGTCTTCTGCTAGTTTTTGAATTTGTTTGCTCTTGCTTCTCTAGTTCTTTTAATTGTGATGTTAGGGTCTCAATTTTAGATCTTTCCAGCTTTCTGATGTGGGCACTTAGTGCTATAAATTTCCCTCTTAACACTGCTTTAGCTGTGTCCCAGAGATTCTGGTACGTTGTCTCTTTGTTCTCACTGGTTTCAAAGCACTTCTTTATTTCTGCCTTAATTTCATTATTTACCCAGTAGTCATTCAGAAGCAGGTTGCTCAATTTCCATATAGTTTTATGGTTTTGAGTGAGTTTCTGAATCCTGAGTTCTAATTTAATTGCGCTGTGGTCTGAGAAACTGTTTGTTGGATTTCTGTTTTTTGCATTTGCTGAGGAGTGTTTTACTTCCAGTTATGTGGTCAATTTTAGAATAAGTGTGATGTGGTGCTGAGAAGAATGTATATTCTGCTGATTTGGGGTGGAGAGTTCTGTAGATGTCTGCTAGGTCCACTTGGTCCAGAGCTGAGTTCAAGTCCTGAATATCCTTGTTAATTATCTGTCTCATTGATCTAATATTGACAGTGGGGTGTTAAAGTCCCCCACTATTATTGTGCTGGAGTCTAAGTCTCTTTGTAGGTCTCTAAGAACTTGTTTTATGAATCTGGGTGCTCCTGTATTGGGTGCATATATATTTAGGATAGTTAGCTCTTTTTGTTGCATTAATTCCTTTACCATTATGTAATGCCCTTCTTTGTCTTTTTTGAACTTTGTTGGTTTAAAGTCTGTTTTATCAGAGACTAGGATCGCAACCCTTGCTTTTTTTTGCTTTCCATTTGCTTTCTAAATATCCCTCCATCCCTTTATTTTGAGCCTATGTGTGTCTTTGCATGTGAGATGGGTCTCCTGAATACAGCACATTGACGGGTCTTGACTCTTTATCCAATTTGCCAGTCTGTGTCTTTGAATTGGGGCATGTAGCCCATTTACATTTAAGGTTAATATTGTTATGTGTGAATTTGATCCTGTCATCATGATGGTAGCTGGTTATTCTGCATATTAGTTGATGCAATTTCTTCATAGTGTCACTGACCTTTATATTTTGGTGTGTTTTTGCAGTGGCTGGTACTGGTTTTTCCTTTCCATATTTATTGTTTTCTTCAGGAGCTCTTGTAAGGCAGGCTTGGTGGTGACAAAATCCCTCAGCATTTGCTTGTCTATAAAGAATTTTATGTCTTCTTCACTTATGAAGCTTAGTTTGGCTGGATATGAAATACTGGGTTGAAAATTCTCTTCTTTAAGAATGTTGAATATTGGCCCCCACTGTCTTCTGGCTTGTAGGGTTTCTGCAGAGAGATCTGCTGTTAGTCTGATGGGCTTCCCTTTGTAGGTAACCTGACGTTTCTCTCTGGCTGCCCTTAACATTTTTTCCTTCATTTCAATCTTTGAGAATCTGATGATTATTGTGTCTTGGGGTTGCTCTTCTCAAGGAGTATCTTAGTGGTATTCTCTGTATTTCCTGAATTTGAATGTGGGCCTGTCTTGCTACATTGGGGAAGTTCTCCTGGATAATATCCTGAAGTGTGTTTTCCAACTTGGTTCCATTCTCCTCGTCACTTTCAGGTACATCAATCAATCGTAGGTTTGGTCTTTTCACATAGTCCTGTGTTTCTTGGAGGCTTTGTTTGTTCCTTTTTATTCTTTTTTCTCTAATCTTGTCTTCATGCCTTATTTCAGTAAGTTGATCTTCAATCTCTGATATCTTTTCTTCCTCTTGATCAATTCAGCCATTGATACTTGTGTATGCTTCACGAAGTTCTCGTGCTGTGTTTTTCAGCTCCATCAGGTCATTTATGTTCCTCTCTAAACTGGTTATTCCAGTTAGCAGTTCCTGTAACCTTTTATCAAGGTTCTTAGCTTCCTTGCATTGCATTACAACATGCTCCTTTAGCTCAGAGGAGTTTGTTATTACCCAGCTTCTGAAGCTTACTTCTGTGAATTTGTCAATCTCATTCTCTGTCCAGTTTTGTGTCCTTGCTGGAGAGGAGTTGCAATCATTTGGAGGAGAAAAGGATTCTAGTTTTTTGGAATTTTCAGTGTTTTCACGCTGGTTTTTCCTCATCATCGTGGATTTATCTACCTTGCATCTTTGAGGCTGATGACCTTTAGATGGGGTTTTTGTGTGGGGGTCCTTTATGTTGATGTTGATGTTGTTGCTTGTTGCTTTCTGTTTGTTAGTTTTTCTTCTAACAGGCCCCTCTTCTGCAGGTCTGCTGTAGCTTGCTGGAGGTCCACTCCAGCCCCTGTTTGCCTGGGTATCACCAGTGGAGGCTGCAGAACAGCAAAGATTGCTGCCTGCTCCTTCCTCTGGAAGCTTCCTCCCAGAGGGGCACCAGCCTGATGCCAGCCAGAGCTCTCTGTATGAGATGCCTGTTGACCCCTGTTGGGAGGTCTCGCCCAGTCAGGAGGCATAGGAGTCAGGGACCCATGTGAGGAGGCAGTCTGTCCCTTAGCAGAGCTGGTGTGCTGTACTGGGAGAATCCCTTGTCAGGACCAGCTGTTCTCTTCAGAGCCTCTGAAGCTGCTCCCACAGCCGCCCCTTCCCCGAGCTGCTCTTTCCCAGGGAGATGGGAGTTATATCTGTAAGCCCCTGACTGGGGCTGCCGCGTTTCCTTCAGAGGTGTCCTGCCTAGTGAGGAGGGATCTAAAGAAGCAGTCTGGCCATAGTGACTTTGCTGTGCTGTGGTGAATCCCACTAGGCCAGACCTCCCACCCTCTTTAGCACTGTCAGGGGAAAACCAGCTACTAATGCCTCAGTAATCGCAGATGCCCCTCCCTCAAGCTCGATCGCCCCAGGTCAACTTCAGACTGCTGTGCTGACAGTGAGAATTTCAAGCCAGTGGTTTTTAGCTTGCTGGGCTCCGTGGGAGTGGGACCCACTGAGTGAAACCACTTGGCTCCCTGGCTTCAGCCCCCTCTTGCTAGAGGAGTGAACAGTTCTGTCTCGCTGGGGTTCCAGGCACCACTGGGGTATAAAAACTCCTGCAGCTAGCTCAGTGTCTGCCCAAACAGCTGCCCAGTTTTCTGCTTGAAACCCAGGGCCCTGGTGGTGTAGGCACACAAGGAAATCTCCTGATCTGCAGATTGCAAAAACCGTGGGAAAAGCATAGTAACCGGCCAGGTAGCACAGTCCCTCATGGCTTCCCTTGGCTGGGGCAGGGAGGTTCCCCTGGCTCCTTGCACTTCCCGGGTGAAGCGACACCCCACCCTGTTTCTGTGTGCCCTCCATGGGTTGGACCCACTGCCTAACCAGTGAGATGAACTGGGTACCTCAGTTGGAAATGCAGAAATCACCTGCCTTCTGCATCGGTCTCGCTGGGAGCTGCAAACTGCAGCTGTTCCTATTCGGCCATCTCCTTGCAGACTTTTTTTCTGTTATTGTTTTCTTGATTTCATTTTTGGATGCTTCATGTGTATGTTGATTTTGTATTCATTTATTGGTTGTAACAGTTTGTTAAGTCTTTAAAGTTTTCTACATATAAGATTATGTCGAGGTATCGTACGTGCGGCCAGCCGAGCCGGCGTTTCTGGCCCGCTTCAAGGAACGGGTCGGCTACAGGGAGGGACCCACCGTAGAGACTAAGAGAATTCAGCCTCAGCCCCCAGATGAAGATGGGGATCACAGTGACAAAGAAGATGAACAGCCTCAAGTGGTGGTTTTAAAAAAGGGAGACCTGTCAGTTGAAGAAGTCACGAAAATTAAAGCAGAAATAAAGGCTGCCAAAGCAGATGAAGAACCAACTCCAGCCGATGGAAGAGTCATATATCGAAAACCAGTCAAGCATCCCTCAGATGAAAAATATTCAGGTTTAACAGCAAGCTCAAAAAAGAAGAAGCCAAATGAAGATGAAGTAAATCAGGACTCGGTCAAAAAGAACTCACAAAAACAAATTAAAAATAGTAGCCTCCTTTCTTTTGACAACGAAGACGAAAATGAGTAAGTGTAAATATTTTGAATTCAGTCTACTTTGAAAGTATATGGAGTGTTCATTAAAATCACATTTTTTTCCTATTATAAAGATACTACAAGTTCTTTATAGAAAGTTTAGGAAATAGAGAAAAAAATTTAATAAACTACATCTATTCATCAATACCCCTCTGACTTAAAATGCCAACTCTATAGAAATTAGCTAGTATTAACATTTTGTTATTTCCCTTGTGTGGTTGTATATATATGTAAATTATATTTCTAAGCAAAATACATTTTTTGTGTGTGTAAACAAAATTTTATAAATACAACTGTATTGCAAATGTTCTTTGTCCTGCTTCTCACTTGACATTGCATTATGAGTATTCTTCCAGGTCAGTAAATTTCAAAAACCTGACATTAATAGCTACAGATAATTTCATAAACATCTCATTGTATCTTTTTCATTAGCAATAGCTCCACTTTGGGTGGGGGAGATGATAATGTGCTTTGTTAAAAATACCTCCCCAACTCCTGCTAAGGGTGGCCATGAGACTCAGCTCTGGCAAGTTAAGAAATACAGGTGGAATTCTGCTTGATAAAGCTGCTGGGTTTTTTTGTTACAAAAGGACAGACTTGGCAAGCATGAGCCTTTGCTCTTATCTTTTCATCCTACTTGGAGTGCAGAGATAAAACCTGAGTACCAGAGCCACTTTTAGGCATAAGGAAGGCAGCCATGTGCTTTGGGTCATGTTAGTAAAAAGACTCAGAGCTTGGCTCCTTGCTGACATGCCTGGAGGAGCTGCTACACCAGCTTGGATTGCTGACCTCTGACTTCTTGGTAGTGAGAAGAATAAACACTGTGCTTAATTAGGCCTCGGTCAGGTTTCTCTTATATGCAGCCAAATGCAGTCCTAAGTAATACAATAAATAACTGGTCAAACTGTTACTGGTGGAGGGTGTCCAGGTTCTTGGCATTTTGGACAAATAATTGAACAAAACGCACAAAGCAATGAATATCCTCTAGAGGTTTGCCATTGGTTACTTGGCGTACACCCTGTGTAAATGAAGTAGTGGCCCGTGACCTGTCTGATTGGTGCAGAAAGTGACCAATCAGAGGCTGAAGTGAAGTTACAAAGTTATACTCCTGTGTAAATGAGGACTTGGCTTATGACCAGTCTGATTGGTTGCAGGAGGGGACCAATCAGAGGCACTTTCATGTTTCATCTGCAATGCAGAAAAGGCAAGGGGATTGCAAAGGGAGTAGCCTCTGATCCTTTTGTTACTTAGGTATGGAGAGGTGGGGTTTTCCTTTTGATTCAGTTCTAGGAAGTCAATGTGAATCAGCCTTAGGTTCCCTGTCTCCAGACCCTATTCTCCTGCCTCATTTTCCCCCTGAGAGACGTGATCCTCGTAAATCTTTACGGGAGGCTGAGAGACTGAGGGTCTTTCTTCTGTAACTGCTTCATGCTAACTTGGGACACAGTCCCTACCTACTGGAGATCACGTAACTCTCACCCTGCTTTGTCTAGGGGAGACAGGGTAGCTTCTTGATGGCCGGTGGTGTCTTTACCTGAAACTGGCTAGAAATCTTGTCACATGATCATCTAACTTGGTGGTCTCTAGGCAAAAGGAAATGGATTTGGTTAAAAGATTTAACAAATATGGTCCAAAAACCAAGGCAAATATAATCATTAATAATGGGCTGGCCAAGGGAGGGAGCCATGAAACCCAACTTAGTGCCCTTTAGGTGCCCCAGCTGTTGTCATATTTTAGAGGCCCAGTCAGCTAGTTTTCAGGTGGTGTCCCTTACTAATCCTGATTGGCTGACATCAAAACAGCATTCTTCTTCTAGGAAAATACATAAGCCACCTGTTTCAGCAGTTAGGAGATCTAGTCCCCTTCAATTTTGCAAAGCGACCACTGCCAAGGAGCCTATCTGAATTTGTAAGGTGACAATACTTTGAGCAATGTTATCCAGGCTTTCCATAAAATCCTTGGACAAGCGTTGGTAATAGGATAGGGAAGTTGCAATCCCGCTAACTCCCATTCCTACCCCTGCTGTTATTCCTAGCCGTTGTGTCTGGTGGTTGCAGTTAAAGGTATAATGAGGGATTGGTTGTTGGGAGCTATATTAATTTAGGGACATACAATATTTCTGTCTCCAGTCTACCACTTCCACCAAAGACAAATCACAGCAGAACCGACCTAACTTCAAAATAAACTTCAGTCCCGTATACTGGGCCTGATTACCCACACAAAGTGCAACAAGAATCATTGTCCATATAGACTCTCCTAGATTGGCTTTGCTAGAACATTTCACAAGGCCATTTCAGTCAAAGTCCTGAGAAAGTAACCGGTTTCAATTGTGCCCTATTACAAAAGAAAACGTGGTTATTAACTTTATACAGACAAATGCCATGAATTAAGAATATTCATAAATAGTTTACAAATTCTGGAGAAATTAGAATACTCAATACACTTAAAGTGTATTTCAAGGCTATAAATAGCTCAAAATAAAAAGATTATTCAGACTCTGAAAAAACAAAAAGAAGTAGCAATATTTCAAACAACAAAAGCCATACAAATTATTTCAGTCTTCCATTAGTTCATTTCAGTCCATGTAATCAACTCCTGCTCTACTTCATATTCATCTTTATGAACACATCAGCCTTTCAATTAGTGCCTTGGAAGTTTTCTGTCTAATCCAATGGCACACTCTCCAAAGTTACCAGAAACCTGCATTCAAGAGTTCTTTTCATGAACTCCAAAGAAGTAAGCCTTGGACTGTAGCTGATTATAAGTCACTTTTTTTTTTTGAGAAGGATCACAGCAAAACATCAATTATGGATGACAAAAGTCTTAAGACAGCCATAAAGACACAGTTGACAAATGTGGCTATTTCTGTGGCTTACAACAATTTAACATAATCATTACAACATATATTAAGACATATCAGAATTTTAGAACTCTCATACAATCCTGGAACACATATTAACAACAAATCTCTATCAGTATAACCCAAAGGAAGCTAAACACCACTTCACACTTGACAATGTTTCCTGTATAATTCAAACATTACAAATAAGCCTAATATGTCACTCTTGAACTTCAGGAAGCCTAATATCCAAAAAGTTAGTTTAGGGTCAAAAGTTTTTGAATTAACTTTTTTCCATTAGTATGGTCATATCTTTCTTACTAATTTGTAAGTTATGTAATTTATCAATTTTTTTGTTGTTGTTCTGTTTCCCAACCTCTATGTCAGATAAAGAATCACCCAGGCCAGACACAATGGCTCATGCTTGTGATCCCAACACTTTGGGAAGCCAAGGTGGGAGAATTGCTTGAAGCCAGGAATCTGAGCCCAGCCTGGGCGACAAAGCAATACCCCTATCTCTACAAAAAATAAAAAATAGCCAGGTGTAGCGACACACACCTGTGGTCCCAGCTGCTCGGGAGGCTGAGCAGGAGGATGGCTTGGGCCCAGGAGTTCAAGGCTGCAGTGAGCTATGATTGCGCCGCTGCACTCCAGCCTGGGCAACAGAGTAAGAACTGTCTCAAAAAAAATAAAAAATAGAAATAAATTTTAAAAAAAGAATTACCCATATTCTCTTTGTTTTTGTTTATTCACATTAACCTTTATTCTATCTGGAATTTATTTGAGTACACTTTTTTCTCAAATAATCAATTGTCCTAGAACCATGTGTTTCTCATTTGTTTGAAAGGCCATCTAGTGAGAGATTTCTCCAAATGTTGGGGTAGGGAAGGGAGGGGAAGCACTTTAAAGTCTGAGCCTTTACAGGTGATTCCTCAAGACCCTGCTTAATCCTAATAATTTTCCTCATTAGTAAAAGTCAGCCCAAACTGGGGGCTTGTTAAGATCCTTACCAGCCACATCCATCTGAAATTATGAATTTCAAAGTATCTTACAAATTTTGTGCCACATTATCTTTTTTAAGTTTGTTTTGTTTTGTTTTTTTTGGGACAGAGTCTCGCTCTGTCGCCCAGGCTGGAGTGCAGTGGCGCGATCTCGGCTCACTGCAAGCTCCGCCTCCTGGGTTCACACCATTCTCCTGCCTCGGCCTCCCGAGTATCTGGGACTACAGTCGCTCGCCACCACGCCCGGCTAATTTTTTTGTATTTTTAGTAGAGACGGGGTTTCACTTTGTTAGCCAGGATGGTCTCAATCTCCTGACCTCATGATCCACCTGCCTCGGCCTCCCAAAGTGCTGGGACTACAGGCAGGAGCCACCGCGCCTGGGCCTTTTTTTAAGTTTTAAGTACCTACAAAGAACACTGAAAGGTGATGTGTGTGGATGAGCTAGGAAGACCTGAAATAGGCTCTCTCTAAATTAATCAAATTAATCCTGAAGCCATTCTGCAATAATGTCTTTAATGTATACTCACTTGTTATAGAAGCCAGGGTTTTTTCCCCTAATTTGTATCATTGCTATATGTGTTATTGTACCAAACTACACTGTTTTAATTGCTGTAAATTTTAATATGTCTTAGTATCTGGGTGTGGGAATCTTGAAAGCATGGAGTTTGTGTTATTCACCACTGTATTCTCAATATCAGAAGAGTATCTGGCCTACTAAGTGCACAATAAACATAGTTAAAATGAAAAAAAAAAAAGATTATGTCACCTGCAAATAGAGATAATTTTACTTCTTCCTTTCTTATATGGATGCTTTTATTTTTTATTTATTTATTTATGTCTTCCTGCTCTGGCTAAGGTTTCCAGTATTACATCAAAAAATAAGTGGTGAGAGTGGGTATCTGTACCTTGTACTGGATTCTAGAAGGAAAGCTTTGTTTTACCCCATTGATGATAATGTTAGCTGCAGGCTTTAGATATATCACCTTTATTGTGTTGAGGATACTTACTTCCATATCTATTTTGTTGAGAGTATTAATCATAAGTGGATGTTGAACTTTGTCAAAGGTTTTTTCTGCCTTTGTCAAAGGCATTTTTCTGTCTATTTAGATGATCATATTTTTCTTTGATTTTATTAGCATGTTGTATCACATTGATTTGTATATGTTGAACCATCCTTGCATCTCAGAGATAAATCCTACTTGGTCATGGTGTATGATCCTTTTAATGTGCTGTTGAATTCAGTTTGCTAGTATGTGCTTGAGGATTTTTACATCTATGTTCATCAGAGATATTGGCCTGTAATTTGCTTTTCTTATAATGTCTTTGTTTGGTTTTGGTATCAGGGTGATGCTGGCCTCATAGAATGAGTCTGAAAGTGTTCCTTCTATTTTTTGGAAGAGTTTAAGAAGGATTTGTATTAATTCTGCTTTGAATGTTTGGTAGAATTCATCGGTGAAGCTATCTGATTCTGCACCTTTTTTTCTAGGGAGATTTTTTACTACTGGTTCAATCTCCTTATTTGTTATTGGTCTTTTCAAAATTTCTATTTCTTCTTGAATCAGTTTTGGTAAGTTGTATGTTTCTAGAAATTTTTCCATTTCTTCTAGTTTATCCAGTTTGTTGGCATAATAGTATCTTATGACTCTTTTTATTTCTGGGGTATCCATTGTAATAATGCTCTTTCTTCTTGAGTCTTTTTTTCTTAGTCTAGCTAAGGGTTTGTCAGTTTTGTTTATCTTTTCCAAAAAACAGCTCTTAGTTTTGTTTTTCTATTCTCAATTTATTTCTGCTCTAATCTTTATTATTTCCTTCTTTTTGCTAGCTTTGTGTTTGGCTTTGGCTTATTCTTCTTTTTCCAGTTCCTTGAGATGTAAAGTTAGGTTGTTTATTTGGCATCTTTCTCTTTTTTTTAATGTAGGCATTGATTGCTATAAACTTCCTTCTCAGTATTGCTTTTGCTGCATCTCACAGGATTTGATATGCGGTGATTTTGTTTTCACTTGTCTTGAGATAGTTTTGAAATTCTTTTTTTATTTCGTCTTTGACTTAATGGTAGTTCAAAAGCATGTTGCACAGTTTCCATGTATTTGTGAATTTTCTGGTTTTCTTGATGTCTTTTCATTCCACAGTGGTCAGAAAAGATGCCTCAAAAGATTTCAATCTTCTTCTACTTGTTAAGATTTGTTTCATAACAAATGGCACGTGTTATATGCTAACATGTGATATATCCTTGAGAATGTTCCATGTGTGCTTTAGAAGTTTATTCTTCTGCTGTTAAATGGAAAGTTCTGTGTAGGTCTGTTAGCTCCATTTGGTCTACAGCATTGTTCAAGTCAGCTGTTTCTTTATTGATTTTCTGTCTGGATGTTCTATCCATTAGCATAAGTGGGGTAGTGAAGTTCCCTACAACAATTGTATTGATGGCAATTTTGGTCTTCAGATCTATCAACATCTGTGGACATAATTAGGTGCTGTGATGTTGGGTGTGTATATAATTAAAATTGTTATATATTCGTGTTAAATTGACCCTTATATCATTTAATAATGACCATCTTTTTCTCTACAGTTTCCAACCTAAAATCTATTTTGTCTGATATAAATATAGCCACTTCTGCTTTATTTTGGTTACCATTTGCATGAACTACATTTTTCCATCCCTATAATTTCAGTCAAGGTGTCTTTCAATCTCAAGTGAGTTTCTTGTGGACAGTATATATTGTTTTTTAATCCATTCAGCCACTCTATGCCTTTTGAGTGGTGAGTCTGTCTAATGGATTTACATTTAAGGTAATTATTGATAAGTGAGGACTTACTATTACCATTTTGTTAATTGTTTTCTTTTTTGCTTTTATTTTCCCTCTTTTCCTCTTTTGCTTTCTTCCTTTTCCTTAGTTCCTTTTATCCTTATTTTTTGTTTACCTATGGTAGGTTTTTTCTTTATGGTTAGCTTGAAGATTGCATAAAATAATCTTGTAGTTATACCGTTTAGTTTAAGTTGATAACTTAATTTCAATTGCATACAAAAACACTACATGTTTACTCCCCTCCTCCCACACACACTTTGTGTTTTGTAGTGAGAGTTTGTTTCTTTTTGTATTGTGATTCCATTAACAAATTTTTATCTTTTAACTTTAATATTAGGGTTAAAGTTAAATTATGCACCACCATTACACTGTTACATAAATATTTGTATGTCTATATATTTATATTTACAGTGAGATCTATGCTTTCATATGCTTTTGTGCAGCTGATCGGCATGTTTTCATTTCTATTTTTAAAACTCCGTTAGGGATTTCTTGTAAGGTACATCTAGTGGTGACAAACTCAATTTTTGTTTTTCTGAGAAAGACATTAATCTCTTCTTTTTTAAAGAACAATTTTCCCAGGTATAGTATTCTTGGATGGTAGTTTTTCTTCTTTCAGTACTTTGAGTATATTATCCCACTCTCTCTCAGCTCACAAAGTTTCTATTTAGAAATCTGCTGCCATAAAATTTTATGGGGATTTCCTTATTTACAATGAGTTGCTTTTCTCTTTCTGCTTTAAGAATTATTTTTTCTTGACTTTAAACAATTCAAGTATAATGTGTCCTGGTGAAAAATCTCTCAATGTTCAGGCTCTTTGGGGTGTTTTAGGCATCATGGATCTAGATGTTCATTTCTCTAATCAGATTTGAGAAATTTTCTGCCATTACTTCCTTAATTAAGCCTTATGCCTCTTTCTCTGCTTCTTCTGGAACTCCCATAATACGCATATTGTTTTGCTTAAAGTGGCCCTAAAAGTCACTTCAGATTTATTAATTCTTTTTTTGTTTTGTTTTGCTCCTCTGACTTGGTCATTTCAAATGATCTGTCAAGTTTACTGATTCTTTCTTCTATTTGACAGAGTCTGCTGTTGAAGCTCTCTACTGAATTTTTCACTTCAATCATTGTATTCTTCAGCTCCAGAATTCATTTGGTTCTCTTTTATGGCATCTATCTCTTTGTTAAACTTCTCATTTTCTTCATGTATTATTTTCCCAATTTTTGTTTAGTTGTCTATCTGTATTCTCTTGTAGCTCAGAGTTTAAGATTACTCTGAATTCTTTGTTAGGTAATTTGTAGATATCCATTTCTTTGGGGTCAGTTACTGGAAAATTATTGTGTTCCCTTGTTGGTGATATGTTTCCTTGATTTTTTGTTTCTCATAGCTTTGCGTTGATGTCTATACATTTGAGGAAGCCATCACCTCTTCCAGGCTTTGGATGGTTTCAGTGGGGAAGGACCTTCACCCATGGATGAGTGTGAGGGTATTGTCTGGGTGGACCATGGCAGTTCCAACACTGATGAGGTCATAGCACTGTAGTTTCTTGCAGCTCCATCACCTGAGGTCAGTGTCAGCTAAGATTGCAGGTGTCTTCAATGGCAGCAAAGGCTATTGAGATCTTCAGTGGTGAAGGCCGCTGGAGTCCTCCTGTTCTCTTTATCCCCCATGGCCAAGGGAATCCTTCTTGGAGCCACATCCAGGGTCTGGAGCACAGGCATGCATGGAGTGATTGTGGCTCTGGAATCCAGGGCCCAGGTGTACCCACTATGGTGGTGTCACCAGTGTGTGAAACACAGGTGTTCTTAGAACAACTATGAAGCTGAGGAGTGCAGGCACATCTGCTGTAGCAGTGGTACCTGTGTCCAAGGTGCAGGCATGTCCACGGCGGTAGTGATGCTGGTGTGCAATACACAGGCACTCATGAAGCAATTGAGAGTCAGGGTCTGGAGCACAGGTGTATGCAGAAAGACCAGGGTACAGGCATGCATGCAGTTGCCAAGGGGGTGGAGTGGTGTCTCCAGCCTGAGTGGTGCAGCAGCAACTCCTTCTCAGCGGGCAGGAGGGCAGGCGTGCAGCAGTGTCTCCTTCTCCAGGGGGCTAATAGCAGTTGTGATGACTGCTGAGGTCCTTTGCAGAGCAGTCCACTGGGAACCATGGTGGCACCCACTCCATGGCTGATAGTGATATTGATAGCCCCCACCCTTCTCTTTTGTTCTTATCTGTTTCTAAATGTCTCAGTTATGCTGATCTCCTCAGCAGTATTAGTGGAGTGCAACCAAAGAAGGTCCTTTAGGCAGTCCCTCAAAAAGGCTGGGGAAGCAGGTTGCTCACCCTGCTCTACTTTGCTCTATGAGGGGAACTCACAGGCCTGGGAGTGCTCTCTTGGTGCTGAGCTATGCTGGCCTGGGGAATGAAATAATGCAGGCAAAATGAAACTGTTCTTCCTAGCCTTTCTGTGCAGTGCAGTTATTCTCATGCCACCCGTTGTTTTTTTTTTTTTTTTTTTTAATTCTCCACTATGTTGCTGCAGCTTCTTTTTTTTTTTTTGAGATGGAGCCTCGCTCTGTCGTCTCCCAGGCTGGAGTGCAGTGGCGCGATCTTGGCTCACTGCAAGCTCGCTGCAGCTTCTTAATTGGACTCCTGGGCTCTCCTAAAGCTATTTTCATTCATGGATAGCTGTCTAATTGTTGTGTTGTGGAAGGACTCTGCCATCTTGCTGACATGACTCTCCACTCTCCCCCAGTAAATCTCTTGAAATTCTAATTCCATCTTGACATATATTCCCAAGAATCTGAACTGGCACAGGAAGGGAGATTTAAAAATTCAGTTTTAGAGATGGTAATTTTGAGATACCTACTAGACATACAAGTGGAGATGTCAAGTTAGATATACAAGTAGACTTAAGGAGTGATGTTTGGTTGAGTCATATAAATTTAGGATCCATCAACATATAGGTAGTATTTGAAGCCACAAGAGATCACAATGGGAGTGAATATAGATAAAGAAGCCTTAGGACTGAGTCCTGAGCACAACAATTTAAGAGTCCAATAAGAAGAGTAATCAGCAAGGGTGACCAAAAACAGTGACCAGTGAGGTAGGAGAAATCCAAGAATGTGAAATCCTGAAAGCCAAGCGAAGAAACTATATCAAGGAGAAGGGAGGAATTAATCATATAAAATGCAACTGATACATAAAATTAGTTGGCAACAAGAAACTGACCATTGGATTTAACAAACTGGAAACTGCCTGTGATCTTGGCAAGAGCAGTTTCAATGGTGTGGGCCGTGGGGAGAGTGAAAAACTTGAATGCAGTTTTTAAAGAATAGAGGAAGGGGAATCAGAGACCACCAAAAGTAGACAACTTTTCCAAGGAATTTTGCTGCAAATGGGGAGGCAAGAAAAGAGTTGATTTCTGGAGTGGAAAGTGACTCAAAAAATGATTTTTTAAGATGAGAGACAAGTTTGTGTGCTGACGGAAGTGTCCTACTAGAGAGGAAGAAACTGATGATATATGAAGAGAGGAGAATCTCCGGAGCTATGTTCTTGACTAGGTGAGAGGTGGTGGAATCCAATGCAGAAGAGGAGGAACTGACTTTTGACAGGAGAATGAACAGTTCATATGTAATAAGAGAGTGAAAACAGAATGCAGGGGTACAGATGTTGGTAAGTACATGATTGAGAGCATGGGTCTGTGGGCATCCTTCCTGACAGCTTCAGTGTTCTCAGTGAAATAGGAAGCAATGTCATGAACTGAAAGCAAGGATGAGGAAGGGAAAGTTAGTAGTTTGAAGAGAAGATGCAAATGGTTGTTTTACTGACAATACATAAAATGTATAATAGACAATATCCAAAGTATTCTTAGCTTACTTTGTGTATCTCTTTAAACTCTCTTGCCTGTGAGGAACTTTCTATTTTTTATGAACATTCAGTGGGACTAGATTATCCAAATACCATCTGAGGCACTATCTCATGGAATCTACCACAGCCAACATTAGAACCCATTTGATTTAGTTTATCTCAATGCTGCTGGATGAGAGCTTACTAGAAGACTTAAACATGACTGCTGCCCTATAAATGTAGGTCCTGAAGCCCCTCTTTTCTTGCCCTTCCCTGGCATTGTGAAATACTCTCAGGGAACCAGGTTAGTGACAATAATAATAGCTGAAATATGACCTTAAGAATTCTTGAAGGTAGATATGTATATGCATGAGAATGTGTGTGTCTGTATTTATATCAATGCCCAGTTGCTATAGGGCATATGTGTGTGTGTGTATGTGTATGTGTCTGTGTGTGTGTGTGTGTGTGTTAATATCAATGTCCAATTGCTATAGGGCCTACCATTCCCTGCCATCTTACATCTAGCGTGGTTTACTAGGATATTAACTGCATGGCCCATGAAGGTACTTAAAGTCACAAGACTTCTTTCAAGGGATAATAAAGGGAGTTAAGAAAAACTAAAATAGGCCAGATGCAGTGGCTCATACCTGTAATCCCAGCACTTTGGGAGGCCGAGACGGGCGGATCACGAGGTCAGGAGATCAAGACCATCCTGGCTAACACAGTGAAACCTCATCTCTACTAAAAATACAAAAAAATAGCCGGGCGTGGTGGCACATGCCTGTAGTCCCAGCTACTCAGGAGGCTGAGGCAGGAGAATTGCTTGAACCTAGGAGGCGGAGGTTGCAGTGAGCCGAGATCGTGCCACTGCACTCCAGCCTGGGCAACAGAGCAAGACTCCGTCTTAAAAAAAAAAGAAAAGAAAAGAGAAAGAAAAAGAAAAACTAAAATTTTTGTAATCTTTAATATAAATGTCCATATATTGGACACCTGGTTGTAACTGTAGTATAGTTCTAGTGTTAACTACCCACCCCCACCTCACAGATATAGATGCATATTCCCCATTCGAATATTACAAGTCTTGATCCTCTTTCATCCTCCTGGTGATGCACCCATCTTCTTGCTCAGTTTCAAACTGATTTGTTCACTCCTTGATCCCATGTTGGTAATTTTCTTTGGTATCATACATAACCTTCTAAATATAGAGCCCCTCATTCCCCGTCTTCAATTTGGGATTCAAGACACAGGCAAGACATTACCAATTATGTTTCCATGGCTCATGACTGAATAATGTGTGCAATACAGAAATCTCATGTTTGGGGTCCCTTTTGCATCTGGTTCCATCCCTAATTTATAATATGTTTGGGCATGAAAAGATTATCTTCTAGTTTACATGCATGCTGCTTACAAAACTGCCAAGTTACTTAAACTGCCTTCCTCAAGGACTGTTTCCTGTAAAAGTCCCCATTTAGTGAAAGATCAAAAGAACCACCTGCTGCCTGGGGCCAGAGCTGAGTTGGTTGATGAGTCATGGCTTATCTGTTTAACTCTTTCCCATTTGCCAGATGTGAGTGACACTACCTCCTCTCTTAGGAAGCAGAAGAGGAAACATGGCATGATAATGAACATCTGAGACATTTAAAATAATGAGCTTTTGCTGTAATGAATGGAATGTTAGAAATCATGTTCTTAACATGCAAAAGCTAAAATGAAAGGTCAGTTTTTCTGTATTGAATCAGTAAGTGAGAAAATGTTTTTTGACTGTGGTATTAGAAAGAAGGCAGCATTCTGACCACACTCTTCCTCCTCCTAAAGCTCTAAGAACACTTGTGATATTTTGTTGTGGTGGGTGGCTAAGATATTTGAATTTTTGAGTCATGAGGAAATTGAAGAGTTAAATCTCACTAGCTCACAGAACCAAGCAGAAAGATAAATGCAGAGTTTAAATGTCTTTTCTCCTTCTAAAACAAACAGTGCAGAGTCAGGCATTTAAGGCAACTTCCATTATAGTAAATTTTGCACAAATAGGGTCTAGAGTATGTGTCCTACAAAACTATTCCTTTTAGAAAATTAATAATCAACAAAGTAACAATAGATGGCTACTACGATGCAAAAACAGAAGTAGTCCAGAAAGGACCCCCTTTTCTGGAATTAGCTTTGTACCCAAATAGAATTTCATGTTTACAGGCCAAGGGTCTGAAAGAGAAAAGCTAAGTTTCTAAAGATAAATGGGTTAAAAGCTGGGGAGTCTGGATGGCATCCCCTGAGATACCATTTACCTGGCATCAGGAACGTTCAGTTTTTGAGTCAAAGCTATGTCTACGGTATGAGACAGACAGGTGTTGTTTTCAGGTCCTTCAGCAGAGGTTCAATTTCCTGGGATGCCAAGGGAGGAAAGTTCAGGCCAACTCAGCTTGTCTTTACTGACAGCAGGCCAAACTCTAGTGACGATCTGATTTGGAGAGCCAAGAAGTCTTAGTTTTGATCTTTGGTAAGGAAAAGCTGAGACTCTGGCCAAGTCAACAGAAAAGGGAAGAGGCCAGGGTGGGAGTAAATCTTATGAGATGATGCCTGCCTACACACTGGGAAGGCGTGTCCAGTTTGAGGCCTCTGGCTTGCCTGCTTACACTTAGGGCAATTACTGAGCTGCTGTTTACTAAGCCTTTACATAGAGGATATATTCATTTACTGTGTCTTTGACATGCTGTTTTAAAACATCTTAGAGAGGGGTCTTACCAGTGACAGATGACCCTGAGCTCAAGAACAGGGTCCTGTAGCTTTTCCAGAACCCTTTCCTGGGAGGTCTAAATCAACCTTCTGCTTTGCTTAATGTCAGAAATAGGAGGACGGTAACCAGGCTGGGAGCCCAGTAAAAGGCAGCTGGCTTCAACTGGCCTGTGGAAGTTGCTTTCTCTGTAGCATATAACTGGACAGACATATGGTGTAACAGTTTAAAGCACAGGCCATGAAGTCAGAAATGGGTCAGTTCCCAGTTCTGCCATTTTCCAGCTTTGTAAATTTCAGTAATTTTTAAAATCTCTGTAAGTTGGCTGGCCACAGTGGCCCACACCTGTAATCCCAGCACTTTGGGAGGCCAAGGTGGGCAGATCATGAGGTCAAGAGATGACCATCCTGGCCAACATGGTGAAACCTCGTCTCTACTGAAAATACAAAAATTAGCTGGGCGTGGTGGCACGCGCCTGTAATCCCAGCTACTTGGGAGGCTGAGGTAGGAGAATCACTTGAACCAGGGAGGTGGAGGTTGCAGCGAGCCAATATCGCGCCACTGCACTACAGCCTGGCGACACAGCAAGACTCCGTCTCAAAAAAAAAAAAAAAAAATCTCTGAAAGTCACTCTCTCCTCATCTGAAAAAAATGGGAATATACCTATCTCACAAGAAATAATAAAATAAAATAATACATGTAAAGTGTTTTGGCATTAAGTAAGTTGTTAACATCTGTGTTATCCTTATTACCAGTAGAACAATGAATTGAGAAAAAGGGAGACAGGAAAGTCATTCTTGATCTGTGATTCTATTTCTCAAGTTTTAAAATAGGAACGTGAGTATTCTACCCATTTACCTTTACCCATGAGTTCTTTACCATTTACCTGAGATGACAGAAGTGAATTTCATTAGGACAGAAATACAAGATGATGTCATTAATTAGGCTATCACCTGAGGAAACCAAGATACTATCATTAACAAAAGGCTATCACCTGAGGAAAGATGGCCTTGATATTTGTCTGCTTTCTAATTTTCTTATTACATGAGAATTCGCACTTTCAGTTTGTATTTGTCACGTGCTGAGATTTTAAAATGATATCAAAATGTCTCTATAAAGAAATAAATTTTTAAGAAAAGGAAAAACCAACAGGTGATGAAAAATGAAGCCTCCACATGGCAAGACTTTGCTGAGTCACTAGGCAAACTTTGATCAGGTCAACCTCAGTGAAAAAGAATTTAAACTGACCTAAATCTATCAGAAATGAGATCTCTTTTCTCCCCCTCTGGGGAAAAAACAAAACAAACAAACAAACAAACAAACACCAAAACGGGCCAGGCGCGGTGGCTCACGCCTGTAATCCCAGCACTTTGGGAGGCCGAGGCGGGCAGATTACCTGAGGTCAGGAGTCCAAGACCACCCTGGCCAACATGGTGAAACTCCATCTCTACTAAAAAAATACATAAAAATTAGCCGGGCATGGTGGCACACGCCTGTAAACCCAGCTACTCGGGAGGCTGAGGCAGGAGAATTGCTTGAGCCCAGGAGAGGGAGTTTGCAGTGAGCCGAGATCGTGCCACTGCACTCCAGCCTGGCTGACAGAGCAAGACTCTGTCTCAAAAAAATAAATAAATAAATAAATAACCAAAAAAAACCTAAAACCAAAACAAACACATTTTCTTACCAAAGTTCTGATGCAAAAGCTAACAACCCCACAGTGTTTCATTTTTGTTGAAAAAAAAAATTCTACAGTTTATTACCTTTCCTTGAAAATAATATATACAAGGTCTTAAATATTTACCAGATGATGCAGATCTGCCAGGGTTTTCAGCCAAGTTTCAAAGTTTTATGAAGTCACTTCTTGGACATATTTCTAACAATCTGGCCCATGAAAATTAACCGGGGAAGATATTTCCACCTTCTTCACATGGCCTTGAGCTCACAGTCTCTGTGTGTGCCCATAAGAAACCCACACCCTATAATCATAAATGTCCTAGCTCATTCAAAAGCAATTGTTACTACTGATAAATAAATACACACAAACAAAAGTTTATTCTTTGGGAACATTCATTTCCAGTGAAGACACCATGTGTTCTGGCTTCAGTACAAACTCATTTTCCCAGCCTCTACCTACTTAGATCTCAACTATCTGTTCTCTTTAAATATCTTCTCAAAAATAAATCTCAGTTCAGGTTTTCTACACTAGCAATTTTCAATTTAGACTCCATAAAGCCAAACACAAAACCTGTCTCAATCAGAGTAGATCCACATTTTTTCTTTAAACTTTACAATTTATTTAAATTGAGGCTGTAAAACATTTTTTAAAAATAATATTCTTCTGTAATTATATCCCTTAATACAGAAGTCTGTTTCATTACTTCAGTTGATAAAATTATTTAAATTAATCATAGATATTAAAATGTCTTATTCCCATTTAAAAATCTTTCAAAATTATTGTGTGCCTCTGAGAAATTTCAAATAACAGGGAGGCTGAGCCTCCACATCCTCTCCCAGTTGCCTTGAGGGTCTGGCTGCCAAAAATCTAAGTCTTGCCCATGGGAGTCCCACATACACATCCATCCAGGAAGGTCACATTCCATCCAGAACTCCAGAGGAACAAAATGATCCAAAGGGGTGCAAAATCAGGCCAACCATTTACTCTAGACCAAAATTTATCTATAAAACAGTGACCCAGTTAGTGAAGAAACATTATCCTCATTCCACCACACTATTATTTTTGTGTTTCTATGTGGGTCACAGCACAGAAAAATCCATGGAGAATTTGACAGGGAAAATAAGGAAGTTACAACTGAGGATTGTTGACCCCACTTTTCTGCCTAAGTTGTCAAATAAAGGGAAAGGTAAGACTGACCACAGGGAGTAGCAAACTGCATTTGGCCAGACTTTGGTATTTTACAGATAGGAAAATATATTAAAAGAATTAGGGAACTGATTTACATTTGCTTTTTCTTTTGCCAAGCAAATATACGTTTACAGTGATAACCCTCATCTCTCAGAATCATTCTGTAAAAATGCATTTTAACACTAAAAAGGAGGGAGACTATAATCTCAGGAAAAAAAGGCCATTCTTTTCCTGAATAGGTCAGTTGGCCCTCTTATAGATGTCACAACAAAGGTGGCCACCCTGCCCCCTACTTTGGATTTAATGTTTTGTTTTGTTTCCACTTTGAACCAGTTTAAAGTATTTCAAGGCGATCCCAGTCAACATACTGGATACTCAGAGGAATGAGGCCAGCGCATGATGTGAGCGGGGCTCACAGAGCAGCCTGGGCCTGAGCAGGGCTCACAGAGCAGCCTGGGCCTGAGCGGGGCTCACAGAGCAGCCTGGGCCTGAGCGGGGCTCACAGAGTAGCCTGGGCCTGAGGTGGCTGGCCGTGAGCTCAGCAGGCTGAAGGGGAAATCCCTGTGGGATAACTCTAGTTGCCAATTAGGGAGATCCAACAGAAAACCAAGCACACCACAGCATTTTGTGAGTTTTCCTGTACTCTGCCCAGTCCTAGAAGAGGGCTGAAGGAGCCAGATTACACACCCTCCCCTGCTTTGCCAGCCAGCTTCCCAAGCGTGGTGATCCTTCTCCAGCAGGTGGCAGAACACACACATAGAAAATTACAAAGCTACCCAAGGTTTCTGTCTTTCGGTTGGTCCATTGTGTTACTTCTTTAAAAGTTAGCCATGTATAGTAAGAAATTTTGCAAACAAAAAACCTACTCATATTCCATCCTGGAATCCTGTTTACACAGGTACTTTGGTCTTCACAGGGAGGCTGAAACCTGCAAAGAGGAGGACCACAAAATAAAGAAAATCCTGGCCAATAAACTATGAATACCAGAACCCACATCTTCCAGCTGTTAAAGAACCCAGCAAATAACTCCTGCATTTCACTTTGTCGCCCACACTGGAGTGCAGTGGCATGATCGCAGCTCACTGCAGCCTCAACCTCCCGGACTCAAGAGATCCTCCCACCTCAGCCTCCTGTGTAGCTGGGACTACAAGTGTGTGCCACCACTCTCGACTAATTTTGTATAATTTTTGTAGTGATGAGGTCTCACTATGTTGCCTAGGCTGGTCTCAAATTCCTGGTCTCAAACAATCCTCCTGTCTCAGCCTCTCAAAGTGCTGGCATTACAGGCTTGAGCCACCGCACCCGGCCTCCTGCATTTCTAAAATTTCTAAACCCAATGAAAACTTTCACTAATCTTCATCACATGCACCTATAAGGGTGTAGTTACAAATTGTCTTTTCTAAAGAAACCCATGGATTTTACATTGCCTCTTTCCAAGGAGAAAAGTCATACAGTATCCAAAGTTACACAACGGGTCAGGAGAACAGCCCAGAATACCTGTCAGTGTCTCTCGATTGAAGTGTTTATTCACAGAAGCAAAGTCATGTTTAAAGCTGAAAAAGTATTTCCTAAAATATACTCTAGTTGAATATTTCAGGTACAATAGTAAGTAGGTCACTTGCTCTCTAGGATTCAAAGAATATGGGCCTGCATTACTCTGTTTCTGCCCTGAACAGGAAAGTTAAAAGGAAACACTGCACAACAAGAAAATCCACAGCACACAGCTATTTAAGCAGCTGTGGCTTGGGGGTCAGGTCTATCACTGAAAGCTTTATAGATAATCTTCAAAACTAATTTGACCCACAAAAGTAAAACCAACTGGGCTTTCCCAAAAAATCTGCAAAAACCATATTCATAGTATCACCCTCCCTTCCAGATAATTTATAGTCAGAAATTGAACCCAAGAATAAATGCCCTAGAAATATTTTTTTAAATAGCCTAAATTTGACTGTCAAATCATGTTCCTTCTCCATGTTTTTTTTCAGTGTCTAATCTGGTCCTACTCCTACCCCCAAATAATTTTCCAGGGGTCCCAGGGGTGCCCCATGCTCTACACACCTTCTTTTTTTTTTTTTTTTTTTGAGATGGAGTTTCGCTCTTGTTACCCAGGCTGGAGTGCGATGGCACAATCTTGGCTCACTGCAACTTCCGCCTCCCGAGTTCAAGCAATTCCCCTGTCTCAGCCTCCCAAGTAGCTGGGATTACAAGCATGCACCACCACGCCCGGCTAATTTTGTGTTTGTAGTAGAGACGGGGTTTCTCCATGTTGGTCAGGCTGGTCTCAAACTCCTGACCCCAGATGATCCGCCTGCCTCGGCCTCCCAAAGTGCTGGGATTACAGGTGTGAGCCACCGCACCCGGTCCTACATCTTCTTGGATGCTATCTGCCACACAAAATAGAATAAGAGCTAGAAGGGACCTGACAGGAATACAGCTACTTCTATAGATAAGGAAAACTTGGTCCTGAAACAAACTCACCAAGGCTACAGCTTGCTAGTCCCAATATTGTAATTCCACCCCCCAGTGTCCCATCCCTCTAGGTCTCATCAGGTCATTCATTTTCACTAGAAGTAAGTGTAGGTCAAAGCAACTGGATTCATTACTACTCCTCTCAGAAAACAACTAACAAGGGGTTTTGGTTGAGAAATTTCAGAAAAAAACTGGTTGGTTGGTGGGGAACAATTTTGAACGATGGGTACTTTCCATGTCCTCAAATCACATTCTGCCTGTAAATAAATCACACTTCAAAAATACAAACATAAGAACTGATCTGTAGTGACCCGCTTATTGGCAACTGTAAAGAATGTAAGCTGCATGAGGAGAGAAACTCTGTTTTATTCACATCTGTATTTCCAGTATGTAGAATAGAAGCTGGCACTGAATAGCAGCTCAACAGCAAATATTCGTTAAATGAACAAAATGAAGAAAGCATCCCTCTTTTCTTCTCTCTATAGTCCATCCCCACCCCCATTTTGTTCTCTTAAGGTCTAGTTTCCTTAATCAAAACTATGTTCTGAGGTAAATATCTACCTGTCATTTATACTTTCGTAGCCTTTAAGTCACTGCTTGGAGTGTTTGGAATTTCAGTTTCACATCTAACAAAAGGCTTTGAACCCCCATCGCAGGTCTCCAGTCTCAGCCAACAATGGAAGGCCTTTGTGGCCAGGCCTTTCTGCACATATGGCCAAGATTTGGATTCTTTGGAAGAATAGCAAACTATTCATTGGAACAGCTCCCTTCCCCAGTGACCTCTTGATTCCCTCCTGTGGCTCTCCTTAGCCTTCATATCCTTGTAAAGTAATCTAAAACCCTATCTTCCTGCTGTCTTTATCTTCCTTTCTCAGCTGTCAAAACCTGGAAGACATGCTGCTGTTGCATATTTAGCCTCAACTATATTGTTTAATAAATGCCAAGTTGCCAGTTTCTCACACTCCACTCTATGAAGCCAGAACACCTCACCTTACTGAGTTAACCAGGAACCCATGCTCACCCTATAATACACTAGGGGGTGCTGTTGCTATATCCAGACCCAGTTGCTGTAGCCCGACTGGAAACAGGAAAAGGAAACAAGGGAGCCTTCAGGGTCCTGAGAGACATTTCTAGATGGGCCACTCTCTGCACAAGCCCTCAGCACAGTTCCTCAGAAGCAAAGAACATTATACCTTACCAAGCCACACAATTCCAGAATGAAGTTCACAAATGGTACAAAAAGAAGGGAGGGCTGAAGATCTCCAAGCGAAAGGCTTTATTGTAAGACTCATTAACATACATGGGCCTACACAATCATATTTATGCCAGCTGCTAGATGTGAATAATTAATGCTCACCCTGCTACCAGTTAAAACTCTGTTTAGACAATCAAGTGGCAAATACTGTCAGGCAGAATCGGATACAACAAATGCAATCATAACAGGCGAGAAATACTTGAGTTTATCACTGATTTTCACAATCATCTTTCCTTGTATGTGATATCTAAGACTTTGGGAATGAAAGTTTTATATACAAACAAATGAGTATCCACCTCTCTCAGCCCGCGGCTTGGCTGCTGCACAAAGCTTCCAAGCTGCCAGGGAAGCCTCCTTGGCCTCACTTAACTCTTTGCTGAAATGACTGGTAGACCCCATATGACAGAGAAAGCTCTCACATACATCAAAAAGGCTTTTGGCCTTTCAAATTTCTGAATAAGTCATCATGAAAAAAGAAATATTTTGTTGGGTTTGTGGATTTTTTTAAGATAAGTTTTAAAATGTGCATTTTAAAAAAATTATCTGAACGAGACCCTCACCTAACAGTGTGAACGTTAAACATTCCCACACAGAGAAGAATGGATCTCCACCAAGGGAAATATGTCTGGTATTAATCCAAGAAGAAACAATCTAGCTCACCCTCCCTGCCCCACAAGCTAGGGTTTCATACCCTTTGTGGTATGATTTGCAGTACTCCTCACAAAATGCTAGTAAGAACTCATTAATGCTAACAATTGAATTGGAACTATCTTTGGCTCCAAAAGCAACCCAGCCAAGCTAGAAACTTGAAGGATCCCAAAGTAAATCAAGAGGAACTAAGACAAAGGTGCCATTCTAGGGCCAATCTTCACAGAATGGTTTCCCTTTTGCCCTGAATCCCATCCCTAAAAGAGACCGAATCCCAGCTGTAGCTGCATCATACTTTCAAATGAAATGCAAGGCATTTCTGAGCCCAGGTTTTTCCACAACGACTAGATTGACATTTCCACATAAAGCTCTACAAACGAGGATTAATATGTCACACTTAATAAAGAGTCAAGGGAACTTATGGCTCTCAACATAATTTCTGCCTTCAGATACCCAAAAGATACACTCCATCAGCTACCAGGGCTGATTACTTCAGTTACATAACCCAGGCCCACACTAACCTAGAGAGCAGATTACAATGGGGGAGGTTGGTGGGTGTGCTGGAAGGTATCGTTTGAAAAAATCTTAACTCTGAAATAGCTACTCAGAAAAGTCCTTTAGGGGCACTCTGCTCAACTTCATTGGGAATCATTAAGGTTAACATAATCATATACCAAAGAGAGCACACAGATGGTTAACACCAATATATCCATGATCCAAGGTCCTGATAAATGGCAAGTAGTTATTTCCAGTCTTAGTGCTAGAGTATGTAGCTAGGCACACATGAGCAGGGCAGGAGAGGTCCCCCACCACCCCCAATGTCAGGCAATTGTTAAACTGTCTCTCTAAAATAATAAAATAATAAGGATTGGTCACAACCAGTGACAGGGAAAGGCAGTCTCCCAATAGATAAAAAACACCTGAAGCTGGTGATCATGAGCTGGGCAAGTGGGCTCAAGCATTTGCACTAAGAGGCAAATGGCAGAGTTTAACTGATATATGACCTTTCTCTAGGAACACTCAACTGGTAAGACCTCAAATGAGCACGTGCACAACTTCGGCACACACTGCATGTGGCCCCTCCCAAGTGCTGGCAGGCCATTTTGCATATGGACAGCTCACCCCAAGGAAAACTCAAGGGAGGACAGATGCACCCCAGAAGCATGCCACTGTATAAAACCCCAAGTCAAAGGTCACACAGGGCACCTGGATCTCTCAAGTTGCTCATTTGGCCCTCTTCCAAGTGTACTTTACTTCCTTTCGTTCCTGCCCAGAAACTTTTTAACAAATTTTCACTACTGCTCAAAAACTTGCCTCAGTCTCTCACTCTGCCCATGCTCCTTGGATGAATTCTTTCTTTTGAGGAGGCAAGAATCGAGTTAGTGCAGACCTGTATGGATTTGCCACTGCTAACATACTTTGGTGTGTGACTCAGATATGTTCCATAGTGGTAAGACACCTCTATGCCTCACCTTTGGCTGAAGGTGTTCAACTCCCATACATGGTTTCCCTCTCCTCAGTTTCTCTCTCCTGCTTACTAAGCAACCCCCAGAACGAGTCCTCTCAGCCAAAGAGGCTCGGCTCCTCACTGAGCTGATCTCTCAGCTCACCCTGATGGGTGGCTCATGGGGGTGGGAAGGACCTTGGAGTCTGCACCAAGTAGACCTGAGACACTAAAGGCCTTCCTGAACAGGAGGCTTGCAAGAGTCATAGGGCTGAACCCTAAGACTGTGCAATGTCTGGGGTTTCCTCTGCTTTTTCAACGAAAACTGGCTCTTTTCCAAACGCCTGCACCACCTACTCTCCTGTTATCTCTGTGTATATTCTGAAATGGCCTTGTACACCTACAGGACTGTCCGCCTTAGGGGCAAGTCTGTCTCTTCTCTGTTTTCACTTCACATGACACGACTTCCTTCTCTGCCTTAAACACACACTCCCTATTATTCGTGCAGCCATAGCTCTTGCTGTGCTTGCACAGCAGTGAAGAAATGGGCTCCCTTGCAGATGTCTGTTGGCTCACTGATGGGACACACACCAGTTGGAACCCCAGCTCTGACAGCTCCTTATGATTTGCCATACGCTTGTCATTCCTATTATGCTCCAGGGCCAAGTTTTTGGTGGCTTTTCAAGCAGTTCTGCATAGGATCTCACTCTGTGGCACTTTAAGGACTCCACCTACTTGCTTTTTTGGGGGTTAGCAACCCTTTGGAATGAGGGAAAATTCTTCCTTTGCCATCTGTGAGCCCTTATCCCAAACCCCAAGTCCTTCGGAGGTTCCTCCTTTATGTCAAGAAGGTACACAAATATTGCCCTCTCAAATTCAAGGGCTGCTGTTTTTGTGAGCATATGAGGCTTTCCGTGAGTATCCCCCTTGCTTCCTCCTGCTTCCTCCTGGAGCAGAGAGATTGTCCTACCTGTTTAAGCATTTGTTCTGCAGATTACCCTGGGAGGATGAAAAACCCCAAATACAAATTTTCTTCCATTTCTCTAATCACTTCCATGCTCTCAATATACATCAAGACCTTCAAGGTCATATTCAAAGAAAGGGGAATTCAGTCCCTTGTAGTAATTTGCTGAAAAACAGGCTTCTCATCTACTAAAAAACATGGGAAATGGGATTATAAGAAAAGAGATAATCATTTTGTGCTAGAATTCTCCAAGTGAGAGTCACTGTAAGGACATGGAGACAAGGATATAGGCCAGCTCAAGGTCATAGGTACAAGAGACAAAAGTACCCATAGGACAGAGATAAAGGCTGGTCCTAGGCTATAGGCACAGAACAAATTACCATTAGAACAGAGGTGAAGTCAAGGTTAGTAGTACCTGGTAAGAATAGTTCATTCCAGAACCCCAAAGATGAATAGGGGGTCCCTATTTACTCTGCTATCTCTTCTGTTCTCAAGTGGGTAATTGTGATGAGACAGGATCAAGGTTAAGGGTACCTGGTAAGACTGGTTCATTTCAGAACCCTAAGGATGAATGGGGGATGCCCTGTTCAGGAAAGGATGACAGGGAAATAAGAGGGTATGCCTTCTTTTTCCTTTTTGTCTCCTCTGTTCTCTCTTCACAGATGGATAATCATGTCTCCATACCACAGGACACACCCCTCAGAAGCATCCGCAAGAACAGGGAAAAGTTTGACCCCCAAACGCTAAAGGTTTGGATTTATATTTTTCTGTAACACAGAAAAGGTTAATATTTTTCTATAACACAGCCTGGGTTGAATACAAGCTCCAGGACTAGGAATCTTGGCTAGCGAATGGAAGCACACATTTTAGTACAATCTATCAACTAGATTTGTTTTGCCACTAACAGGGAAAAGGGACAAAAATCCCCTATGTACAGGCCTTCATGACTCTAGAAAATAACCCTGACCTTTGTTGGGCTTATAAAATGGATCCAGGGATGATAGCAGCCATAGTCAGGCAGCCCCCTCTGGTTGGTTTGGGAGACCTTTTATAAGGTTTACCCAGGGCTCAAGCCCCAGAAGAACCAAGGACAGAGCTTAGCACAAACCCCACTGCCCCTTCTACCCTATTATATCCAAGTCTCCCAGCCCTGGTGCTCTCCCCTCCCTACCCAGGGCCATCCTCTGGACCCCACCCTCTTAAGTATGCCCCCTTCAGGAGGTTAATGACCCTAGTGTACCCACCAGAGTCCAGACTGACTGCAAGACCTGAGCCAAATTAAAATGGAACTAGGGAAGTTTCTGGAGGACCCTGACAAATACATCAAAGGGTTCCTGTAAACTGGGCTTAACATTTGAACTCACCTGGAGGGACCTCTCAGTCATACTAGGGTAAACACTGTCTAAGGGAGAACACGACTACGTTATGGAGGCAGCCCAACAATTTGTAAACACAATGTACATGACTGACTCTGGTGGCTACTCTGTGGGGTCACCACAGTTCCCCAGGTCAACCCCAATTGGGAATACAATAACCAGTGGGGTATGTGGGCAAGGAACCACATGTTTCTCTGTCTGGTAGAAGATTGAAAACTAGCAGAGCAAAGCCTGTGAACTATACTAAATTTGCCTTAATAAATCAAGGCCCTCTTGAAAACCCCACCACTTTCCTAGAGAGGCTATAAGAGGCCCTAGTGAAACATACTAACCTAGACCTAGAGACACAAGTAGGGTAACTGGTCCTAAAGGGCCGTTTCCTAACTCAAGTTTCCTAACTCAAGATATTCAGAAGAAACTCCAAAAACTAGCACTAGGCCCCAACACCCCTACACCTGACATCCTTAAAATAGCTTCCTTGGTCTTTTACAACCAGGACCAGGAGGAAAAGGAAAGGGCTCAGCAAAATGAGAGGCAAAAGGAAAAGCTCTACTGGTTGTCCTACAAGTCTGCCAGCCCTTTCCAGGTTGCACTCAGAATACTCTCCCAGGTAACTGCCATCAGTGTGGGAAGCCAGGCCACTGGAAGGCAAACTGCCCCGATGGGACAAAGGGAAGAAGCCCTGCGCGGCTTGCCCCCTCTGCCACAAGCTCTGCCACTGGAAACAGAACTGCCCTGAGGGCTGAAGGGTCCCAGGGACAGAATCTCAACCCTGATGGCCTTGAGCTAAAGGGGCCCTATGCTCTGGTCTGCTCCCGGATTGAACATCACTATTGAAGGGACAGTGCCAAGGGCTGCTTTGGACGTGGCAGGTAGTACTATAAGTTTTCTTTTGGACATGGAAGTGGCCTGCTCGGTGCTTATCTCTTTTCCTTGGCAATTATCCTCCAAATCCTCCAAATCCGCCAGGTGATGGGGGTAAATGGAGTACCCATAACCCAGAGGTTTACTCTTCCTCCATGCTGCCTATGGGGGAAAACTGTCTTTGCTCATTCATTTTTAGTGTTGCCAGAATGTCCTCTGCCCCTTTTGGGTAGAGATATTTTGCGTAGACTCAGGGCTCAGTTAATCTTTCCTCCAGGGCCAACACTCCCTTTCCAAATGCGATCTTATGCCTCAAGGAAACCACACACAAGGATGAGCTGCCCACAGACCTTCCCAATAATCCAGAGGTCCAGGCCCCAGGAATACCAGGAAACACCATAATGGCAATGCCTGTAGCAATTCAGCTTAAAGATCCTTCTAGCTATCCTTGTAGAAGTCAGCTTCCTCTTTGGCAGGAGGCCAAAGAGGGACTTTGGCTGCTGATTGAAAAATTTCTAGAACATGAATTACTACTACCCTGTAATTCACCCTGTAACATGCCTATCTTACCTTTTAAAAAGAGCAATGGAGAATACAGGATGGTCCAGGGCCTGCAAATCAAAAAAGAGGCAGTAGTCTCTATATACCCAATAGTCCCCAACCCATATGTAATTCTAGCAGAAGTCCTTCAGATGCTCAGTGGTTTTCAGTCTTAGATCTCAAACTCACTTTCTTTTGTACCCTCTGAGACCCAACTTCCCAATTTCTATTTGCATTTGAGTGGGAAAATGAAAAAGGAAGGAGTCAACAGCTTACCTGGACAGTCCTTCTACAAGGCTTCAGAGATAGTCCCCATTTGTTTGGGCAAGTCTTAGCTAGAGATTTGCAGGACCTAATTCTTGAGGTGGGGAAGGCATCTCCTACAGCACATGGATGACCTATCAATCTGCTCCCCTACAAGAGTTAGGAATCCAACATCTAGTCCAGACACTAAATTTCCTCACAGACAGAGGGTATCCAAGGACAAGGTATCCAAGGCCAAGGCACAGCTACCAAGTTAAGAGGTCCAATACCTGGGAATAATCCTGACCCCCAGAGAACATAAGCTCTCCCCAGAACAGATACAAGCCTTCCTTAGTATACTTACCCCAACCACCTGATAGTAACTTTGCACTTTTCTGGGGATCACAGGATATTGCAGACTTTGGGTACTGGGATATGGTGGAATTGTTAAGTCTTTATATCAGGCACTAAAAGAAGGGACTGATAGGGATCCATTTCTCTGGGGAAGGGATCAAGAGCAAGCCTTTAAACAGCTAAAAACTGCCCTCTCACAAGCCCCAGCCCTTGGGCTACTCATACTAACCAAACCATTTCAGCTTTTCATCACTGAAAGGCAATGTGTAGCCCTAGGAGTTCTAACTCAAACCATTGGGCCAATCAAACATCCTATAAGTTAATTTTCAAAGAACCTAGACCCAGTAGCACAAGGATGGTCACACTGCCTCAAGGTAGTGGCTGCAGCAGCCATCCTACTCCAGGAGGCCCTCAAAATCACCATGGGACAGCCAATCCTGCTCCTGATGTCCCACCAAATAGGCCCCTTATTGGACATAAAAGGACCACAATGGCTCACTGACAACAGACTGCTGAAGTCCCAAGTCTTGTTGTTAGAAAACCCACAGTTGAGTGGTGCCCCACCCTTAACCCAGGCTCCTTATTGCCACTACCAGAAAAGGATAACTCAACACATTCATGTTGTGAGATACTTAGTCAAACGTATGTCAGCTTGGAAGACTTAAGAGATCAGCCCCTAGATAATCTGGATGGTTTTCAGATGGGAGTAGCTTTGTCAGAAATAGAATTAGATATGCAGGTATGCTATAGTGTCTCTTCACCAAATTACAGAGGCTAACGCTCTGTCCCCGATGACCTCAGTGTAATTAGCCAAACTCATCACACTGACCAGAGCCCTAAAATTAAGTGAAAGGAAAAGAATAACCATCTATACAGATTCCAAATATGCCTTTCTGGTGCTTCACACCCACCTGCCTGTCTGGAAGGAAAGGGGGTACCTAACAACTTGGGATACTCCTATTAAGTACAGGCCTCAAATCTCAGAGCTATTAGAGACTGCTCATTTGCCCCAGGAAGTGGCAGTAGTGTACTGTAAAGGACACCAGAGGGGCTCCAATGAAACTGTATGGGGAAATAGGTTAGCTGACCAACAGAAAAGAGGCAGCCATCTCAAAAGATACCTTCATGGGACCCTTGCTCCCCTCTCTCCCCAGTGAACTGCCCCCTCTCCAATAAGGAATAGATTGGGCCCTCCAACATGGGTATAAAAAAGAAACCAGTGGATGGTACAGGTTGGGAGAACTTCTCTATCTACCTAAAGACTCCAAATGGAAAGTCAGCAAGAGTTTACACAACTCCTGCCACCTTAGATAGGACAGTCTATGGCAAATTTGTAAACAGGTGCTCAGTGGGAAGGGACTAGACAAAACTATTCAATAGGCTTGTCAAGCCTGCACCTTGTGCACCATAAATAATCCCCAAAGACAGAAGCCCCCTCCATTAATAAATCCAATACAAAAGAGAGGTACATACCCTGGGGAGGACCGGCAGATGAATTTCACTCAGCTCCCTGCATGCTGGGTGTAAGTATCTCTTG
Source organism: Homo sapiens (assembly GCF_000001405.40). Taxonomy (NCBI): domain Eukaryota; kingdom Metazoa; phylum Chordata; class Mammalia; order Primates; family Hominidae; genus Homo; species Homo sapiens. The sequence goes on along the minus strand of NC_000014.9, from coordinate 32,244,084 downwards.
GTCTGTGTAGACACCTTCAAGGAGGGGTAGAAGCCTACCCCACAAGGACTAAAAATGCACAGGAGGTAGTTAAATTCCCCCTAAAGGGACTCATTCCCCAATTCAGGCTCCCCAGGTCATTGCAAAGGACAATGGTCCATCCTTCATTTCCCAAGTAACTCAACAGGTTAGTAGTGCCCTAGGCATAAAGTGGTACTTTCACTCTGCCTGAAGACCACAATCTTCAGGAAAAGTAGAAAAAACTAATCAAACCCTCAAATGCATCCTCGATATATTCTGTCAGGAAACAACACAGCCATGGGTGGACCTCCTACCTTTAGCCCTCCTTCAGATTCATATTGCCCCTAAGTCTCCCTTCAATTAAGCCTCTTCAAAGCCTTAATTGAAGCCTTCTATGGTAGACCATTCTTATATTTAGACTTATTACTAAATGAAGAAACTGCCAAAATCACCCAGTATGTCTCTTTAGCAGGCTTCCAATAGGCTTTCTGGGAATATGGATTACAAACAAACCCAAAATCAGAAGGGAAAAAATCTCCACCACTATATCCTCCAGGCTCACTAGTTCTCATTAAAGCTTGGAAGGATGGAATTCCGAATTCCCAACTAACTCGAATCTGGAAGGGCCCCTTCACTGTGCTATTATTACCCCCGCAGTCATTAAAGTACCAGAGATTGCCAGCTGGATACATCGTACCCAAGTGAAGCTGTGGAAAAGCCCTGAAACATCAGAACTGGAACCAACACCCTCAGTTATAGAATATACTCGAGAGGCACTGGAAGATCTGAAATTCCTCTTTAAGCAAAAAGATAAGTAATGCCCTCAAACATCCTTTCACCTCAAAGTAAGGTGATCTTAATATTAGGAATTTTACTCACAATAGCTCTGGTTGTTATCACTATTTTCAACCTAACTTGTACACCACCAGGAATTCCAGTGGCAGCTTGCTTTGTGACCAATTTCTCTTTTTTACAATCACCTTAGGTCACCATGGGCCTACTCCTGCGGGTTCTCATTCTCACTCCTTTACTAGCAGTGTATTACCATCCTCATTTCCTGTTATTGGCAAAAGCTCAACAATTGCTCCAAAGCACAGAATCCCCTTACTCCACCAATTGCTGATTATGTACTAGCTCTTCCGCTAAAACACCAGGAAGAGCTTATGCAGCCTCGCCCAGAGACTGGACAAGCATAGAGGCAGAATTACATATTTTCTATCAGTGGGACCCTAATCTGAAAGGGATGTTCAAGCCTGCAAGCCTTCTTGCAAAAGTAAAGCAAGATTTCCCTGATATCCACAAGGAATCTCCCATTTTCAGAGCCATCTTTTCTAATATCACTTTAATGGGAATAGCCCCTATCTGTGTTACAGGTACATGGAAAAATGGAATGGATATAGGTGCTCTCCCCAGTACAGTTTGTAGTGTTACTCTCACTGTAGATCCTCATCAACAAATTTACCGAACATACATCTGCAATGAATTTTGCCATCAACCAAGATTCCCAAACCTCCAACTATTACCTTTCCTCAGGGAACTTTGCTAGATAAGTCCATCCAGTTTTGCCAGGGATGCCCAACCTCATGCAGTGCTCAAAATTTCTGGTTTTGGCCTGCGGATTATAACTAATATCTGCAAATTGCCAATCTCAACTCTACAGCAGAATGGGCTCTACTGGACCAAACTTGAAATTCTCTATTTTGGGAAAATAAAACCAAGGAAACTAACCAGAGCCAAACCTGCATCCCATTCTCAGCAGGCATGAGTATGGCCACCAGCTACCTGGGTGTGTCGGTAGCCTTGGGATTTTTTGGAGCTGTCCTCACCCCCTTATTTTGTTTGTCCATATCTACTTGTCTTAAAACCGAAGGAGCCTTCTGTCTTTGTGGCCAATCTATTCACCAGTGCCTCCCCACTAACTGAACTGAAGTATGCCCAGACGTCCTCAGAGTCCCTGGCAATCTGTCTCTTCCAGTAGCAATCCATGGGCATTTCATCTTGCCCAGGATGAGGAGGGCTATCCAATTAATTCTCCTTCTCACGGGACTCGGCATTATAGCTGATACAGGAACTGAAATTGCTAGAATTATAAAGTCCTTTTTAATCTATAGCCAACTCTCAAAGGAAATACCCAACAACATTGATGCCATGGCTAAGACCTTAACAACCATGCAAGAACAAATAAATTATTTAGCAGCTATAGTCCTCCAAAAATCATCAAGGGCTAGACAGGTTAATGGCAGCACAGGGAGGAATTTGTTTAGCCTCAGATGAAAAATGTTGCTTTTAGGTAAAACAATCAAGAAACGTACAAGGCAACATCACACAACTCCCAAATCCAATTTACGGGAACAAGCCTCTCAGGGTTCGTTAAATTGGGAAGGAAACTAGAAATGGTTCAACTGGGTTCTTCCCTTTTTAGGCCTACTTGTTAGTCTCCTACTTTTGCTCCTTTTTGGTCCATGTCTTTTAAATCTAATAACCCGATTTATCTCCTCTCATGTTCAGGCCATCAAGCTCCAGATGATCCTCAGTGAGGGATACCGTCCTCTCAATTTTCAAGTCATCTTTCTACAGAAGAGTCCTAGACTGCCCATCAGTGGCATGACAGAGGCAAAATCCTGCCTGTATCCCTTAGACCTGGCTGTATACCACTTTCACCAACCCATAGAGCTACCCTGCCCTGACAACTAACAAGAGACCAAAACCCACAGAACAACCATCAGTGCCCCTCTGTCAGCAGAAAGCAGTTACAGAAGACTGACCTTTATCCATTCTCCCAAAGAATTGGGTCTTTGACTCTTTAGGGAGGAAATGTTAAAGTAGATAGCTAGACAGACATGAGCAGGACAGGACAACCCTTGCTTCCCCACAAACACACACCAAGGAATGTCAGTCAGACAACCATCAGGTAATAGGCAGTTGTTAAACTGTCTCTCTAAAATAATAAAATTATAACAGCTCACAGCCAGTGCCAGGGAAAGGTAGTCTCCGAACAGATAGATAACACCTGAAGCTGGTGATCAGCAGCTTCCTGATACGCTCTCAGGAGTTGGGTTAGTGGACTTAGGCATGCACACAAAGAGGTAAAATGGCAGAATTTAACTGGTATATGACCTTCCTCTAGGAACACTCAACTGACAAGGAAAAACCACCTCAAATGAGCATGTGCACAACTTCAATAAACACACTGTGCATGCAGCCCCTCCCAAGTGCTGGCAGGCCACTGCAAATGTGGACAGCCCACCCCAAGAAAAACTCAAGGGAGGAGAGATGCAATACCCCAGAGCATGCCAACATATAAAACCCCAAGTTAAAGGTCAAACTGCAGGGGAGGAGCCAAGATGGCCAAATAGGAACAGCTCCGGTCTACAGCTCCCAGCGTGAGCAACACAGAAGATGGGTGATTTCTGCATTTCCAACTGAGGTACCGGGTTCATCTCATTGGGGAATGCCAGACAGTAGGTGAAGGACAGTGGATGCAGCGCACCGTGCACGAGCCGAAGCAGGGTGAGGCATAGCCTCACCCAGGAAGCGCAAGGGGTCAGGGAATTTGCTTTCCTAGTCAAAGAAAGCAGTGACAGACGGCACCTGGAAAATCGGGTCACTCCCATCCTAATACTGCGCTTTTCCAACGGGCTTAAAAAACGGCACACCAGGAGATTATATCCCGCACGTGGCTCGGAGGGTCCTATGCCCAAGGAGTCTCACTCATTGCCAGCACAGCAGTCTGAGATCAAACTGCAAGGCGGCAGCAAGGCTGGGGGAGGGGCACCCACCACTGCCGAGTTACCTGTTTGATTAGGTAAACAAAGCAGCTGGGAAGCTCGAACTGAGTGGAGCCCACCACACCTCAAGGAGGCCTGCCTGCATCTGTAGGCTCCACCTCTGGGGGCAGGGCACAGACAAACAAAAAGACAGCAGTAACCTCTGCAGACTTAAATGTCCCTCTCTGAAAGCTTTGAAGAGAGTAGTGGTTCTCCCAGCATGCAGCTTGAGATCTGAGAATGGGCAGACTGCCTCCTCAAGTGGGTCCCTGACCCCTGAGTAGCCTAACTGGGAGGCACCCCCCAGTAGGGGTGGACTGACACCTCACACGGCCGGGTACACCTCTGAGACAAAACTTCCAGAGGAACGATCAGGCAGCAGCATCTGCGATTCACCAACATCTGCTGTGCTGCAGCCACCACTGCTGATACCCAGGCAAACAGGGTCTGGAGTGGACCTCTAGCAAACTCCAACAGACCTGCAGCTGAGGGTCCTGTCTGTTAGAAGGAAAACTAACAAACAGAAAGGATATCCACACCAAAAACCCATCTGTACGTCACCATCATCAAAGACCAAAGGTAGATAAAACCACAAAGATGGGAAAAAAACAGAGCAGAAAAACTGGTAACTCTAAAAATCAGAGCGCCTCTACTCCTCCAAAGGAACACAGCTCCTCATCAGCAACAGAACAAAGCTGGACGGAGAATGACTTTGACGAGTTGAGAGAAGAAGGCTTCAGACAATCGAACTACTCCGCGCTACAGGAGGAAATTCAAACCAATGGCAAAGAAGTTAAAAGCTTTGAAAAAAAAAATTAGACGAATGGATAATTAGAATAACCAATGCAGAGAAGTCCTTAAAGGACCTGATGGAGCTGAAAACCACGGCACGAGAGCTATGTGACAAATGCAGAAGCCTCAGTAGCCAAAGCGATAAACTGGAAGAAAGGGTATCAGTGATGGAAGACGAAATGAATGAAATGAAGCCAGAAGAGAAGTTTACAGAAAAAAAAATAAAAAGAAAAGAACAAAGCCTCCAAGAAATATGGGACTATGTGAAAAGACCAAATCTACGTCTGATTGGTGTACCTGAAAGTGACGGGGAGAATGGAACCAAGTTGGAAAACACTCTGCAGGATATTATCCAGGAGAACTTCCCCAATCTAGCAAGGCAGGCCAACATTCACATTCAGGAAATACACAGAATGCCACAAAGATACTCCTCGAGAAGAGCAACTCCAAGACACACAATTGTCAGATTCACCAAAGTTGAAATGAAGGAAAAAATGTTAAGGGCAGTCAGAGAGAAAGGTCGGGTTACCCTCAAAGGGAAGCCCATCAGACTAACAGCGGATCTCTTGGCAGAAACTCTACAAGCCAGAAGAGAGTGGGGACCAATGTTCAACATTCTTAAAGAAAAGAATTTTCAACCCAGAATCTCATATCCAGCCAAACTAAGCTTCATAAGTGAAGGAGAAATAAAATCCTTTACAGACAAGCAAATGCTGAGAGATTTTGTCACCACCAGGCCTGCCCTAAAAGAGCTCCTGAAGGAAGCACTAAACATGGAAAGGAACAACCAGTACCAGCCACTGCAAAAACATGCCAAATTGTAAAGACCTTCAAGGCTAGGAAGAAACTGCATCAACTAATGAGCAAAATAACCAGCTAACATCATAATGACAGAATCAAATTCACACATAACAATATTAACTTTAAATGTAAATGGACTAAATGCTCCAATTAAAAGACACAGACTGGCAAATTGGATAGAGTCAAGACCCATCACTGTGCTGTATTCAGGAAACCCATCTCACATGCAGAGACACACATAAGCTCAAAATAAAGGGATGGAGGAAGATCTACCAAGCAAATGGAAAACAAAAAAAGGCAGGGGTTGCAATCTTAGTCTCTGATAAAACAGACTTTAAACCAACAAAGATCAAAAGAGACAAAGAAGGCCATTACGTAATGGTAAAGAGATCAATTCAACAAGAAGAGCTAACTGTCCTAAATATATATGCACCCAATACAGGAGCACCCAGATTCATAAAGCAAGTCCTTAGAGACCTACAAAGAGACTTAGACTCCAACACAATAGTAATAGGAGACTTTAACACCCCACTGTCAACATTAGACAGATCAATGAGACAGAAAGTTAACAAGGATACCCAGGAATTGAACTCAGCTCTGCACCAAGAGGACCTAATAGACATCTACAGAACTCTCCACCCCAAATCAACAGAATATACATTCTTTTCAGCACCACACCACACCTACTCCAAAACTGACCACATAGTTGGAAGTAAAGCACTCCTCAGCAAATGTAAAAGAACAGAAATTATAACAAACTGTCTCTCAGACCACAGTGCAATCAAACTAGAACTCACGATTAAGAAACTCACTCAAAACCACTCAACTACATGGAAACTGAACAACCTGCTCCTGAATGACTACTGGGTAAATAATGAAATGAAGGCAGAAATAAAGATGTTCTTTGAAACCAACAAGAACAAAGATACAACATACCAGAATCTCTGGGACACATTCAAAGCAGTATGTAAAGGGAAATTTATAGCACTAAATGCCCACAAGAGAAAGCAGGAAAGATCTAAAATTGACACCCTAACAGCACAATTAAAAGAACTAGAAAAGCAAGAGCAAACACATTCAAAAGCTAGCAGAAGGCAAGAAATAACTAAGATCAGAGCAGAACTGAAGGAAACAGAGACACAAAAAACCCTTCAAAAAATTAATGAATCCAGGAGCTGGTTTTTTGAAAGGATCAACAAAATTGATAGACCGCTAGCAAGACTAACAGAGAAGAAAAGAAAAAAGAATCAAATAGACGCAATAAAAAATGATAAAGGGGATATCACCACCGATCCCACAGAAATACAAACTACCATCAGAGAATACTATAAACACCTCTACGCAAATAAACTAGAAAATCTAGAAGAAATGGATAAATTCCTGGACACATATGTCCTCCCAAGGCTAAACCGGGAAGAAGCTGAACCTCTGAATACACCAATAGCAGGCTCTGAAATTGAGGCAATAATTAATAGCTTACCAACCAAAAAAAGTCCAGGACCAGATGGATTCACAGCCAAATTCTATCAGAGGTACAAAGAGGAGCTGGTACCATTCCTTCTGAAACTATTCCAATCAATAGAAAAAGAAGGAATCCTCCCTAACTCATTTTATGAGGCCAGCATCATCCTGATACCAAAGCCTGGCAGAGACACAACCAAAAAAGAGAACTTTAGACCAATATCCTTGATGAACATCAATGCAAAAATCCTCAATAAAGTACTGGCAAACCGAATCCAGCAGCACAACAAAAAGCTTATCCACCATGATCAAGTGGGCTTCATCCCTGGGATGCAAGGCTGGTTCAACATACGCAAATCAATAAATGGAATCCAACATATAAACAGAACCAAAGACAAAAACCACACGATTATCTCAACAGATGCAGAAAAGGCCTTTGACAAAATTCAAAAACCCTTCATGCTAAAAACTCTCAATAAATTAGGTATTGATGGGACATATCTCAAAATAATAAGAGCTATCTATGACAAACCCACAGCCAATATCATACTGAATGGGCAAAAACTGGAAGCATTCCCTTTGAAAACGGGCACAAGACAAGGATGCCCTCTTTCACCACTCCTATTCAACATAGTGTTGGAAGTTCTGGCCAGGGCAATCAGGCAGGAGAAGGAAATAAAGGGTATTCAATTAGGAAAAAGAGGAAGTCAAACTGTCCCTGTTTGCAGATGACATGATCGCATATCTAGAAAACCCGATCATCTCAGTCCAAAATCTCCTTAAGCTGATAAGCAACTTCAGCAAAGTCTCAGGATACAAAATCAATGTGCAAAAATCACAAGCATTCTTATACACCAGTAACAGACAAACAGAGAGCCAAATCATGAGTGAACTCCCATTCACAATTGCTTCAAAGAGAATAAAATACCTAGGAATCCAACTTACAAGGGATGTGAAGGACCTCTTCAAGGAGAACTACAAACCACTGCTCAAGGAAATAAAAGAGGATACAAACAAATGGAAGAACATTCCATGCTCATGGGTAGGAAGAATCAATATCGTGAAAATGGCCATACTGCCCAAGGTAATTTATAGATTCAATGCCATCTCCATCAAGCTACCAATGACTTTCTTCACAGAATTGGATAAAACTACTTTAAAGTTCATATGGAACCAAAAAAGAGCCTGCATTGCCAAGTCAATCCTAAGCCAAGAGAACAAAGCTGGAGGCATCATGCTACCTGACTTCAAACTATACTACAAGGCTACAGTAATCAAAACAGCATGGCACTGGTACCAAAACAGAGATATAGATCAATGGAACAGAACAGAGCCCTCAGAAATAATGCCACATATCTACAACTATCTGATCTTTGACAAACCTGACAAAAACAAGAAATGGGGAAAGGATTCCCTATTTAATAAATGGTGCTGGGAAAACTGGCTAGCCATATGCAGAAAGCTGAAACTGGATCCCTTCCTTACACCTTATACAAAAATTAATTCAAGATGGATTAAAGACTTAAATGTTAGACCTAAAACCATAAAAACCCTAGAAGAAAACCTAGGCAATACCATTCAGGACATAGGCATGGGCAAGGACTTCATGTCTAAAACACCAAAAGCAATGGCAACAAAAGACAAAATTGACAAATGGGATCTAATTAAACTAAAGAGCTTCTGCACAGCAAAAGGAACTGCCATCAGAGTGAACAGGCAACCTACAGAATGGGAGAAAACTTTTGCAACCTACTCATCTGACAAAAGGCTAATATCCAGAATCTATAATGAACTCAGACACATTTACAAGAAAAAAACAAACAACCCCATCAAAAAGTGGGCAAAGGACATGAACAGACACTGCTCAAAAGAAGACATTTATGCAGCCAAAAAACACATGAAAAAATGCTCATCATCACTGGCCATCAGAGAAATGCAAATCAAAACCACAGTGAGATACCATCTCACACCAGTTAGAATGGCGATCATTAAAAGTCAGGAAACAACAGGTGCTGGAGAGGATGTGGAGAAATAGGAACACTTTTACACTGTTGGTGGGACTGTAAACTGGTTCAACCATTGTGGAAGTCAGTGTGGCGATTCCTCAGGGATCTAGAACTAGAAATACCATTTGACCCAGCCATCCCATTACTGGGTATATACCCAAAGGATTGTAAATCATGCTGCTATAAAGACACATGCACACATATGTTTATAGCGGCACTATTCACAATAGCAAAGACTTGGAACCAACCTAAATGTCCAACAACAATAGACTGGATTAAGAAAATGTGGCACATATACACCATGGAATACTATGCAGCCATAAAAAATGATGAGTTCATGTCCTTTGTAGGGACATCAATGAAACTGGAAACCATCATTCTCAGCAAACTGTCACAAGGACAAAAAACCAAACACCACATGTTCTCACTCATAGGTGGGAATTGAACGATGAGAACACGTGGACACAGGAAGGGGAACATCACACACCAGGGACTGTTGTGGGGTCGGGGGATGGGGGAGGGATAGCATTAGGAGATATACCTAATGCTAAATGACGAGTTAATGGGTGCAGCACACCAACATGGCACATGTATACATATGTAACAAACCTGCACGTTGTGCACATGTACCCTAAAACTTAAAGTATAATAATAATAAAATTTTTTTAAAAAAAAGGTCAAACTGGGCACTTGGATCTTTCAAGTTGCCCACTTGGCCCTCTTCCAAGTATACTTTATTCCTTTCATTCCTACTCTAAAACTTTTTAATAAACTCTCACTCCTGCTCAAAAACTTGCCTTGGTTTCTCACTCTGCCTTATGCCGCTTGGACAACTTCTTTACTCCAAGGAGGCAAGAATCCAGTTGATGCAGACCTGTACATATTCGCCACTGCTAATATTAGTACCCTGAAGTTTTACTCTTTAAAAACACAGGCTGGGTGCAGTAGCTCTGTAATCCCAGCACTTTGGGAGGTCAAGGCGGGCGGATCATGAGGTCAGGAGATCGAGACCATCCTGGCTAACACGGTGAAATGCCATCTCCACTAAAAATACAAAAAATTAGCTGGGCATGGTGGTGGGCATCTGTAGTCCCAGCTACTCAGGAGGCTGAGGCAGAAGAATGGTGTGACCCCGGGAGGCGGAGGTTGTAGTGAGCCAAGATTGCACCACTGCACTCCAGCCTGGGTGACACAGCAAGACTCTGTCTCAAAAAAAAAAAAAAAGAAAAAGAAAAACACAAAGCCTTGTAACTAATGCTGTCTAGAAACCTTCATTTGCAAAATGCTGATTGGTTTGAAAAATAATGGCAGAAAACATGTTTTAATATTATCGGCTACTTTTTGAAAATTGGTTTTTATTCATATAATTTCCTCATTCAAACAGTGAAAATTAAAAGTCCTGCCTTCTTGGTAAATTCAGCAGTGATTCTTAACCCTGTTTGCCCATCAGACTCAAATGAAAAGATTAAAATACCCTGGCCCTGACACCACCCCAATAGATCATGATTTTTAATTGGCTTGACGCAGGACACAGGTATTGGTATTTTTTTCAAACTCCTCACGTGTACATCCAGGTTCAGTACCATCAAACTGATATAGAATGAGAACTGAATTTAGGCCCATCATCTGAACATAATTAACTGCCTTCTCTTCACTTCCCCATATCTGAATTTTATTCTGCAAAATGACGTTAATCAAAGGTCAATTCTCCTGACTGAATATAGTTAAGATAAAACTATAATCATAAAGAACTCTGAAGTAATGGAAACAAGGAAGTGGTTACTGTTATCTTGATATTTGAAACCAATTGTTGGCATTGCTGACAATGAAGCCACAAGATTTTGATTATCATGAGATTATACAGCAAGCATGCAGCAAATCTATAATTTTGAGGTAGAAATATATTACATCACCTTACCCAAGAATTTATTGCATTGCAGAATTTACCATTAAATTCAAACAAAGCAGCAGCAGAGGGACAGACAAACAAAGAAGTAGTAGAGGGACAGAGAGAAGAAAGGGATATGAGAAGCTTGGACCATGAAAAGTCTAAGCACACATCCAGATGATAGCAAAGCGCCTGAGAAAGAAGCTATTAGTACCAAGGCTTGCCTGCCTCTCCTTTGCTTACTCTTCCCTTCCTACATCTCCCTGAAAAGCCCATGGACTAAGTGGGGTTCCTTACTGAGACCATAACCCTCAGATTGCCTCTGTCCTCAACAGTGGAGAGAAGTCAGCCCCTCACTGCTGGCAGAAGTTAGATCCCCCTAGAATCTAAAACATCACTTAAGATCAAATCAGATTTCAGAAGTGAGAATCAATAGACTGAACCCTAGAATCAGGATTCTCTGAGTCTCAAAGCAGCTTCAGAAGAAGAGGGCAAGTGGCACCTCCAGATATGTAAGCTCTGCACTGGCAAATCTCACCTTCTCTGAGAATGAGAGTAACAGACCGACTTGGCCTGCAGAAGATGGGATGGCATACTTCCACTCTCACACACCAGGAGCATCACCATGACAGTAACACAGCTGGCTACATAAGGACAAAACATGAGAAACACCTCATACAATAAGAGATATGCAGAAAGGTGGCAGGTATGAGCCTGTGTTGGAATTTCACATGGGCAAAAGTCTCCAGCTCCTTCCAAATATATTTTTACTGACTTAATTTGGTCAGGATTTTGGTGATACAGCTTAGCAACCAGCACAAAGTAACTTCCCTATCCCTTCCTTCAATACATCCACAACTCCTAATTCAGGTCTTCTCACTCCTTCCCAGTCAGGGTAAGCTCCAGGTTTTCAGTTTCCTAAACAGGGCCTGGGCTACTGCAATGATTCTTCATGCAGTCATGATTGAACTCTTGTTTCTAGGAGACTGAAGCAGGCTTCTAATAGCCACCAGTTATCAAGTACATGTTATGTTGATAGTTTATCTCTATTTATCACTATTTACGTTGATAGGTTATCCCTATTTTACAGAGAAGGAAGTTGAAGCACAGAGAAGTTGAATAATTTCTGCCTGCAGTCACATCATTAGTAAGTAGTAGAGCAGGCTTTCAACTCAAGCGTGTCTGATCTTTAAAATAATAATGGTGGGTTCTTATATAGCATTAAGTGCCAGGCACTGGTCTAAACACTGTAAATACTAACTTACTCAATCTTCACAATAACCCTAGGAGAAAGGTACTATTTTTACCACTGCCACTATACAGATGAGAAAACTGAGGGGTAAAGTTCAGCAACTCTTTTAAAGTTGCAAAGCTAAAAACTGGCAGCACCAGAATTCAAACCCAGGCAGGCTGGTTTTAGCATCCATACAGGCCTTACCCACTGCCCATACTGCCCCCTCTTGCTCTCTGTAACTGGTTCTTTCTATAATCATTCATTCAAATATTGCTTAGGCCCCTACTATGTACCTAACACCTTACCAGGAATTGAAGAAAGATTACCAGTATTTGACAGGATACCTCCCTCAGAGAGCAGTAATCTAGATGGGCAAAACCAGTGAAAGAATATAAGAAGGCTGTTACTAAAATGTGAGGTGAGGCAATGCATGCTAGGGTACCAGGAGGACTTGAGCACTGGCACAGACAGGAGGGCCTCACAGAGCACTGAAGGTGAGTTTCCAGTAGGGAGAATAACATGTGAGCAAAGATGAAAGTGAAGAGAAGGACTGCAGGAGGAAGGAGGTAACCCCTTCCCATGCCAGGCTCTGCATTCCTGTTTCACATGTATTATGTATCTCATTTAGTCCTCCTGCAGGCCTATGAAACATCCTTAAAAAAGAAAATGAGGTGCAGAAATTCCAGCAATTCATACATGATCACACAACAACCAAGTGACAGAGCTAGGTTTGTCTGCCTCCGACACCCTTTCTCTAAACCTGGAACCTTTTCACACAAGCAAATGCCAACCGATGAGGCCAGGGTAATAGGCAAACGTTGACAGGGCCAGGAAGAATCTAACCATTCTGATTTCTAGAACCCTTAATGGGCTCTTTGTCTTTCTTCCATTCCCCAGAGGAGGAGTACCTGCATTTTCAACTTAGAAATCTCCTCCTACGGTGTTCCCACTGCAAATAAGCTTCCTCTCTACAGACTGACAAATAGTGATTTGCCTATTTGCAGCCCTCTAAAGCCAGCCAAGCCAACCAGAGAATGGGCCTGGCTAAAGCAGGCTCTGGCTCGTGGATCCAGTTGGTGAGGGGATACAGGCCAGGCTTAGGGAAACTCAAGGATCCCCTAATACAGCTCCTTTCCCTCCTAACAGGGAAAAACTGAGGCCCAGAGAAGGGCATGAGTCACTCAAGGCTGTACATTCCCCTATCCCCAACACACACAAAAAAATTCTTAACCCCATAAAAGTGCTTTGGCAAGCAGGGATCTGAAATTCCTGCAACAGCTTGGGGAGGAGGTAACTAAGAATCTGCCTTCCCACATAGTCTGTCTTTAGACTCCAGTGCTGCTAAGAGTAACAAGTACAAATCTGTTTACTTAGCAAGGTTGAGGCTTGACTCAAATTTTGTGTTGTCAGGATGGGGATGGGGGTGGAAGGGCATCTAAATGTGAATCATTAGATCTTAATCAGCAACGTGGGGAGTGGGATGTTTTGGGAAAGTGTACCTTCTTGAGCACCTTGGACTTGCTTTATTCCCTCTCCAAGGAAAGTAGGCCTGATGGTACAGCAACCCCTTGCAGCCTCTTATAAGAGGCTCATAGTACTCATCACTGCCTATAACAGAAATATAGATGTTGTGATGCTTCTGCCTGTACCCTTAGGTGGCCCTCTAAACAAGCTTTAAGTAGTACACCTAACTGCAGCAAAGGAGAATCTGCTGGTCAAAGAGCAAAAGCAGCACCTATTACTTCATTGTCAGAGTGTTTAAAATGTGTATCAAGGTCATTACTCATCAAATTTTCCCTCTGGGAACAGATAAAGTCCGTTGTTCTTTCTAAGGCCAAACGACTGTGTGCTGCCTGCCATTAATATTTCCTGTCACTCTTCAATTCCATTTTCACTAATCATCACATTAGACCATAGCCAAAAGACGTAACTTTAAAAAAATGTGCTTACCTTAATGTGCTCAGAGTATTTATAGGTCAATTTCCCTGCTGGTTACTATTAGCATAGTTTTATAATGTATAAAGAGTATTTCTTCTCATTCTCTTTAACATTAGGTAAAATCCTCAGAGGGAGCAGAACCTAGATATGTTTAAATAAAACAGACCAATGACCTAGGGCTATAGCATTCACACAGCAGTGGTTTGATATGCTTTTTCCCCCCCCTATTCTAGGACTTACTGACCAAAAGCACACTGAATTATTTAGGAACCTAGAGACTGGATGACCCAAAGGTGAGGAAGGTGGACCTTTCCCTCTGTCTTTAAATTCTCTATTCCCCAAGTATGCCTCTCTGTGTTTGCCTTCTAGCTCTCTGGCTACTCACAGTTAGGTTTATTTTGTACCTCCCTTTCTGCCAAGACAATAAATGTTGGTATTTCCTTGAAAAAATGCATCTACTCCCATATCTATTCCCATATCTACATCATAAACTCCCAAATTTGTACTTCAATTGATAGCTCTCTTCAGAACTTCAGGTCCATTCATCCAACTGCCACCTACACATCTCTAGGATGTCCCACAAGCTCCTCAAACTCCAACTGTAGAAAACTGAACCCACTGTTTTCTCTACCACCTTTCCTCACCCATTTCTTTCTATGGTCCCTGTCTTATTGATGGCACCACACTCCATCACTGCCCAAATCAAAGACCTGGGAATCATGCTTCACCCTTTGCTCCTCCTCACCCAAACTTCCTCACATCCTGCCAATTCCCTCTCTTGAATCCATCTACTTTTCTCCACTCACTAGCCTAGTTCAGGCCAAAATCCTCATTTCCCCAAATTGCAATAACAGCGCCCTTACCTGTCTTCCAATCCATTCTTTACATTAAGCCCAGTAATCTTTATAACATATATATCTTAGCATGTCACACCCCTTGCTAAAAACCCTTCTGTTACTCCGCTCTGTTTTAGGGTGAAGCCCAAATGCCTTCACCAACTGAAGAGACCTGTACAAGTTGGCTTTCAGGCTGGGTGTGGTTGCTCATGCCTGTAATCCCAACACTTTGGGAGGCCGAGGTGGGCGGATGGCTTGAGGTCAGGAGTTCGAGACCAGCCTGGCCATCATGGTGAAACCCCATCTCTACTAAAAATTAAAAAAAATTAGCAGCCAGGCACGGTGGCTCACGCCTGTAATCCCAGCACTTTGGGAGGCCAAGGCAGGCAGATCACAAGGTCAGGAGTTCAAGATCAGCCTGACCAACATGGTGAAACCCCATCTCTATTAAAAATACAAAAAAATTAGCCGGGCATGGTGGCATATGTCTGTAATCCCAGCCACTCAGGAGGCTGATGCAGGAGAATCGCTTGAACCCGGGAGGCGGAGGTTGCACTGAGCCAAGATCACACCACTGCACTCCAGCCTGGGCAACAAAGTGAGACTCCATCTCAAAAAAAAAAAAAAAAAAATTAGCTGGGCATGGTGGTGCACGCCTGTGGTCCCAGCTACTCAGGAAGCTGAAGCAGTAGAATTGCTTGAACTCAGGAGGTAGAGGTTGCAGTGAGCCACGATTGTGCCACTGCACTCCAGCCTGGGCAACAGAGTAAGACTCCATCTCAAATAATAATAATAATAAGTTGGCTTTCATATACCTCTCCAGCCTCATCTCTCATCAGAATTCCTTCACATTCCATGTTTCAGCCACACTGAATCTCTTTCCTATTCTCAAACCTGCTGCCTCCTGGCCTTGCTAGAATCACAGAATTGTAGAGAGGAAAGCGACTGAAAGATACCAGAATCAGAACTCTCCACCAACTTGCTTCTTACCTTCAGAAAACTCAATCCAGTTTATTATTTATTGAGTGTCCACCAAGGGTAAAACACTATCTTAGTAGCTGCAAAGAAACTTAATGAGTAGGTCCATGTCTAAAGAGTATGCAATCTCATTGCTTTTCTTAAACTTGAGTTTAAAAGTTCAAGTTCCTGAAATTTAGCTCCCTTCCTCAAACCTAAGTTCAAGTTACACTAGGAAACGACCTGTCCTTGACTAAACTGGCTTGAGCCTATATACAGTTTTACCAGAATAAAACTTCCCTGTCAATCCAGAGCCCACATATCTCCTCGCAATCTGTATACTTCAAGAGAGCCTTCCAACATAGCCTCACCTGGCTGTTTAAGCTTACATTAAAAACTCTCTAGGTTTCTGTTGGCTTTCTCAGCTGTTGCTGAAAGCACTACAATTGGCATCAATCACCAGGGATTCTCAGGAACTAGAAACTCTGCATTTAGTAGGTATATTTTGTTTGGTATCAGTCAGGGCTGAATAAGAATTTTTTTTTTTTTTTGAGACGGGGTCTCCCTGTCACCCAGGCTGGAGTGCAGTGGCTTGATTTCTGCTCACTGCAACCTCCGCCTCCCGGGTTCAAGCGATTCTCCTGCCTCAGCCTCCTGAGTAGCTGGGATTACAGGCACGTGCCACCATGCCTGGCTAATTTTTTTTTTGTTGTTTTTAATAGTGACGAGGTTTCAGCATGTTGGTCAGGCTGGTCTTGAACTCCTGACCTCGTGATCTGCCCGCCTTGGCCTCCCAAAGTTCTGGGATTACAGGTGTGAGCCACTGCGTCTGGCCAGGATTTTTAAGTGTAAAATTATGAGGCCCCAAAAAGGGCGTGGAGGCAAGAGCCATCCAGAAGAAATTTAATAGCCAGCATTCCTGAATTGCTCCTCATGACAGAACAAAATGATGGAGCTAGGCAAAGACCACCTATCTGGAATCAAAGGGCTGTATTCTGTGTCTTTGCTGATTCGGGAATGTGCCTTGATAATGGAGACAAAGATCTTGGTGGTAGTTTTCCTTCTTCTTGGTAGGCTTAATATTACTACCGTTGAAAAAAGGCAACCACTCTGGGCAAATAACAAAAAGTCTCCCCTTCCTCCTGACTGACTGAGGGAAGGGGCACATACTTGGGTGACTAGAGATGGGCTTTGTGCAGGGACACTGCATGTCCATGCAGACTTGGTCCTTTATGACACCTCTTTGCCCACCAAATTCATGGCTTTCACTACATAAATACATGAAATACTATCTCAAGTTTCTTAACACCCAGACCTAAAAAAGAGGGAGTTGACTTTCCAAATAGAGAAAGTGGCTATAATACATTTTTGCATATATCTTATGTACTTGGAAACTCATTTGAAGTTCCCTAATGCTGCACTATCTTCATTTGTTCATAATGGCCCATCTCTCACCATCTCCATCAGTGAAGCAGAAATTTGTATTGCTCTCAAACACAACACAAATAGAATTCCCAGCAACCGGAGTTTTATCCAGAAACAGTAATGAAACATAATAATCCCAAGCTGACAAGAAGCCCAATGACTATTAATAGAGAGAAACAATATGAAAGTGTCAAATAGGGTAGAAAGCAAGCTACAGCTGGGTTGAAACACTAACTTATTAGGAATAGAATGTAGAATCAAGTGGCAAATTGTCCTACGTCTTATTTTCTTTGCTTTTTGTTAGTCCTGATTGATCCCCATCCAGTTCACGATGGGACACATACTAGCCTAATTTGATTTGGGAGCCAACAACCCAGGTTGTCAGATGCTCCTGTTAAGGCAGGTCCCAGGCCCCAGTTTGGCTGAGTGTTCCTGGGTCTAAGATACCTTTCCTACCATCCATTGCAAAGTGGGGTTGTGTGTATATATTAGCAACAGCAGTAAGCATGACAGTGAAAAGATTAGATGTGGCACCAATTCCATGTTTTACCTGCATCTTTAGAGGACTGAAGATTCTGCTCCGAGGGTAACAGAAAAACCCCACAGAACTGCACATGGAGTGACTTTCATATTTTCCAGACTTTCTGGCAAGGCCTTATTGCTCAAAGGACATTTGAGTGGTTAACACTCAAGTGGTTATACTGCATTCCATCTAAGAACCTTTCAGTGAGTCTTTCAGTATAAGGAAGCATCAAATAAAGGAACTACTGATTTACAGACCAAAGATATGTACTGAGTTTAGAAACATTCAATTATCTTATCTGTGGAAAACAATGTACTTAGCACCAGCATGAGGAAGAGCTTTAAAGATGACAGAGACACAAGAACACTCCCCTCAAGGAACCTTACAAAGGAAAGAAACAGGCATTAACACCAATAGAAAACAAGAGAGGAAGAGAGTCCAGATGTCAGGGGCTGTGATTGCTGAAAGAGAACCAAATTTGGAACTTGCCATATCATCAACACCTTTTATGTATTTTTCATTCCTCTAGAGTAAAACCTTATCTCTTCTTACCTGTCAAGAAGAGAAACTACAATAAACAGAAATATGTGCCTTGGGGAAGATTTGTCTGTACTCTTTTGCTATTCCCTGGACAGAGACCTGGAGGCCTATTTTCAAATTAAGTTGGTTATGATGTGTGTGAATGATACGGTTAGTAAGACAAACTAGGCAATAGATCAAAAAGATAAGAAAGACCCACTAAGGCAAGACTGTGATCCACCTGCCAGCAGTTACCTGAGTTCTATAGCAGGGCTAGGAAGGACATATACCTATTGATCCAAGAAAATGGCACCATAACTGCATGCCCCAAGGCTCTGTCAGTATTTAAACCCTGGGGAGACAGTAATTGTGGTCCTGGCAGGAAAGCCTGTGAAACCAACTGCAGAGCTTCCCAGTATACTAGATTTGAAAATAAGAGGCTTTGCTGATAAGACAAGTGGAGCATTGAAAGTAACTTGGGATACTGAAAATCCTCTGCCAGACTCAATTCAGCTTGATTGTAATTGTTGACTCCAGGCCTATCTCTGAAAGACATCAAACACAAAAAGAAAAAAAAAAATCTGAGAAAAAAAACACAGCTTATTCCATTTGGGGGACAGAAATTGAGACATGTAACAGATGGAATGGGGAAGGGCAAAGGGCTTAATAAGATTCACTACAGGATTAGGCTTTCGTTTGATTAAAACCAGCCTATGCAGGGCAGAGGCAGAACAAAATCACACGGCTCTGACTCATCATGCTTCAGCGTGTGCAGCCACCACCAGGGGGGCAAGACCAGGTGGAAGCCATATATGCACAAGCCCTGCTAAGCAGAATCATAACTGGTGGACTCGGCTCTGAAGGTTTTGCCTTACTTTTCCATGTTATGAAAGTCTAGGCTGAAGAAAGAATAGCTCATATGGTACTAACATAGAAGCTGTCGGCTTTACATTCTCAGTGCCTAATGCAGTGGCAGATGCATCTGTGCTTGAATAACTGTTTTTGAATGAGCAAAGGCCTAACCTCTCAGTTATGTCCATGAGGTCCGGGAGGATGTATAGGTATAGTCTGTGACTAAATGTTCTGATCTGACAGTCCCATAACTTTGTAGCAGCATAATCAGTAATGCCCCCTTTCATGTGCAAAAGTGTGTCAGTTTTCAACTTACCAAAGACCTCTCCCAAAAATTAGTGATAATAAAGAGAAGGAAGAAAAGAGAAAACCTATCTTTCTACAAATAAATAAATGAAAAAATAGCTTGAGTAAGGTCTACATGTGGGTAAGGAGATAGAGTTTCAGCTCTGTGAATTTTTCTTACTATCAGAAAAAAAATATTGACTTATGTGCTTGCTTTTTTAAGCAAGCAGTCTGATTTACTCCTGGGACTTATATCTATTTCCATTTATTTAGATTACCGTTTACACCAGCAGGATTCAAGAACAATTCTATTTTGTTCAAGACAAATCATCGTTCACTCTGGGAAGCCCAAAGACATCATAAAAATAAAGAGATGTAGCAGGAAAAAGGAATGTTAATAAGAACTGGATCCACTAATGGGTTGGGATATTTATGTTTTTTACCTTTTATATTTTACATAAATTTTTTTCAACCTTTCTCTCAGACCACGAATAGGAGTTTATTATCTGGTGTGTAAACCACTTGTGAGCTTCTGGTATGACTGCTAACAAGAAAATAATATTTTCTTTCTTAAGAAAACAAAGCACAAGACTCATTTGGCCATATCAAATGCAGGACTGAACTAGAAACCTTGAAAAAATAAACGCAATTTCACATAGTATGGCATAAAGTTAGACTCTGAAGATATGGTTTGGAATTCTACTCTGTCTATTCCCAAGTGGCCTTGGACAAATCTCTTGGAGCCTCAGTTTCTCATCTGCACAATTAGGGAGTTGTTTGCTAAAGCTCCATCCATCACTGAAGCTCTATGAGTCTCTGACTTGATCATTTGGTCAGTAAGAACTAATTTCTCCCATCAGCCTTTTAGAGAAGATGGTTCGCTCCCATTCCCTATGCCCACATGCTACTAGTCATCTTCTAACACTCTGAAAAATAGCCCATGGAGGGGCATGGAGGCTCATAACTGTAATCCCAGCACTTTGGGAGGCTGAGGCAGGCAGATGGCTTAAGCCTAGGAGTTTGAGACCAGCCTGGGCAACATGGCAAAACCCTGGCTCTACAAAAAATACAAAAATCAGCCAGGCATGGTGGTATGTGTCTGTAGTCCCAGGTACTCGGGAGGCTGAGGTGGGAAGGATTCCCTGAGCCTGGGAGTCAGAGGTTGTAGTGAGCCAAGATCGCACCACTGCACTCCAACCAGCCTGGGCAACAAAGTGAGACTCTGTCTCCAAAGACATATAAAAATAGCCCCTGGGAAAAAAAAATAAAATAAAAAAAAATAAAAATAGCCCCTGGGATCTCTATGCTCTCTCAATGCCCCCATCTTTCCCTGAATCTGATGCTTTGGATTACACAATTCCATCAGAGTGACTTCTAGTAAATGAAAACTCACCATGCCTGGCTATACCTTGGCTATGGGCTCTCTGAGCACAGCAAAATATTTCAGATCAAAGATTCCATCTGTCTTGAGCTAGAAAATAGTGTCTGAATAACAAAGTTTACTGCAAATTAGCCAGCTCAGGTCCACTACTATGAAATAAATTGGTCAGTCTTCCATGTCTTCCAATATATGTTCAATGGATTCAACAATACAGCAATTTCAACCCCTCTCCTCCTCAGCAAAGAATATTACTTCATTCTACTTACCTAGAAAGGTGCCAACATTCCCTGACTTACTACTTACACCCATTGATTCAAACCTGACTCTTAGATGCGTTTATTTAAAAGAGCCTAAGCAAAGCCTAAAAGTTATTCATTTTCCATTAGTGAGAGTGGATCTTCCAGGATTTTCTGCAGTGACCTTTGTCAACCTGGTTTAAAATGGTGGTCATGATTTGCTAGTAGCCTCTGTTCCTGTGAGGTGGAAACACTTTTATATAGTCAGGCCCCCCAGGGGGGCCTGGCTTTAAACACCTGATTTTAAACATCACTTGGAGATTTCCTGAAAGATCCTTCATAGTACTATTTCTTGGAATTGTGGGGACTGTGAAATAAGATGATGTATTTAAAGCACACAAAGCCTGCATTACAAGAACTCATTTTTTTTTTCCAGTGGATGGGAAAGTTACCTTAGAAGAGGTAGATTGCAGAATTTCTTTTGATGATGATGAGGAAGGATTACTGTGAGTAGGTGGTAAAATGGTAGGGGTAGGAAAGAAGGAATTGAGGCTTATATAGATAGAAAAGTAGAAACGAATGGGAACAGATATAGAATAAAACACGAACACAGTGTGCGAAAGTTCTTCCAGACTCTAGGTTTTCAACATCTCAAATGGCACATTCATGAAAACTTTACTTTCTGGTGGGACTCGAATTCCATCCTCATTACAGAACCTGTAATCTACCTACAAACTTCCCCTTTCTGCTCTCTAAACGTGGCGGTCATAAGAACACACTCTTTGCTCCCTAGTTCTTATGCATAATTTCTCCATCTCCCCCACAGTACCAATAGCATTCACATCTCTACATTTGATTTCTGTAGTCTAAGTGGAAACAGATACCTGAGATTCTATTTTACAGGTAATTTGGTAAATTCCATAATGTCAGGGCCCATGCCCATCTAATTCTCCAGGAATTGTATCCACCACTGCTCTCCTGTATTCGACAGCCCATGTTTGATATTTTCTTTATGGTAATCATGGGAGGCATATATAGACTACAGCATTTGCTCTGTGACTAGCTGAAAACAGCTTCCCATTCAAACATTGTCCCACTCCAAACATCAGTGTTTTCCCCCATCCCTCACCCTGCTGGTAAAATCCTTTTAGCCAAATAAAATGCTTCCCAAAAGATAAGTTCATCAAAAGCCCTCACAACTCTAAACATTAGTCTTGCTAGGCTGACTCATCCTTCCCCCACCCCAGTTATATAAGGTAGATTCCTTGTGGTCCCTCAATCTCATACCCTTGTCCCTACAAGCTGGTTTCAAGGACAGTGGCTGGTACAAGATATTCTTAAACTGACACTCCCAACTCAAATCTACCAACCACTACCTTAAACCCTTGGATTGAATAAATTTGTTCCCAGTGTCTTTTCCTTGATTTTCTTTCTCTAGCTTCCTCTGTCCTCATAATTACTGTTTTTCCTCTTGAGTGCAAATGAGTCTTTCCTTCCTTATGTCATCTCCTAAACCTCCCTGAAGGAATTCTCTTGTGAGTTCTGGCAATTATAAAAAGTAGCAAGGGGCCAGGTGCAGTGGCTCACGCCTGTAATCCCAGCACTTTGGGAGGCCGAGGCTGGTGGATCAGGAGGTCAAGAGATTGAGACCATCCTGGCCAACAGGGTGAAACCTCATCTCTATCAAAAATATAAAAATCAGCTGGGCGTGGTGGCACATGCCTGTAATCCCAGCTACTTGGGAGGCTGAGGCAGTAGAATTGCTTGAACTTAGGAGGCAGAGGTTGCAGTGAGCCGAAATCACGCCACTGCACTCCAGCCTGGTGACAGAGCTAGACTCTGTCTCAAAAAAAAAAAAAAAAAAAAAAAAAAAAGTAGCAAGGATGCTAAAGATCAGTTTTAAAAAAATGAAAGTAAGTGTACATTTGGTTCTGGAAACCACATGCTTTTATGCTATCTTAGTCACTAGCAGAGAAGGGTTCCTTGACAAGGAATCAGGCTATAATATTACTTAATACTTAGTATCAAGGCAGGACTGCAAGGTGATATTTACCATGACTCTCCTTGTACCAAGGGCTGGATTTCTAGCAACTCCTTCCCTGGGGCCAAAGTCTAATACTTTTATGGCCAAAAGAAGTTATGTAACAAGTCAGAGGAGATGAAGGCGGGAATTAGATCCAGGTCCAAAGTGTCAGTGGCATTGTGCACAAAAAACTGACTCCTAGAGGGAATAAAGGTCAAAGCTGATCTGACCACTTGGCAGTTTGAGGATGTCATTAGTTGGATAAAACGTCTGAAGTCTGGCCGGGCGTGGTGGCTCACGCCTGTAATCCCAGCACTTTGGGAGGCCCAGGCGGGCGGATCACCTGAGGTCAGGAGTTCGAGACCAGCCTGACCAACATGGAGAAACACTGTCTCTACTAAAAACACAAAAATTAGCTGGGCGTGGTGGCGGATGCCTGAAATCCCAGCTACTTGGGAGGCTGAGGCAGGAGAATCACTTGAACCCAGGAGGTGGAGGTTGTGGTGAGCCAAGATCGCGCCATTGCACTCCAGCCTGGGCAACAAGAGTGAGACTCCGTCTCAAAAAAAAAAAAAGGCTGAAGTCTAACCCATTCAAAAGGGGTAGCTTGCACCTCATCTGCCAGCTCTACACTGAAATAAGAAAGGAAGCCCAGCTTCTGACGCTTCTTCCAGCAGTCAGTAGGATGGCTTGACAACCAGCACCAGACCCTAATCATCCCTTCACCATACCCCAGTGGGAAAGTATCCCTAGTACAGGGTTCAACAACACTCTGTCTCTAAGGGTGACAAACAAGAGGTTTACAAGCTAGTTTAACTGAGGTGAAGGGAGACCTGGAAAGAGGCAGTAGATGTGTCCTTGGATGGCCACACTTGTCTAATTGACGTCTTTGTGTGAATTACAAGGTTCTCATTCTGGGCCAGGTGCGGTGGCTCACACCTGTAATCCTAGCACTTTGGGAGGCCAAGGCAGGCAGATTGCCTGAGCTCAGGAGTTCGAGACCAGCCTGGGCAACACGATGAAACCCCATCTCTACCAAAATATGAAAACTTAGCCAGGCATGGCAGCATGCACCTGTAGTCCCAGCTACTCGAGAGGCTGAGGCAGGCGGAGGTTGCAGTGAGCCAAGATCACACCGCTGCA
The DNA here is from genome assembly GCF_000001405.40 of Homo sapiens. NCBI lineage: Eukaryota > Metazoa > Chordata > Mammalia > Primates > Hominidae > Homo > Homo sapiens. Next base: position 32,220,017 of record NC_000014.9, on the reverse strand, counting down.
CTCCAGCCTGGGCAACAAGCAAGACTCCGTCTCAAAAAAAAAAAAAAAAAAAAAAAACCCTCACTCTGGATGGACACAGCACCATGCGTGCACAGCTTGGATGGAATGCTAACTGGATTTTGGCCCCCATGGCTTTCTATACTTGGGAACAGTGCACAACACACAGCCACACAGTGCTGCCCCATTCCATAGTTCAGAACTAGAAATAAATTAGGTTCAAGGCAGTGTTGAAAAAGATAGTAGGTCTCATGTCTGGGTCAGCCCAACCCAAAAGCAGCCTTCTCACATTCTTCTGCAGACTCCTCTGGGGCATCAGTCCGTGCCATGTGAGCTAAGAGAAGAGGGTGTTAGGAGGAGCAAGAGTGGAGGGGACACGGTGGCCCTGCCAGGACTCACACTCAAGCCAGCCATGTCCTAACCATACTTTGACACAGCCACTGAGGCCCAATACACACCCATCATCAGCTCAGTCACCACCATCTGTCCCTGAGGAAAATTATAGAAGAACTCATGCTTGCTTATTCTGGGATACATTTGGGGATCCAACAATGATATATGAAAAATCAGGCTGAATGGCATGGTCACCAATTAAAAACAAATAGGGAAAGGCATGCAAATCAGGATCTAACGGATTCTAAAAGAAGAGGAATGGGACTACACCCATCCCATCACTACTCCAAACACCAAGAACAGATAAAACGTAAAAAGATATTTAAAAGGGATGCTCTAAAGCAAGATAATGATCTCTTTTGGCCCAACTGATTTCAGCTCTTCAGGATTCATGGGAATTCCACACATGGTGGGTACCCTGAGCCAAGCTCACTATGAGAAATCAGGACTATACCAGTGTCTCCCACCCATCCTACCAGTGACATAAGAGCTACTACAGCTGCTGCCTGACGTTTAAGCCTCCTGTGAAGCTTCAAACAAAGGGAGACAGAAGGAAACTGTCACAGTCCTGAAATTAAAGTAACTTATCCTGAGCAAGCTGCCACAAACGCAGGGACTGGACTTGTGACCTATTCAGTCCCCACTACCCATAAAATACCTGGTTCTGAGCTGACATTCCAGGGGGACTAAGGGAGAGACAACCATTCAGGAAGGAATGAGTGAAGAAAGAGGGAAAGAGGGACACTCTCTAAATGAAGAAAACCAACAAATGTCAGCCAACACAGCAAATGCAATGGAAAAAATAATCCAAAAAGGGTATATATATTTTCAGGATCTTCACAGAGATAGTGGAAGGAATAACATTCATTTAAAAGATGAAATGAAAACATGCACAAATGAAATTAGAAGAGGTAAATGAAAAATATGATAAATGAAAAATACAGAAACCGAAAAGCTTAATGAATTAGATCACCTCTAGTCTGTACACTCTCAAAAAAAGATTAGGGAATTGAAAAACTATGCTGGGAGTACACTACTGAGAAGGAGAAAAAATTATGAATGGGCAGTTAAGAGACATGGAGAATATACAGATACCCTTCAAAATATAATCAAGTGCAGAAAAACAGAGAGTTGGAATTAGAAGGGCAGCAGTATTCAAAGGATTAGTGGCTAAAAATTTGCAAGAACTGAAGAAACACAAGAAACCACATTTCGAAATGCATTCTGTAAAGCAAGGTGAATCAATAAAAATAAATTCACAACCATAGTGTGTTGTCAAACTACAAAACATTGTAAAAATTACTAGAGAAAAGACAAATTCCTATGAAGGAATGACAATTAGACTGACAATGGGTTTTCCATCAGCTACAATCAATGCCAAAAGAAAATGGAGTATAGTTCCCACATACTGAGAGAAACTAATTATCTACCTTGAATTCTATATGTAGCTATTTAGGCATAATAGACAAACAGAGTTTACCACTCACAGACTCCCACTGAAAAAAACATTTAAAAACTGAAGAATGCACTTCAGGAAGAAACAATCCAGAGAACAATGAGGAGAGAAATTGACAAAAATATAATAGTGGTATATTTAATTCTTAACCATAAAAATAACTATTTTGTGGGGTTTTGGGGGGGTTTATTTAAAGGTAAAATAAAACTCTAGACAACAACAAGAAGAAAGATACGTGGAGTATCTGTACAGGGGGAGGGGAGGAATCAATAGATTATTTTCTTATCCATAGGAGAAGAGATATACTGAATAAACACAGGCCTTATAGACATTTCAAAATTGAAGTATGTGTTAAAACTGTAAGGACAACTAATAAAACAAGAAAAATACATCATATATATTCCAAGCCAACAAAGGGAATGAAGGGGAATAGAGAAAAAAAAATCCCACAGAAGGTAGAAAAGAAAAAAAAGGCAGCAAGGAGAAAGGGTGATTGCGGCAGAAGTGCCCAGATGTCTGCCAAAGGTCTGTGTTCCTCTACCACGTGAGGGAGGGTCGTTGGAAGTGGCTGCCACAGTAACTTTATTTCCTAGGTCCCTCTTGCATCTAGGTGGGACCATGTGACTAGTTCTCATCTATGAAATGTGAGAGGTGACATAAATTACTTCCAGGCTAATGTGGTTAAAGAAGCAGGTGTGTCTACTCCACTGCCTCTTTCCCTTTCTGTGGTGATTATGCACCCCACACATACGGAGTGACAGAGCCACTAGATGGAAGGAAGGAGCCTGGTTTCCTGAACGACTGCAAGGGGCAGACCATCTATCCTATCTGTGCCACTGACTGGATTTCACATGATAAAATATAACTGCTTTATATTTTAGATAAAATATAACTGCTTTATATTTTAGATAAAATATAACTGCTTTATATTTTAGATAAAATATAACTGCTTTATATTTTAGATAAAATATAACTGCTTTATATTTTAGATAAAATATAACTGCTTTATATTTTAGATAAAATATAACTGCTTTATATTTTAGATAAAATATAACTGCTTTATATTTTAGATAAAATATAACTGCTTTATATTTTAGATAAAATATAACTGCTTTATATTTTAGATAAAATATAACTGCTTTATATTTTAGATAAAATATAACTTTTATATTTTATAATATACATAAAGTATAATTATTTTATAAACTATATAAGTATTACTATATATATAAATATTAAATATAATTATTTTATCATGTAAAATCTAATCTTCAATGTGCTGAGCCACTGAGGTCTCCGGATTAATCTGTAACCTCAGCCAACACTGCCTTAAGTAATATAAATGGTAAACAGGAAACACAAAATAAGCCAAACATATCAACAATCACAAAAATGTAAATAGATTAAGGCAGGAGTTGGCAAACTATAGCTGGCAGAACAAATCTACCCATGCCCATTTATTCACGTGGCCTGAGGCTGCTTTTGAGTAGCTGTAACAGATACTGTATGACCCACAGAACCTAAAATATTTACTGGCTGACAGAAAAAAGTCGCTAACCCCCAGATTAAATCTACATATTTTAAAATGGAATGAGATTGGTTTAATTTTTAAGATCTGAACAATGCTATTTATGACAAACATAATTTTGAAAATCACACCAAAGACTAGAAAATACACAGAAGGATAAAGATATTCCAAGCAAATATTAACCAAAAGGATACATACTTAGCAATATTGATACAATATAAAAGTTAACCACAACTGCATTAATATGGATAAGTAAACTACATTAAAAAAGTAAACTACATAAAAATAAAATTAAAAAGATATACCCACAAAATATAACAATCTTGAACTTATAAGTGCCTCATTACATAAAGCAAAAATAAGAGTTACAATGAAAATTTTTTCAGAACTATAAATAAAGAGGCAAATCTTACCACAAATCTTTCAGAAACTGATAAACCAATAAATTTTGGTTAAAGAAGCAGCAGTTAAAAGATTTGAAAGCTGTGAGAGAACAGGTGAGGGTTTCAGAACCACCCGAGGGGCTTGTTCAAGTAACACATACACTGCCCACCTTATCCAGAGAGAAGAAAAGTGAGAGATCCTTTGAGAACAACTGATTCAGTATATCTCTTTGATTGTGGAAGAGGGGCATACCTTAGGGGTGTTATGCTATTGTCTCAGTATGATTTGCGCTGCTATAACAAAATACCTAAGACTGAGTAATCTATAAAGAAGAGAAATGTATTCTGTCACCGTTCTGGAGGCTGGAAAGTCTAAGATCAAGGCATCAGCAGGTTCAGTTGTCTGGTATGGTCTGATCTCTGCTTCCAAGATGGCACCTTGAATGTTGTGTCCTCACATGGCACAACATTAAGCCCTCCTTTAAGCCTTTTTATAAAGGCACTAATCCCATTCACAAGGGATGGAGCCCTCCTGACCTAATCACCTCTTAAATGTCTCACCTCTTAACAGCATTACATTAGCCATTAAGTTTCAACATTTGAATTTTGGAAGTGGAAGGGACACATTCAAACCATAGCAGCTATGATTGAAAAATTAAAAAAAAAAAGGTTAAGAACTGTCTTTCTCCAGGTGGGGAACAGCAGTCAATCTCAATGATAAGTGCTCTGAAAAGAAACATATGTTGATTTACCAAGTATTTAAATCGTTTCCAACACGAGCTTCTCCATAGCTACCAGGGATATAAAAGGACTGGAATAAGAAGAACAAAACATCTGTTGTAACAGTGATCAGGTATCTCTCCTGAATTTCTGAATAATTGTTCCTAAAATTCAAAATGGGTAAAAGCTTTGTCTTATTATTACAGATTCAGTTTAACTAAATAAGAACGGCTCAAAACAGGTAATATTTTTTAAGTTGTTCAAAACAATCTATATATTGACCCAAAATGTTGGCCATCCAGCTTTAGGGAAATTTTATCAACAGACAATGTATTAAAAGGTACTCCATTCCCTTTAAAAGTTCAAGGTCCAGACCGGGCGGGGTGGCTCACGCCTGTAATCCTAGTACTTTGGGAGGCCGAGGCAGCGGATCACGAGGTCAGGAAATCGAGACCATCCTGGCTAACACGGTGAAACCCCGTCTCTACTAAAAATATAAAAAATTAGTAGGGCATGGTGGCGGGCGCCTGTAGTCCCAGCTACTCGGGAGGCTGAGGCAGGAGAATGGCTTGAACCCGGGAGGCGGAGCTTGCAGTGAGCCGAGATGGCGCCACTGCACTCCAGCCTGGGCTACAGAGCGAGACTCCACCTCAAAAAAAAAAAATAAAAATAAAAATGAAAATAAAAAAAATTCAAGGTCCAGCCGGGCTCAGTGGCTCACGCCTGTAATCCCAGCACTTTGGGAGGCCGAGGCGGGCCGATCACGAGGTCAGGAGATCGAGACCATCCTGGCTAACACGGTGAAACCCCGTCTCTACTAAAAATATAAAAAATTAGCCAGGCATGGTGGCGGGCGCCTGTAGTCCCAGCTACTAGGGAGGCTGAGGCAGGAGAATGGCGTGAACCCGGGAGGCGGAGCTTGCAGTGAGCCGAGATGGTGCCACTGAACTCCAGCCTGGGCGACAGAGCGAGGGAAAAAAAGTTCAAGGTCTCAGCCTGGCCAATATGGTGAAACCCTGTCTCTACTAAAAATACAAAAATTAGCTGAGTGTGGTGGCGGTTGCCTGTAATCCCAGTACTCAGGAGACTGAGGCAGAAGAATCGCTTGAACCCGGGAGGTGAAGGTTGCGGTGAGCCGAGATTGTGCCATTGCACTCCCGCCTGGGTAACGAGAGAGAGAGACTCGGTATCAAAAAAAAAAAAAAATAATAAAATAAAAAAAAAATAAAAAAAGCTCAAGGTCAAAGTTCATTGAGCAAAATAAATCTAATTTAGTCTAAGGAAACCATCAAAGGGCAGTTTAACTCTGTGACAAAATAGAAGAATGGAAGTTCCTCCTCTAATCAGCATCAGTCCATTTGATTTCCCTTCCCATAAGCAACTCTAGCCATTGCTTATGGGAAGGGATTTATAATAATGTAGTCAATGTAGCAAAATCTCCTTTACCAAAGTAAGTTCTGTGACCATTGAAATTTCTAATGAATATATTTTGAGAATATATCATCAAAGGCAAGAGTAAAGAAATTGTGTGTAAATAATGGACTGTAGGCAATATTTTGGAGTAATGAGGAGTGCAGTTGATAGAAAAGAAAATTCTAATGTGGAAGGCAGAGAATCACTACTGTTTCTTAAAGAGATGAGTGACATGGTGAAAATGGTGTTTGTACAAATGGCAGACAATTATGCACAAAAGGGATTACAGGAAGAGGAGAGAAGCTAGAAGACTTCTGTTTTGGGTGGTGGTTCTTTTTTTTTTTTTTTGAGACACAGTCTCACTCTGTCACCCAGGCTGGAGTGCAGTGGCACATTCTCAATTCACTGCAACCCCCACCTCCCGGGTTCAAGCAATTCTTATGCCTCAGCCTCCTGAGTAGGTGGGATTATACAGGTGTGCGTCATCAGGCCTGGCTAATTTTTTGTATTTTAGTAAAGATGGGATTTCACCATGTTGCCCAGGCTGGTCTCCAACTCCTGAGCTCAAGCAATCTGCCCACCTTGGCCTCCCAAAGTGCTAGAATCCACAGGCATGAGCCACCACGCCCAGCCTTAAAGCTAGAAGACTTTTGGATAGTTCAGGTATGAGGCAGTGTGGGTGGGGGCTTAGAGCTCCAAGAGAATGAGATGTAATGTGAATGAAGCCTGGAGAGGAGGAATCAACTGGACTTTGTGAATAACTCCATGAGAGAGGAGGAGGAGGCCCAAGAAGAAAGGAGGAAGGCAGAATAGAGGAGGAAGAAGATGACTACATTTTCAAAACTTTGGTCCAGGCAAGGTGACAGGGAAAAGAAACCTGTATTGACTTGTGGAAGGTTAGTTAGTTTTAGGCTCCTGGAATGTAAGATTAAAAAAAAAAAAAAAAAAAAAGGAAAGATTAAAAACCAGGCCAACAATTGGAGAACACAGTGATTTACAAAGGGTAGCTAGCCCACAGAGCCCTGCATCAGAATCCCCTGGGTGCCTGTTCAAATACAGATTCCAGGGCTCCTCTCCAGACCTACTAAATCACAGTTCCCAGTGCTGGGACCCAGGAATCTGGATCATATGAGTTCACAGAAGGGACATACTGAGCACACTGGCCTGTATCCCCTATTGAACCAGAGATGCACATATGCACACTCTGTATACCAAATCCCAAGTGGCTAAGCTTACCCAAGGTTATTGAAGTGGAAGCAGGATCCAAGCACTAAGGCTGGGGGTCTCAGTGGTTATGGGTTATGGGTTATGGATAGAGCAGCCAGTGAGGGATACAGAAAACAAGAAGTTTATAAACTTAGCATGAACCAGGATTATACATCACAAGAATGAGGACGTTTCTAGTGGAAGCATCATTGGATAGTTGAATGTTGGGTTTTGCCCCACCCCCCCCATTCTGAAGTACTAGGTGATTATACTGGAACCTTAACAGCTGACTAAGAATACAGTTTGAGCCTGCTGATACTCACTCTAGGCAATAACAAAGATCAATTGGCTAATAGTAGGTACAAGTAGTAAAACATTTAAGTCTTAATTTCCTCAAAGAGACAGCAGATCTTACCTCTCTCATTTTCATCATGTATTTAATAAACAGGACCCAAATGTACAAAACGTTTGTGTTAAAAAAATTAAGAAACATGTTAAACAGATAATACCTAATATTCTAAGCTTTGGGTGGCAGGGAAGGTGACTGGCCCTAAGTTTGCTTTCCCTTAAAGTTACACCGTTTCCTTTCCAATGTTGTTGTTTTTAACTGGTCATAATTTCCAAGATAACAGCTGACTACTGGGTTGTATTCCTCAGCTTAAGAATTGTAGGCAAGTGCTCTTCAGGATGTAGTGAAGGTCTCTGATGCAAATGCCCAAATGTTTTTGAATTAATGAATTATAAAAATCCGGCCGGGCATGGTGGCTCACACCTGTCATCCCAGCACTTTGGGAGGCCGAGGTGGGCAGATCACAAGGTCAAGAGATGAGACCATCCTGGCCAACATGGTAAAACCCCATCTCTACTAAAAATACAAAAATTAGCTGGGTGTGGTGGCATGTGCCTGTAGTCCCAGCTACTCGGAAGGGTGAGGCAGGAGAATTGCTTGAACCCAATAGGCGGAGGTTGCAGTGAGCCAAGATCGTGCCACTGCACTCCAACCTGGAGACAGAGCGAGACTCCATCTCAAAAAAAAAAAAAAAAACTAAAATAAAAAATAAATTTAAAAAATTCCAATCACCGCAAACCTTAAAACTGAAAAGTTTCTCACCGCAACAACAGCAATTTACACACCTGCTATGCTTTGCAATGTAAAGGCACAAGCGTTTCTCACAGATCTTTCTGTCAACCCTAAAAGGCAAGCAGGGTAGTTATTATCCCCATTTCATAAGAGAATGTGGGTTGTTCAAGGGCTGGGACTGGGGTTTGAATTCTGACCATCAGACCAAAATATCGTTCCATGACACCCAAAACACACAATTAATTAAAAAGAAATTTTTTTCACTCTGTAAAAATAATTGGACAGGAAGATTTGATTAATAAGTGTTTTACTTGCAATTAACACTATCAAATATGACAACAGGGGCAGCCTCAGTTTTTTTGGTAGATTGAAACTTAGACTTCTTGGTAAACAAAAACCTTCATGAGCTGTGTGAATGAACAGAGTTGATGGGGGGAGTGAAATCACAGCGTCAATAAAGAGATGTGAAATGTAAAGGCTTTATGCACCTTGGGTCCTAGCATGAGAAATTAACTCCTACCCACCTTTACAACCCAGGAATATACAGAGCCATTCCTAGAAGCAGTGAGGCTGGCCCATAGAGGCGATCATGTAGGAGGGCCTGAACAGCCACCAGGGGAAGAAGTGAGTGGAGGCTCATAATAGGAGTCCAGGGGTGTGTGTCACTCAGACCCACTGTTCTAGAATGATTCAGGTTAAACCTAGCTAGAGTAGAAGTGGCTAAGATTAAAAAGTTAATTACAGGCCAGGCGTGGTGACTCATGCCTGTAATCCCAGCACTTTGGGAGGCCGAGGCAGGCGGATCATGAGGTCAGGAGATCAATACCATCCTGGCTAACACGGTGAAACCCTGTCTCTACTAAAAATACAAAAAAATTAGCCAGGTGTGGTGGTGGGCGCCTTTAGTCCCAGCTACTCGGGAGGCTGAGGCAGGAGAATGGCATGAACCTGGGAGGCGGAGCTTGCAGTTAGCTGAGATCACACCACTGCACTTCAGCCTGGGTGACAGAGCAAGACTTCGTCTCAAAAAAAAAAAAAAAAAGTTAATTTCAAAGAATAATCTCATTAATAGCTTCCTAAGACCCTGAGAACCCAAGACAACATTGTTTTGTGATACTGATTGCGCTGAAGAGCAGCATGAGAAGACATCACGGTGTAGAAGTTATTTCTGAAATCGCCCCCATGTGAGCAAACCCTGTCTCACCATGAAGTAAGTGAGGTAGAGTCATGGAAAGATGTTGTTACAGTTGTGTGACTTTATTATACATTATTTCATTCAGAAAGTATTGAGGTCAGACTTTGTGGCAGGCATTGTTGTAGACAGTTGGAATACAGCAATAAATAGAACAGATGAAGTCTTGCTCTTTGGAAATGTTATTCTAGTTGGGGAAGACAGAAAGCAAGCAAAGAAATAAATACGTGTGTGATGGAAAGAGCTGCCACGAAAAAAGTAAAGCAGGATAAAGGGAATATGACTTGGCAAAATGCAAGTTGTGTTTCTGCTTTAAATCTGTTTTTATAAATCATTGAAAATCCATTTGAATAATCTTAGTAGTTGTGAATGTTGAGGATCATTTCATAATGATAACAGAATCAATTCATCAAGAAGACACAGCAATCCTAAATACGTATGTAACAGGAGAACTTCAAAATACATGAAGAAAAAAATGTCAGAACTGAAAGGTCAGATTGAGAACTCTGGAATTACAGCTGGAAATTTAAACAGTCCTCTTTGAATAACTGATGAAAGATATACAGAAAATAAGGATATGCATGATTTGAACATTATCAACTAAGTTGGCTAAATAACCCATGTGACAAAGAAAAATATTTAAAAATATAAACACAGTACAATAAAATTTGTAGGATTTAGCTAAAGTAGTGCCTAGAAAGAAATGTATGGCTTTAAATGTTTGTATTAGGAAAGAAAAAAGGTCTAAAATTAACAATCTAAACTTCTACCATGAGAAACTAGAGAAAGAAGAGGCAATTAAACCAAGAGTAAACAAAAGGGAGGAAATAATAAAAGGCAGAAATCAACAGAAAATGAACAATTCTATTTTGGGTTTCCAAAAAACCCAAAAACTGGTTTTTCAAAAAATGTAATAAAACTGATAAATTTCTGGCCAGATGGATCAAGAAAATAAGAGAGAAAATACAAAATACCAACATCAGCAATGAAAGAGACTACACTACATATACTATACTACAAAGATTAAAAGAAAATAAGGTAATATGAAAAATTTCATGCTGCTACTTTAGGACAAAACTACTGTTTTCCTTGGAAAAAAACAGAAGCACATACAGAGTTATATTTCTTTGAAATAGCTGTTTCTAAGTGTAGTCAACCATGTAACTATCACTTTTAACCAAAGTAACTTCTATTTTGCAGAGAAAAGTGGGGGGCTGGATAATTGTGAACTGTCACAACCCAGCATTTTATCAGATTAGCAGAGGTCGTCAATATGCATAACACAACTTTCTACAGTGGCTAATATCCCTAATACAACTTCTCAAAGTGGCAAAAATAAACACGTTCCTTAATATGACCCAAAGAGATAGCCTGTCTATAGCACATAAAAATAAAAAGCAAAAGTAAAGCTATAATTATGCTTAATAACTAATATTTTAATTGTTACTTAGAAATTATCTAGATATGCAGTGATTTTTCCATTAACTAGCCCAATTTAAAACCGATCCAAGACTTTAATTTACATAGATCTCGGAAACTTATCTTCAATCTGACATGCTACAGACCAATGACTAACGAAAAGTTCACCAAAACAAGTATGCAACTTGGTCAAACGCAAATTTACATTTTTCATAAGCAAGCATTAAGTAGAAGTAATGCAAGCTTATTTGATCAGTAAACCTGCATACACTTAGAAAAACATACCCAGGCACAATAAAAATCTACACTTATATATAACACTGATAAGCCAAAGAAGACACAGCTGTTTTTACTAAACCAAATTAATACAACAGTCTAGTTTACCAAAGATTTGCCTAAATTATGTGAATTTGAATTCTTAAAATGTTCCTAAGCTGGTTGCTTTTGGAATACTTTTTAAATCTAGCACATTGAAATTTTTAGAAATTCCATTTCTTATTTTCTGGGCATTATTGGCATACTATGCTTATGTAAGCATTTATTCATCTCTTAAACCAGCAGTCTCCAACTTTTTTTGGCACCGGGGACTGGTTTCCTGGAAGACAAATTTTCCCTGGGGTTGGCGGGATAGACGGTTTGGGGATGAAACTGTTCCACCTCAGATCATCAGGCATTAGATTCCCATAAGGAAGGTGCAACCTAGATCCCTCACAATCACAGTTCACAATAGGGTTTGTACACCTATGAGAATCTAATGCTGCTGCTGATCTACCAGGAGGCAATGCTCGCATGCCCTCTGCTCACCTCCTGCTGTGCGGCCGGGTTCCGAACAGGTCACAGACAGGTACCAGTCCATTGCCTGGGGGCTGGGGACCTTTGTCTTAAATCAATCAGAACCGGACTCCTTTAATGTAGGAGATTTCATAATCTAAGTTGTTAACACCCTCTGGATTTAGGAAAGCATTACACATTCATATAATGAGAGATAAAGACCTTTCTGAATTACAAACATGCAGACATAGAGTTTATAGCTTTAATTCTAAAATTTCACTCACGGGTCAAGAATAAACACGGAAGCACAAAAAAAATTACTAATTCAGATATCAAAGAGCTGTTCCCCTTCTTGATGGGCACAATATTCTTAATTGATTTGAGCCCAAAATGGACAAAAGGTGTATAAACAAGACTAATAAACTAGTTTCTCTATAGTCTGTCACCCAACAGAGACTAGATCTCTATAAATATTAATCCATTCACAGAGCTTACCAAATGATTAGACCATGACACCAAATTCCCAATCATTGTTTCCACCCAGTACAGCAGACACACTGGCTGGCTGGAAGCAAAACAGAGACAAATCACAAACTTAATAGAGAAAAATATTAAAATTAGAAAAACAGAGTCACCAAAGTTCTATTGTCATTTGGCAGCCAAGAAAAAAATGTGTTTGGGCTTTAAGCAGCCCACAAGCTAGTCTGGTGAAACGTATATCTGGTTTTGTTAAGATGAATCCAATAGACAACTCATTGGAAGACCTCCAAACTTTTAAAAAGACAATTTTTTTAAAAAAGTGGATAAAATCATGCCTCTCATACACATAAAAAATGAACACACGTTAAAGATTTTATCACGAATCAATGCGGAAACGCAGGAGACGTTACAACTAGTTCAAAAGAGAAATAAAAAAATTATGTGGAATAAAGGAAGGTTGAATGTGCAAATGGAAGCAAAACTGGGTTCTTCCATAGTGGTGAAGAGAAGTCAATTGAACTTCCAGTCAGGAGAGAATTTGCACAGCTATAAACAGAAATTATTAACTGCCATCAGTTATCTACAATCTACAGAGTTGTAAAATAGCTTCCATAGAATGTGAATCAGATTTTGTATTTTCCAGACAATCCAGTTTTCTACCTGGGCACAAATGTTTTTTCCATACAAATAACATCTATTTGTAAATAACATTTTTCTGAAATAACATTTCAGAAAAGTGGATGAGTGTATATAGAGTTAAATTTGTAGTAATTACAAGAAATTAAGAAGTTCCTCTCTGACATGGTTTTTTCCCTACCATAAAACAGAACATGAGGTTTACACATCTTCTACACATTAGGGAACTGGTTGCCATGAAAGGGCTCCAAGCACCAAAATATCTCACATCAGCTTTACCAGAGTGACTTTCTCATTTCATTAAAAGTAGCCATTAAAACACAGATAGGTCATATGGGTGATATGCCAGTGATTCTCTGAATACAGTGGCATAAGTCAATCCTCTGGAAACTGTAAGAAGTTGGGTCTGGGAATCTATCACTAAGAAAGCTTGAGAAATACTGTTCTAGTATATTTTAGTTTGTGGAGTTAGTTAGCAGAGCCCTGAAGAAATAAAACCCAGACTGATGAGTCTTTAAATATCCTTACAATTGTAAGTGGGACATTTAGGAGGAGTCTTGGGGAGCCAGTGGGTGCATTATGAGGGAAGGAAGTATGGCCATAAAAGGAAGCCAGTAGCAAAGAAAGGGGCCTGGTGGGGAACTCGAAACAAGCTTCACCTGATGTAGTGTGTCTGATGGAAAAGAAAGGAGAAGAGAGGAAAGAAAGAAGGGTGCTGACAAGCCCAAAGAAGATCTTATAAAGGCTGAGAGCTCACAGGAGGCGTGGAGAGAAAGAGAGAGGCAGAGGGAGAATGCAGAAAGATATCTCACAGACACCCCGGCCGTACTCAGGACAATTAAATCAGAATCTCTTTCCAGGCACAGTGGTGTGCACCTGTAAACCCAGCTACTTGAGAGGCTGAGGCAGAAGGATCATTTGAACCCAGGAGTTCCAGATCAGCCTAAGCAACATAGTGAAGACCCTGTCTAAAAACAACAATAACAAAGTCAGAATCTCCAGGGGAGGACTCAGTCACTCGTATTTTTAAAAGCTCTTGTGATTGCGACCTGCAGCCCAGGTTGATAACCTTTGTTTCCCACCTGGAGTTCACCAATTTCACACCAGGTGACGCCGGTCATTGATGCTGTGGTTCTAAATGACTCATCTGTTCCTTGCTAAAGAGGATGTGAGGATTTAGGATGAGTTTCTTCTTCTTTTTAATTAGAGCAAAATTCCTGAAGAGGAAATGACCTGTGGTTTTTGACTTTCAATTGTGTCACATCACCAAATGTGCCCTTTCTGTGAGTAAAAAGAACAAGGTCAGCTTTCCACTTAGTGTGTGCTGTCTTGTTCTGCAGTCAAATGAGCAGAACTCAGAAATATAATTGTAAAATGGCAGGCTTGAGGTCTTTATCTTTTTCTTTGCAGTTTACTGCAAATAGTATGACCTAGTAATACTACAAATGGTGCAGTGAAAACAGCAATGAATTCGGCATCAGAAGATGGTAGGACCAGTGGCCAATCTTGCCCAGGGAGGTCACTACACTTATATCAGCCTCAGTTTCCTCTTCCAAAAAATAAGATACATCTCTTTGGATCTAAAATGTCATTGATTGCGAAATGCACCATAGTTTTACATGTCACAAAGGAAAGGCAGTTGTTTTATTTCAGTTAATGTAAATCGTTAAAATTATTATGTTTATTGATGAGTTCAAATGTTCCAGAATATAAAAATAAAACATTTGTCTCACTGAAAAAATCCTTTAAATAAATTTCTTAAAGCCAATTTGTTAATAATTCCTATTAAGTAAGACTCATCGTGAGGGTGGTGGGGGGAGTGCGGTGGCTCACGCCTGTAATCCCAGCACTTTGGGAAGCTGAGGCAGGTGGATCACCTGAGGTCAGGAGTTTGAGACCAGCCTGGCCAACACGGCGAAACCCCGTCTCTACTAAAAATACATAGCCGGGGCGTGGTGGCGCACGCCTGTAGTCCCAGCTAATTGGGAAGCCGAGGCAGGAGAATCACTTGAACCTGGGAGGCGGAGGTTGAAGTGAGCCGAGATCGCACCACTGCACTCCAGCCTGGTTGCCAGAGTGAGACTCCGTCTCAAAAAAAAAAAGACTCATCGTTCTCAAATGAGTCAAATCATACAAAATATTATTTAATTAAATAGCCACCTACCTCATAACTTTCCTATAAGGATGTGATAAAGAACACTATTTCCTCCTAAAAAAAAACGTGATTGGAAATTCATATATGCTTAACCACGGGTACTAACACTAGAGTTGTTTTTGTCAAAATGCAAATACGGCATCTTAAATATTTTTGAGTTTAGCAGAAGCCAATAATGTTTTAATGTTGCAAGTGTGCAGTGTGAAGACATGCTAAACTCACAAATGTTTAAGATCTCATATTTGCATTTGGCAAAAACAACTTTAATCTAGCCTAATAAAAGTAATTTGTTAGAACGAGTAACCAAACAACTATGGAAAGCACCTGCTCATGGGATCAAATGATCCAGAGACTCAAATGACATCAACACTCTTTCCTAATTTCTTTCCCTGATCCTATTATTCTCTCAATTCTCTTCCATGGGATACAGAACTTGGCCACCACAGGCCAGGGGTTAAATCCTTATAACTCACAAGTAAACTTATAACTCACAAACTCACAATGTTTGTTTATAAACATTGGTTAATGGGTACAAAGATACAATTAAAGAAGAGGGAAAAAATTCTGATGCTCTATTGCACGGTAGGGTGAAAATGGTTAACAGTAAAATTTTGTATACCACAAAATAGAAGAGAGGCTACTGAATGTTCTCACCACAGAGAAAGGATAAATGCATGAGGTGGTGGATACACTACCTTGATTGGATCGTTATACAACATAGATATGTATCGAAACATCAAATTGCACCCCATAAATATGTACAATTACAACGTGTCCTCAAAACAAAACAAAAAGCAAGCAAACCACCAGACCAGACCTTCTACTTGGCTTGTTCATGGGTGTATCCTAAAATCATTAAAGGAAAGATTTCTGGGAGACTTTATAGTGTGAGGGGTCAGACGGCTGACCGCACCTGCACCCACAGGTCAGGGGTAGGCATCACTCACACGGGGACAGCCAGCGGATACACTACTCTTGCTGAGGTGCAGTAAGCACACACCCTACCACTGTGTTTGAAGCCGTGCGGGCGTCAAAACAAAACACAACACAACCAGAATCTAATGAGTCCATTACCCCTAACCATAAATTTTCAAGAAACATGGAGGCTAGAGAAACAAGTTAAACGACACCATCAGTAAGTAATGGGCCAAATCCCAAGATCTGCGACAATCCACAGGGCAAATATCCCTCAGTATACGAATGACGTGAAGAAAAACGAGGCGAGGGCAATTAGAGGACAATAGACACCCAGGGTCGTAGCAACCGAATACAACCTGGGACCTTGTTTGGATCTCTATGACAATTCGACTGTAATAAGGAATTTCTGAAATAAGGAAATTTGAAAGTAGACTGAATATTAGGTGCCATGAAGGAATTACCTTAACTTTTCTAGGTGTGATAATGGTCGGTTAATTACTTTTTTAAAAAAAATTACTCATCAGAGGAAGTTAATGGTGAAACGACCTGTTCTAAAGGTGCGCGCCGACCCCGGGCCGGCCCTCTCGGTGCCGCAGCAGCCTCGTTATCGGGGCGTCTCCAGCTCGCCTGGGCGCTGGACCCCGCCGCGCGCTCAGAGGCGGCCGCAGCATTGGCAGCTCCCGGCATGCTCCGCGGGCTGAGCTCCGCGGCACGAGAACTCAAAGCCCCCGGCCTGGGTCCTACGCGGGGCCCTTTACCCAGGGTGCCCCGGGCGCTCATTTGCATGTCCCACCCAACAGGTAAACCTGACAGGTCATCGCGGCCAGGTACGACCTGGCGGTCAGAGCACCAAACATACGAGCCTTGTGATGAGTTCCGTTGCATGAAATTCTCCCAAAGGCTCCAAGATGGACAGGAAAGGGCGCGGTTCGGTCACCGTAAGTAGAATAGGTGAAAGACTCCCGTGCCTTATAAGGCCTGTGGGTGACTTCTTCTCAACGTGCTCGCTTCGGCAGCACATATACTAAAATTGGAACGATACAGAGAAGATTAGCATGGCCCCTGCGCAAGGATGACACGCAAATTCGTGAAGCGTTCCATATTTTGCGCAGTCTGTCAAGATCATTTCAGTATCTGCTAATTAGTACTAAGGAAACAGTGTGAATCTAAGCGAAAACGTGTGGCACCCAATGACGAAACAGTGGTTTTCATTACAAAAAATTTGTGAAATCTATGAAGTGGGAACGAAGCAGAGTCACCCGAGGAATGTTGTGTGCGAATAGATCGTTAATACGCATTTTGGAAATGGAAAAAGGTCACCTTGTGCCTTCTTCATTGAACTTTTCATTCTGAAATAGACTTACGGTCTTGTCTCACCAAACAACACAAACTCCAGAGCCCCAGCTTGTTTGGCTTTTGTTCAGTAGAAGACCAACTGGCATATGAATTGTTCAATAAATCCTTACTAAATCTTTCCTAACCTAATAAATCTCTACTAAAGGAAGGAAACATTAGCGCTCATTTCTTGCGCCTACTTTGTGCCATTCTCCATCATCTTAGACCTGAGTGCTTACACCCTTTCTCTTAGACTGCGAGCTGCACAAAGGAAAGGAATGTTACTAAGGGCTGGTATTATTGGAAATCAATGTTGGCCTTTGCCTATAGATTCAAGAGCTCCAGGACCCATGTGAATACTGGCCACAAGTAGCAAGCCCATCTGGATCTGTTTTCACGAGTCTTCTGTTTTCATGTATCCTCTAAGAAGTACTTAGAAAGGGCCGATTTACATAAATCGGACAGATTCTGTGATGGGAAATTTGATTAGGAGGAATGTTCATTGCCCAGCCTGAAAGCATATTTTAATCAATGAAAACAAGTATTTGGACGCAGATACGAGGATCACCTAGGTAACTTAATAGTAACGTAACTAGGCGCCTCGAAGATGGAGGCTGTCGAGGAAGTGTGCCCACTGTGCGACAGGACTGGTGGGAGGCCCGGACAGCATCGTAGGTGTCTACTGGGCCAAGCTCGCGAGCAGGAAAATGCAGGCCCCGAGAGATCTTGAACAACCTCTAGGAACACCACCGTATCTTGCCCAACGACCTTCGTTGAACCGCGCAAAATATGGAACGCTTCACGAATTTGCGTGTCATCCTTGCGCAGGGGCCATGCTAATCTTCTCTGTATCGTTCCAATTTTAGTATATGTGCTGCCGAAGCGAGCACGCAAATAAGTCCGTCCCCAGGTCTTATAAGGCACGGGAGTTTCTCATTTGTTTTCCTTACGGTAACCTAATCGAGCGCTTTCCTGTCCATCTTGGAGCCTTTAGGAGAATTTCATGTAACGGAACTCATCACAAGGCTCGTAAGATTGGTGCTCTGACCGCCAGGCCGTATCTGGCCGCGACCGATCTGTCAGGTTTACCTGTTGGGTGGGACATGCAAATGAGCGCCCGGGGCACCCTGGGTAAGGGACCCCGCGTGGGACCCAGGCCCCGGGGCTTTGATTTCTCGTGCCGCGGACTTCAGTCCGCAGAGCATGCCGGGAGTCTGGCAGTCCGTGCGGCAGCAGTGGAGCGCAGAGGACAGGGCCGGCCTGGAGCGCTTGGCGTCTCCCCGAAGTCTCTCTGAGAGCTGGGGAGGCGGTTGGCCCGCTAGGTCACTAGGTCGGGCAGGGGTCTTCCCCCAAACATGGAAGTTTTCACCGATATTTCGCCGGTGACATTGGGGCCTTGTGCCAACAGACTTTGCTGAAGTGAACCCAAAGTTCAACCCTCCGGGAGAGTCCTTGCAACGATTCGGCCACTCAGTTCTGGAGCCGTCGGCACTACATTCTAAGTTGCGGTGGACTCCACTGGCATCTGCGTGACTATCTCCGGCCGGTGTGCATAGGCGCCCGTCGGGTCGGGGGCTGAGGACCTTGGACAGGGCGGCCACACCCCTCTCGTACAGCAGCGCCTCTGTCCATTCTGCGCAGGCGCCTCTGGGGTCAGGGACGGAGGAACCCGGGCGAGTAGCCACGCCCCTTCACAGGTGTCTTCCCTCGACCGCTACTTTCGCCCCTGGCAGCCAAACACAGGAACGCTGAAAAACAGGCTGAGAGGTGGATTTGAGGAATTACATCGTTCACTTAGAGTTGAACTGGAGAAGCATTCTTGTACGTCCTTATACCTCCCTGCACTCTCATCCTAACCCTGTTAGGATACAAAAGTACGGGACAGACCTACTCGTAAGAAATACTGTTAGTGTTAAATATTCTGATTTTTAACTACAGCAAAAATCGTACTGTTCAAGTCATATCCCTGAGCGTTGTGAGATGAGGGCCAAAGATCAAAGCCTCTGGTATTTATTTGGTTACAGTATTTCATATATTGAAGAAAGTAAAGGGCAAATGTTTGCCTGTGTTGCGTTAAAACGGCACGTTGAATGAGGAATATGGCACATTTACCAATAACTGGAGTTTTGCTTTTTCTCCTTCCTGTGGTCGTTTTACCCCTTCCTGTAACAATATTTTGAAGTAAGAACCTACTAAAAATCAGTAATTGAGAAAAATTTTAATTGGTATCCAATTTTCTGATGTACCAAAAGAAAATAGTGTGAAATCATATACGAGTTTCTGGTATTGCTGAGCCAAAAACAGAAAGAGGAACAGAAAGTTAAGCCCACAGGAATTATTGCTAACCCTATGTTTTTCTGTGTTTGAGGTTATAATTCTTTTCTTTCACAGCTTTTGAAAAGTAATAGAAACACTGTTCTTTCCCCCTCAAAAAAATTAGGCAAAAACGACATTCCTGTTGAGTTAAATTTTCCAATTACAAATAAAATGTGCTTTGATATATTTCTTCTAACGCCCTGTCTTTCCAATAAGCTATTTCTGCTTTGTGACTTCAAAGCTAGGAAGCAGTAAATTGATGTTCAATTTTATGATTGTAGAAGTATATCAAAATTCTTTCATGTTCTCTCTTAAAAACCTTACAACTAATCAGTTTATTAAAGGATACATGGTTAGAAGAATCTATAGTTAGAAGGACGATCAGAGTTACAGGGTCATGAACTTGATGTCCCTACAAGCTATATGCGCCTTCAGAGTTAGGCTGCATTCCCAGATGACGACTTATAAACTCTTTCCATTCTGAAAAGTGGGAAAAGACTTAGCACATACAAGAAAAAGAAATGTTTGAAGGTTGGCAGGAGATAAATCCATTAGGGGAGAAAAATCTTTATAAATGGTCGTAGGCCTGGTGAGGTCCCAGAGTTTTGTGAGGCCAAGGTGGGAAGACCCCTTGAGACCAAGTGTTCAAAACCACCTGGGAAACTTAGTGAGACCCCAGCCTCCCTATCTCTCTCTATATATAGCTATATCTATATCTATCTATATAGATAGATAGATAGATAGAAATAAATACAAATATATATTATATTTTATACAGATATATTTATATATTTATATATAATCTAGATATATATATCTAGATTATATATTTATATCTAGATACATATTATATATATTTATAGCTAGATATATATCTAGATATTTATAGCTAGATATATATCTAGATATATAAATATATATTTTATATATATCTAGATATAAATATAGATATATCTATAAAATATATATCTAGACATATCTATATTTATATCTAGATATATATATCTTCAGGTATATACACCCAGTATATACCTCTCTCTATATATATATAAATATACACCCAGTATATCTATATATTTGTATAGAGGTATATACTGGGTGTATATACCTGAAGATTACCTAAAGTTAGTTTAATTATTAACACGATTTTTAAGCTATTTTTAAACTTTCAGTCTTGAATTTATAGTTAGACCATTGGAGATAAAGAAGAAACAAGGCTTCTCATTGTGTTTTATTTATATCTGTGTGGGACTCTGTATACTGGGCATGCATATATATATATATACACACACTCGGCCCAGTGGCATGCTCCTATAGTCCTAGCTATTTGTGAGGCTGAGGATAGCTTTAGCCCAGGAATTCAACGCTGCAGTGAACTATGATCAAACTGCTACACTCCAGCCTGGGTGACAGAGTGAGAACCCTGCCACTAAAAAAAAAAAAATAAATAAAGTAAGTTGTTTTAAATGCTCAGATGTGTACAGAAATAATAAGAAAACTTAATTTTAGAGTTAGGGCATTACTGAACAATGTAATGTTAAAAGAGCTAAAACAGAATTTCTCACAGGTGATTTATGTATGTCCTCTTTTAAAGCACAGAATTCTCCCAAGATCTCCACTGTTACTTAAATTCCTTCTATTGTTCTTTAAATAAATATAAACACAAAACAGCATAAACTCCTTTCTCCTATAGCTGTTACACAGCTCTAAAACAAAAGCAGATTTACAAATTCGACATGAAAGTACAAATCAATAAAATTCAAATTAACAGCATTAATTTATTAATGTATTGCAGAAGATAATGCAGTTTGAGTTTGCCAACATATTAGCCATATCTCTTTTTTTTGGAGACAGTCTTGCTGTGTTGCCCAGGCTCACCGCAACCTCCGCCTCCCAGCCTCCAGCAATTCTCATGCCTCACCCTCCCAGGTAGCCAGGATTACAGGCATGCACCTCCACACCCAGCTGATTTTTGTATTTTTAGTATAGACGGGGTTTCACCATGTTGGCCACACTGGTCTCAAACCCCTGGCCTCAAGTGATCCACCTGCCTTGGCTTCCCAAAGTGCTGGGATTACAGGTGTGAGCCACCATGCCCGGCCTAAAGCTGTATCATTTAATGCAGCATGGGGTTAATATAACAGTATAATTTAAATCACCACTAAATATATATCCAATCAGATTTTGCTGAAATTTGGAATAGGAAAGATTACCTGAAGTTAGTTTTAATTATTAAGACTATTTTAAAGCTATTTTTAAAGTTTCAGTCTTGAATTTGTAGTTAGACCATTGAAGATAAAGAAGACACAAGGCTTCTCACTGTCTTTTTATTTATATCTGTGTGGGACTCTATTTGGCAAATATTGCAACAATTGTTGGCAAAAGAGAAAAAGATTAATGGAGATAGTCTGTGTCCTCAAAAATTCCCTCTCACTCTCAAAACAGGGCAGACAGGTTTCTGTAGTGAAACAATTCTGACACAGGCATCACACAGCTTGTGGTTTTTCAAACAGGCTCAGCACCACATCTGCCATATGAATGAGGCTTGAGAGGGCAGAATTTCACAAGGTGATTAGTAGATACCAAAAGTCACTCATTCACACCATTTCAAAGTTAATCATAAGTTGAATTTTATTATTTTTCCATCCTGTTTTCATTTTAGAATATTCAAATTACTGTTACACTTTTATTGGTACAACGTGTCTGAAAGCATTTGGCTTTCGCCTGGTACAAATATATCACTTACATTATTCAATCTGTCCCTGTTCATTTCTTATTAGCCCCTACAAAGTAGTACATTAGTCAGTCGTGTTATTTTCATTATGTGAAATGAAAGTATTGATTTATTAAAACCATAAGAAACTTGGTTTTCTTGGTAAAGTCTTGGTCATTGGAAATGTTATTCTTGTATGTATTATCACTGAGAAAAAGAAATTTTGACCTCATTAACAAGTAATTCAACATAAGCATGGTGGCAGACACTAGCCATTGCTGTCATTTAGATAGCAGGACATGCCCGCCTAATAGCAGCCAGTTACAAACACTGTCACACTGACAATCTGTTAGCTAAGTAAGATGGCATGGCAAACAATGAAGATTCATGTTGAAATCTCATGACAATATTTAGTTATAAGGTGAATATTCAGATGTTTTAGACCCTGCCTATTTTAATATTTTAAGATGATCATCCCAATAAAAAACTATTTCTAAAAATCCTCTAGAGAATCCTCTAACCCTTAAGAATCTGTCTGAAGACTCCAAGAGGTTCTAGATCCTAGTCTGAGGAACACTGTATAGGCTGATACGGAAAACTTCAGTTCCTGGAATTTGTGTATCATTATATTTATTCTTTCCTAGAGGTAATAACTCAAGAGTTAGAAAATGTGGTGGAAGAGTGTAATATTTATTAATCAACAAATACTTGACAGGTATTTTACATACAAGATTGCATTTAGTATTTGCAATAATTCCGACATAGCTATTACCCATTCTACAGCTGAGGAAACTGATGCTCAAAAGAATTATGTACCTTGCAGCTGGGCCTGGTGGCTCATTCCTGTAATCCCAGCACTTTGGGAGGACGAGGCGGGTGGATCACAAGGTCAGGAGATGGAGACCATCCTGGCTAACACGGTGAAACCCCATCTCTACTAAAAATACAAAAAAAATTAGCTGGGTGTGGTGGCGGGCACTTGTAGTCCCAGCTACTCGGGAGGCTGAGGCAGGAGAATGGCCAGAACCCGGGAGGCAGAGCTTGCAGTGAGCCAAGATTGTGCCACTGCACTCAAGCCTGGGTGACAGAGCGAGACTCCATGTCAAAAAAAAAGAATTATGTACCTTGCTTAAATTCATACTGTTAATAAAAGCAGGTTAAGGGAAAGACAACGTTCAAACTAAGGATCCTCAGAATCCTAATCTCAACCTTTTTCTATTATTCTGTGATTTCATTTAACATTAAAGATAACCAAATGCTGTATAGCTTTAACAAGGAAAATTTTTATGAACTGATTTGAAATTCAATCAATACATAGAACATAATAAAAAGGAAAATCTTCAGTCAAGTCTATGTGTTCTAGATTATGAAGGAAAATAATTCAATATCAGACCACCTTCCAAAATGTTTCCGGGCTACCTTCTTTAAACTACTGATGCTTACACATGAAATGAAAGGTAATATAATTGTCATAGAAATAAAAACAAAGGAGAAAGCCTGCAACTATAAACAACAATAATGAAATTATCCAAGACACATCATCTGTGCCCATGTTAGTCTCCATTAATAGAAATGATTCAGAATTGTCTTTGTGTTCAGTTTTCGAATAAAGTGACTAAATAATAATTTAATTATTTAAATGCATGTTTCATCAATCAAAATCACCTTTATTTTAGGCAATAAACTTTTGTTTTAATAAAATAGTTTTCATTACAGGATCCCAGGAGAGTTACATAGATAGAGTCCCAGCATTTCTGAGAGCTTCTACAAAGGTAGATAAAACTGTTATCTTTTTTGTAAGTGCACAAAAATTAATTTGGGACGGGAATTCTAAAAGAAAACATAGGAAAATAATTTTGCAACCTTGGGCTTAGCAAAGATTTCTAAGACAAGACACAGAAAGCAGAAACCATTAAAAAGTTAATAAATTGGAACTTCACCAAAATTTCAAACTCTGCTCATTAAAAGATACCACTAAAAAATAAAAAAAAAGGCAAGCCAGAGACTTGCAGAAAATAATCATAATCAAATATCAGAAAGAGGAACTGTATCAAGAATAAATCAGGAACTCTCATAACTCAACAATAAAAAGAAGAACCCGAAGAAAATATGGGCAAAAGTCTTAAACAGACACTTCATCAAAAAATATACAAATGGTTAGTAAGAAAATGAAAAGATAATGTCATTAATTATCAGGAAACTGCTAGTTAGTGCAATGAATACAACACCTACTAGAATGGCTAAAATTTAAAAGACTGATAATACCAAATATTGGCAATTATATGGAATAACTAGAACTCTCATACATTGTTGGTTGGAGTGTAAAATAGTACTTCTTTTGAAGAACTATTTGGCACGTTTTTATAAAGATAAACGTACACGACTGGGTGCAGTGGATCACGCCTGTAATCCCAGAACTTTGGAAGGACGAGGCGGGCGGACCACAAGGTCAGGAGCTCGAGACCATCCTGGCTAACACAGTGAAACCCCGTCTCTACTAAAAATACAAAAAAATTAGCCGGGTGTGGTGGCGGCCGCCTGTAGTCACAGCTACTCAGGAGGCTGAGGCAGGAGAATGGTGTGAACCCAGGAGGTGGAGCTTGCAGTGAGCCAAGATCACACCACTGCACTCCAGCCTGGGCAACAGAGCGAGACTCTGTCTCAAAAACAAAACAAAACAAAACAAAACAAAAACAAAGAAAAGATAAACCACTTACTTACACTGTGACCCAGCAATCCTACTCCTATATATTTGTCCAGGAGAAATTAAGACATATATCCACAAAGATTCATATATGAACATTTACAATTGCTTTATTTGTAACAGTCTCAATCTGGAAACAATCAAAATGTCCATCAACAGGAGAATGAATAAATTGTGATATATTGATAGAAGGGAATATTACTCAGCAATAAGAAGAAACACAGTAGTGGTATGCACCACATGGATGAATTTCACAGACATATTTCACAAAAGAAGCCAAAAATGAAAGAATATATATTGTGTGCTTCTATTAATATAAAGTTTAAGAACAAGCAAAGCTACTCTAGTAGTGATGGAAAACAGAACAGCAATTGCTTAAAGGCAAGGGGGAACGTGAATTGACTAGAAAATGGTACAGAGGAACTTTCTGAAATGATTTAAAGCTCTATATCTTGATCAGCATGTAAGTTACATGTGGGTGTTGGGTATATTCATTTGCAAAACACATCAAGTATATACTTGAGATCTGTGCATCTCACCAGTATGAATTATATCACAATAAAAAAAGCATGCTTAAATAAAAAGAAGAGATCATCAAAAACAAAAAACAAATCTGTTGCTGAAGTCTAATGCCAAAGGATTTACTGTTTCTAACCAGTGTACCATGGTTTTTGGAACTTTGTACTCTACCTGTACCCCTTCACTAAACATGTATTGATCCCATCATTATAAGGTATTAAGCTAAGCTGGTAGACATTGTGTCCGTGGAGGCGTCAGTCAAGTTGAGTCAAGAAACATATAAATATACTTCTAAAGTAGTTCACTGAATGCTTTTAACTTATATTAATTCCTTTATTTAATAAGTATTTACTGAGCCCTTATTTATATGCCAGGCAATGTTCTAGGCACCAGAGGTTCAGCAGTGACCATGACACTGCACCCCTTGCCTCATGGGAGTTTCATTTGACTATGGAAGAGACAGATAATTTAAAAGTATACAAATAGGCCCAGTGCGGTGGCTCACGCCTATAATCACAACACTTTGGGAGGCTGAGGAGGGCAGATCACCTGAGGTCAGGAGTTTGAGACCAGCCTGGCCAACATGGTGAAACCCCATCTCTACTAAAAATACAAAAATTAGGTGGGCGTGGTGGCGCGCACCTGTAATCCCAGCTACTCGGGAGGCTGAGGCACAAGAATAGCTTGAACCCGGGAGGCAGAGGCTACAGCAAGCCAAGATTGCACCACTGCACTCCAGCCTGGGCAATAGAGTCAGACTCCATCTCAAAAAAAAAAAAAAAAAGGATACAAATAAATGAGGTAATTCCAGATGGTGAAAAATACATTGAAGAAAATGAAATATTTAGAAAATGAAACATTTGATCACATTTTACTCATTTCTGAGGAAGGGTGTGTGAATCACATATTTGCCTGTCATATTAACCTTAGCGCCATTGACTTCAAAGATCAACTCTCACATACTTTTATTCTCACTGTGCAGTGAAAACAGTTTCAAAATGAGAACATGAGGCCATATTTTACCAGTGCACATTTATGTACATCTTATTTTCTTACATGCTCCTTTAAAAAGGACAGATTGACAATTCACCAGATCATTACACACAAATTAAGAGCATGTAGACGGTGTGTTTAACCAAAGCACATCACACTGTTAAGATCCACTATGGTCCCTCAATTTCACTGGGAACTCTCACTTTTTTCCTCAGGGCTCAAGTATTTAGAGAGTTATACTTGTAAGTGACTAGAGATTTTTAAAACCTACTGGCTTGAGATAACTCATGAAAATCAGACTACATACGAACCCCTCATCCATTATATCATGCATAGTATAGAGAGTAAAGGTTTCATACTGTAGAGGTCTTATTAGCACCTAGTACATTGGAATTGTTTGAGAGACATACAGCTGTCCCACACTATTTCACCAGCCTATGCATCTGTTACCACTCAACATTATTGTTGCTTTTGATCTTTTAATGTTTATATTGGTTCTCATCAAAATAGAAACAGAGATACCAGACATTAGAATTTTAGCTATGTTTAACATCATTGAAAAGCTAAAATTGTAGTTATCTTGACTAAAATCTCAAATCTTGTCATAAAGCCAGCTTTCTCAAAGCCAAGCAAATCTGTGCAAGGCAAAACATGGGTGAGATTATTTCCTATTATTTTAATTTCTACTATGGTTTATACCATTTTGAGAAATGGTGTTATCTTTCATTAAACTCTATTAGGACTTCATGGAAGATAACAGGTGACAAGCGTCATTAGTCATTGCCTGCTTGGAAACAGAGACGCTTCCAGGAGGCAACACAGTCAGCCTAGTGGCTTACTGGCAGAACTGAAGTTACACCAGAGTGCTGAGTTGTCCTTTCTGGGCTAATCTTCTGGCATCCCTTCTATACCACACAACTCATATAACTTTTGCTGATTGTTAGTTGATTCTATACATGATGAAAATCTATATTTATGTTCATTTGCCTTGCAAAATAATGATGACAGTGCTGGTAGCTCTCGAGAAACCTAGAACAGGTATTCAAGTGGAGGCAAGCAATTGAACAGAGAAGGACACTCAGGCCGCACAATCGCCTGAACAAAAAGAAAATTAATAATCAAAATGACCACTTATATAAGAATGAAAATGAAAATGGACCCCTACAATTTATACAGGAAGGCTGAGTTGGGTTTTTCCATTCTATTTTATGAAAACATATCCAGCGTGCTCGTAATCACATGAAAAACAATCACTTGTGTCTTTTTAAAGCAGAGTTTGAAGCTGATGGCAGATGCAGGAGAATGCCTGTTGATCAGATCTTGCTTCATGTTTTCCAGCCGAAATGTGTCATATTCTAGACTGAGAAAATAACTCCAGGTCGCCCTCCTTGGATGGCACACATGATGATGTCTGAAGTCATCATAGAATGTTGTATCCTCCTTGGTCCTTTCTCATCATTCTGAGATACATGGTTAGTAAAGGACCCCCTTTTGGTAGATCACATGGCCCTTAAGCCTTTGGAGTTGTTAGAAACAGTGCTTTTGGGCAGGACGTATCTGGAGTTGAATCTCAGTGTGCCATTTACTAATGTGGTCCTGGGTAAGTTATCTGTGCTTCCCCAGTTCCTTGAATTGGACGTAAGACCTACCTCCTCACATTATTGTAAGATTGAAATAAGATGACATTTGAAACATACCTGGCTCATAAAAAGTACTCAAATAACTATTGGCTCATTTCCAATCTGCTGCTTTCTCGTAATTCTTATCGTACATTGCCTCATAGAAGTAGTTATCCGTGTTATGTTTTATCTTTACCCCTCACTAGACTATAACCTCCCTAATGGTTGGGATGACAGCTCACTCATTTTTGTGTCCCCTGGACCTCCGCCACATAGTGCCTTAGACAGAGCGGGCACTTGGAAACTATATATTGAATGTTATTTTTTCTAACTCAGCATATACTCAGCAATTTAGTGAAATAAAACCATAGTCAAAATGTCCAATGATGTCTCTTTTCTCCATTAGGTCAGCTGCTTTTATTTTTAGAAGGGTCTTTCTGAGCATTCTCTTAGACTGATGGCCATTTACTGCAGGCAAGCAATCTTCCCAGGTTAGATTGGACTATCTATTTTCACAATTCAGATGAGGCTTTGCTTTTATCCTGAGTTTGTGACATGTATGTTTAGATGAGCCCAAAGAGTAAAGCAGCCAAACTATTCCACCTTTTGTCAACTGAACATTCATTACCGACACTGGCAGATTTCTAGTATGGCTGACTATATACATGACTCTACATATGACTATATGTATGCAAATAAAACATATACATAGAGTTTGTATAGTCTTTTATAAATAAAATATATTTTAGTGAAACCTAAATGTGTCCAAAATTCTTTGATCCAAGAAAAAGAAAGTTTAAGTTCTACAGAGGTAAAATCAATGGCAATTCTATAAATACTTCGAAGAGCCAAAATGAAATGAAAAAATCAGTCACATTGAGCTATGCTTTGTGCATTTTACCTTGAAAAAAATTTAAATAAATTACATTAGACTTGAATATTTATGAATTAAGTACAACTTTTCTTTCCTTTACCTTTCCCTTTGGCTCTTTGACCTTAGAAAACCTCCATTTTCTTATCTCACGGGGCTGTTTTAGGGATTAAATGAGATAAGTTTACACAATCCCCAACACAGTGCCTACTACACATTACAAACTCAAGTGTGTGGCAGGCTGTACTGCTATTTATGGCACACCATAAGTCTGGGACTTCCTTTTAGTGAAAAAAAAAAAAAAAACAAAGGAAGTGCTCAGCAAAAATCAAGCCAGGAACTTCCCAATCCCTTCTCCCTGAGCCCACAGACATTCCAAATATCTTTGTGTTGACATAGTGTAAGAATTCTGGTCCCAGCAAAAGTTAGCAAGAATATTACCTTGAAACAAACAAACAAACAAAGATACCATCTTGACGGGAGAAAAGCAAAGAAGGGATTGCCAGGGTTGGGGGGGCACTCGGAAATTCTAAGGGCTACAGACAAAAACACTGCCTTGGCCGGGTGCGGTGGCTCATGCCTGTAATCCCAGCACTTTGGGAGGCTGAGGAGGGCGAATCACTTGAAGTCAGGAGTTTGAGGCCAGCCTAACCAACATAGTGAAACCCTGTCTCTACTAAAAATACAAAAATTAGCCAGGTGTGGTGATGCACACCTGTAATCCCAGCTACTCGGGAAGCTGAGGCAGGAGAATTGCTTGAACCTGGGAGGCGGAGGTTGCCATGAGCCGAGATTGTGCCATTGCACTCCAGCCTGGGTGACAGATTAAGACTCCATCTTAATTAAAAAAAAAAAAAGATACCACCTTGGGGGAAAAAAGCAAGGAAGTGATTGCCAAGGTTGGTGGGGGCACTCGGGATTTCTAGGAGCTGGCAGTATTCTAGATCTGGGTTGTGGCTACATGGTTTCACTTTATGATAATGTCAATGTTTTATGTACTTTGCTGTATGTGGGCCGTATTTCACAATGAAAAAGATTTAAAATGAGGGGTGTGTGTGTGTGTGTGTGTGTATGTGTGTGTGTGTTTTTTTAAAAAAAAGAATACCTTCTTGGATTTTTAGAGTGTTTTATGCTTCTCAGAAGGCTTTCAAACAGGTGACACACTGTGAATCAAATAGGACTTCCTCTATTTGATACAAAGATGCTAAAAGAAGTATCTGAGGTTACATTCTGCTAGTTCCTGATAGAGCCTGGGGTTTAGGACTAAGATGTCCTAAGTTTAGAGTTCTGTTTACTTCTCCAAACTTTCTTCCAAACCAAGATGTGCACTTTGTACCAAGTTAATATTATGCAAACTAGTATCTTAAATAATTTTAAAATTATGAAATATTTCAAACCTATAAGCAGGTATAGAGACTATAAGGAAAACCACATAATCTTATTTACTTATCCAATTTGCCTCAAACTTTGAAAAAATAATAACATTGTACATATATCTTAGACTCTGTGTACCTCTCCTGGCTTCCTTTCTCCACAAATTTCAGTTCCTGTGAGTTTAAAAAATAATTTTCCACATACGTATATATCCATAAACAATGCGCAATATTCTTTCCCAGGGTTTAAAATTTTATTTAAATTGTGTCATATTACAATTATAATATTCTCCTGCAACGTTATGGTTTTTGTTAGTTTTGACTCAAAATTATATTTTTTCTATTTACCATGCTAATTC
The DNA here is from genome assembly GCF_000001405.40 of Homo sapiens. NCBI lineage: Eukaryota > Metazoa > Chordata > Mammalia > Primates > Hominidae > Homo > Homo sapiens. Next base: position 32,189,467 of record NC_000014.9, on the reverse strand, counting down.
ATGTAACTGCTAGATAGTATTCCCTGCCTGAATATAGCATCATTTTTTTTTTTGAGATGGAGTCTTGCTGTCGCCCAGGTTAGAGTGCAGTGACGTGATCTCTGCTCGCTGCAAGCTGCACTTCCCAGGTTCACGTCATTCTCCTGCCTCAGCCTCCCGAGGAGTTGGGACTACAAGTGCCCGCCACCATGCCCTGCTAATTTTTTGTATTTTTAGTAGAGATGGGGTTTCACCTTGTTAGCCGGGATGGTCTCGATCTCCTGACCTCATGATCTGCCCGCCTCGGCCTCCCAAATTGCTGGGATTACAGGCATGAGCCACCGCGCCCAGCCTATAGCATCATTTTAAAATTTATTCACTCGGCCAGGCGTGGTGACTCATGCCTGTAATCCCAGCACTTTGGGAGGCCGAGGCGGGCAGATCACGAGGTCAGGAGTTCAAGACCAGCCTGGCCAACATGGTGAAATCCCATCTCTACTAAAATGCAAAAAATTAGCCAAGCGTGGTGGCACGCACCTGTAGTCCCAGCTATTCTGGAGGCTGAGGTAGGGGAATCGCTTGAACATGGGAGGCAGAGGTTGCAGTAAGCGGAGATCATGCCACTGCACTCTAGCCTGGCAACAGAGCAAGACTCTGTCTCAAAAAAATAAAAAAATTTATTCACTCACAGAAAGAAGACTTAGGTTGTATCTATTATTTTGCTACCAAACAAGACTGATGAAAACATTCTTATAGAAGAGGGGTTGGCAAATTACAACCAGTGGACCAAATCAAGCCTGCCACCTATTTTTGTGTGCTGTGGTCCACGAGCTAAGAATGGTTTCTACTTTTTTTTGAGACACGGTATTGCCCTGTCACCCAGGCTGGAGTACAGTGGCCAAATCTCGGCTCACTGCAGTCTCGACCTCCTGGGCTCAAGCCATCCTCCCACCTTAGCCACCCGAGTAGCTGGGACTACAGGTTTGTGCCACCATGCCTGGCTAATTTTTTGTGTTTTTGTAAAGGTGGGGTCTCACCATGTTTCCCAGGCTGTTCTTGAACTCCTGAGGTCAAGTGATCCACCTGCCTCGGCCTCCCAATGTGCTGGGATTACAGCTGTGAGCCACTGCACCTGACTGGTTTTCACATTTTTAAATGGTTGAAAAAATTCAAAAGAAGAATAACATTTTGTAACACATGAAAGTTATATGAAAATCAAATCCCAGTGTCCATAAACTTTAATTGGAACACAGCAATGCTATTTATTTACATATTATCTAAAACATTCACAGCAGAGCTGAGTAGTTGTGCTAGAGATCATGTAGTCCATAAAGCCTAAAATACTTGCCACCCAGCCTTTTACAGAAGAAGTTTACTGACCCCTATTATAGAGGTCTCTTAATGTATATATGTGAGAGCTTCTCTAGGATACATTTCCAGAAGCTGAATTATTGGGTCTTCAGGTACTAGAATCTTCAACCTTACCTGATGCAGTCTAATTGGTTTCCAGATAATTATTCCAGTTCACACGACCACAAGCAATATATGAGAATTCCTGTTGATTTACTTGGTAATCCTTAATGTTATCATATTCTAAAGTTTGTGCCAGTCTGATTGGTATGAAACAGTATTCCATTATGATTTTTATTTGCATTTCCATGATTACTCAGGAGAACAACCATTTTTTCCACAGATTTACTGTCAGTTGCCTTTTCATAAACTTTTGTAATTTTCCTTTTTGGTTATCATTTTCTTATTGATTTTCAAGAATTATTTATGTATTCTGTAATACTAATTCTTTCTAGGTTATGTTGGTTACTAACATCTTCTCCCTGTGTTTTTGAGTCTCATCTTTTAACCTTGTTTGTGGTATCTTGTGTACAAATATATATTTGAATATAGTCAAATTTGTTAGTTTTCTTTATGGATTGTATAGTATTTTTTTCTTTTTCTTCTTCTTTTTTTTTTCTTTTTCTTTTTTGAGATGGAGTCTCACTCTATCACCCAGGCTGGAGGGCAGTGGTGTGATCTCGGCTCACTGCAACCTCCACTTCTCGGATTCAAGTGATTCTCCCACTTCAGCCTTCCAAGTGGCTGAGATTACGGGCATGCTCCACCACACCCAGCCAATTTTTGTATTTTTAGTAGAGACGAGGTTTCACCATATAGGCCAGGCTGGTCTCGAACTCCTGAGCTCAAGTAATACACTCGCCTTGGCCTCCAAAAGTGCTGGGATTATAGGGGTGAGCCACCGCATCCAGCCAATATTTTTTCTTATCTAAACATTATTCCTGGCTGGGCACTTTGGCTCACACCTGTAATCCAGCACTATAGGAGGTCAAGGAAGGTTGATTGCTTGAGGTCAGGAAACCAGCCTGGCCATCACGGTGAAACCCTGTCTCTAGTAATGATACAAAAAATTAGCCAGGCCTGGTGCACATGCCTGTAGTCAGCTACTCAGGAGGTTGAACCTGCGGAGCTTGCAGTGAACAGAGATCGCACTGCTGCACTCCAGCCTGGGCAACAGAACGAGACTCCCTCAAAAAAAAAAAAAAAAAAAAAAAAAAAAAAAAGGCCAGGCACGGTGATTCATGCCTGTAATCCCAGCACTTTGGGATGCAGAGGCAGGAGGATCACCTGAGGTCAGGAGTTTTAGACCAGCCTGGCCAACATGGTGAAACCTCACCTCTATAAAATTAAAAGAAAAATTGTATTGTTGCATTCTAATGCCATAAAGATAATCCTCTATGTTTTCTTCTAAAACATTTGTGAAGTGATAACAAGCACTTATCTAACTACCTAGGTCAAGATGAATAGAGGACAGTTACTAACTTCAACTCCTACCTGTGCCACCAGAGCATGGAGTAATTCTAGCCAGCAAAGGAGACCATATTGGAAGAGTGAGAAAACAAGATAATAACTAAAAAAATATATATTGATGACCTTGACTGGGGGAGTGGGTGGAAGTACAAGCTGCAGGTGCAAATCATAGAGGTGAGATGTTAAGTTAATGGGAGACAGGAAGTGAAAATGAAATCATTCTTTCAATAAGCTTGGCCATAAAGGAAATGAAAGCTGCAGAAGCAGATATAAAGTAAAAGAGCCTTTTTTTGTTTTTTTCATTACAGAAACTTGGACATGTTTATATGTTGATGGCAAAGAGTAGAGCACAGAGTGAAGATTCAGGGATGAGGGGAGATCATTGATGGAGGCAGGTTCCTGAGGAGGCCAAGGAGGTGGGATGGAGACTGTATGGCAGGGGAAATCTACTCTTTCTCTTGCTGTAGTTACACCTCCCTGGGCTACCTCTCCCTCTTTCCTTTGCCTGTCAAAAAGCTATACATTATTTATTAAGACTATCTGGTATTGGCACAAAAGATGGACAAATAGATTAATAGAACCAAAAGGGCACCTGATTTATGACAAGGTAGCACTGAAGGGCAATGGGGAAAGGGCAATCGCTTCAGTAAACAATATTGGCAGCCAGACGTGGTGGCTCATGCCTGTAATCCCAGCACTATGGGAGGCCAAGTTGGACGGATCGCCTGAGGTCAGGAGTTCAAGACCAGCCCGGCCAACATGGTGAAACCCCGTTTCTACTAAAAATACAAAAACCACTGTAATCCTAGCTACTCAGGAGGCTGAGGCAGGAGAATCACTTGAACCCGGGAGGCAGAGGTTGCAGTGAGCCAAGATTGGGCCACTGCACTGCAGCCTGCATGACAGAGCAAGACTCCATCTCCAAACAAACAAACAAACAAACAAACAAACAATAAACAATATTGACTCAACTGTATCTGTTTGCAGAAATCTTAATTTCTACCTCATGCCATACCTGAAAATTATTTCCAGATAGAATGTGTATCTAAATATAAAAGGTAAGATAATAAAGCTTCTAGAGAATAATAACATAAGAAAGTATGTTACTGACTTTGAAGTAGAGAAGGTTTTCTTAGACTGGAAGCAAAAAGTATTAACTATTGATAAGGAAAAGATTAGCTACGCTAAAATTGGGGATTTATGTTCATCCCAAAAACATCACCATTAAGAAAATGAAAAGGTAAACTCATGAGTAGAAGATATTTGCAATACATATAACCAACAAAGGGCTCATATATAAAGAATTCCAGCAAATCAATAAGAAAAAGACAACTGAAAAATGGGCAAAACACCTGAACAGGCACTTTACAGAAGAAGATATCCAAATGGCCAATACACATATGAAAAAGTCTCATTGTTATTGGTCATCAGTGAAATGCATATTAAAACTATCTTAAAAGGCTGGCACCCAGGGTTGGCAGAGATGTGGAGTATTCTAATTTTCATACAATTCCAGTGAGAGTATAAATTGATGCAACCATTTTGAAAACTATTTGTCAGTATCTGTTAAAGCTGAACGTACACATACTCTGTGATCCAGCAACCCACGTGTGTATCTACACATGATTATGCATAGAAGCATTGTTCCTAAAAACCCAAATATCTTGTCTTCAACAAGAGAATAAATTAATTAAGAAATATGTATTCAGAGCCACAACAACATAGATGAATCACACAAACATAACGTTGAGTGAAAGAAGCCAAACACAAAAGAGTCTACTCTGCCTCATTTTTATGAAGTTCCAAAACTAGTCTACTGTGCAAAACTAGGCAAAACTAGTCTACTGTGTTGGAAAACAGAATAGCCATTATCTTTTAATAAGGAGTGTAGAAAATGACTAGGCATATGGTGGGCTTCTGGAATTGTGATATTCAATCTATTTAACTGTGTGGTAGTTATACTGGTGTGTTTATTCTTCAATAATTCATCAAGCTATATACTTCTAATTTGTGCACTTTTCTACATATGTGTTAAACTTTGATTAAAATGTTCATTGTGAAAAATTAAAGCTATTATTCTGTCATAAACAGTGTCATCCACATAAACATTTTGTACTTTTCTACTTACCTTACGTACATATCTAGTCATTTCTCTATTAATCTTGTTCTTCTAATTGGAAGTATGAGATTAGAGGCTGACTGCTACTTGTCTTTTGGTTTTCTGAGGGTCTTTGCACACAGCAGGTGTTTAATAAATGTTTACTGAATTGAAACTTTAAATGATATATTAGAACTCTCTCTGGGAAGTTTTCGGCAAACATGTCATCAAACAATTACTACTGATTCACCCTTCTTCACCAACTGATCCTCTCCTTTATAATGTCCTAACATGAGACAAACATCCACAAACACTAAACAATCTATTACTGTTGCTTTGGAACATAACTATTTTGAAAAAGTTTCTCTAAGTGTTGCAAATTTTTTTCTGGGTCCTGGACTGGTGGGTATATGATCTATGGGTATAATTTGTCCATATACAGAAGTCAGGGACAGCAGCAAAATAATTTTTAATTGTCAGAATATTAAATATGTATCTAAATGCTCTACTGAGAAGCCAAGCTGTCTGTTCACTAGAATAAATATCTTTTATTCTTCATTTAAAAAGATGCTCTTATCCACACTGCACCACAAGGCCATCTGCTCTAAGCTATTTCTTCTAGTAAGAGTGAAAATGTGATGGATCCATCCATCTCTCTCTTTTCAAGGCCCATGGTTATCATATGTTGCATGTGTTTGCAGGAAGTCTGATGTGAGTTAAGTATACCATTTGTGACCACAGACCATGGCTAAGATAAGAAGCTTCTGTAACATGTTGCTTAGGGATACACAAAACAAAACCAAAAAAAAAAAGTAAAATAAGAAGCTTCTGTAGAAAGGAATATATGAAGTTGGCCTCAAATACAACATATCCTAATCAATTGACCAAATCAGGTTTTGTTAACTATATTGCTGACAGCAACTTTTTTGTGCAACCTTGCCTTCTAAGAGAGTCCTCCCACTTTTACTGGAGTCTGGATTAGGTGACCTTTTCTGAGCTGTCACACCCCCCGGGGAAATAACACTGAACTGTAATTTTCTCTTTATTGGTCCATCTCCCCCTCTAGATTATGAGGACCTTGGAGATCACATCTTTTAAAAAAATATATCTCCAATTTCTAGCATCATATTTGGCACAAAGTTGGCATTTACTAGAATTACATATTTGAATGACAGTGTTAACTGCAGACTTGATCTGTCACATTCCTGACTTAACAAGGCTCCACTGTTAATATTTAGCCATGCCTGGAGACTAACTGTTAACTCACAAATCTGAATTTGTAGTGAGGTGTTTAATAGTAGAATTAAACTGAACATCTTGGAAGCAGAACGTGAAAGGGTATTGATTGCTAATCACATAAAATTAGACTTCTGTTTCTGGCATATGAGAGCCAGATACCCTGAGGAATTCTCTTGGAACAGAACACCAGGGGGAAAAGATTTTAAATAATACATAAGTATTATTTAAAAATGTCTATGAATGCAGAGCTGATCTGGCAAGAAAGCTACCCCCAGATAAATAACGAACATTGGAGATGATATATGCCTGAAGCATCTGACAGTTTCTGGTGGCATGAAGATTTTGGTTTTCACTAACTGCATGCAAGAGTCAGGAGACAAAACTGAAGGTTTGTAGAATGTAAGAAGTCAAAATAAGACCTCGACATAAGCTGAGACTCTGAAAGGCATCATTTTAGTGGAAGGATGAACTTGGGGGAAACTCTCACCACATAGAAGATGATAATTAGGGAACATGCCAATCTCAGCCTTATTTATAAATAGAATGGGAAAAAATGTTCTCTTGAGTATGGGTTCCAGGACTGAATTCATATTAGATAAATTGAATTTTAGTTTAAAGTGCTGCCAGGTTGACAATGATTATGTTTAAAAAAATAAGAGGGTATCGAGGGTATACCCAAAGAACAACAGACAATAAAAAATTATCAAGTAGATAGATCTAGTAAAAAAAATTAAAGACAACATCTAGAAATGAGATGTGAAACTAAGATCAGAAACTCAATGATTAGATTAAAATATCAAATTGTCCATAATTAAAAAGAGAGTTACTAAAATAGAAATTAGAATGAAAAAAAGTACACAGAATATAGCACAAATATATTAAAACTTATATAAAGGAGAGGTTACACAACCTGGAGAATAAAGTGAGAAGTTCAAAATACATTTTTAGAATATAGGTATATTAGTTTGCTAGGACTGCCATAACAAAATACCACAGACTGGGTGACTTAAACAACAGAAATGTTCTCACAGTTCCAGAGGCTAGAAGTCCAAGATCAAGGTGCTGTCAAGGAGGTTGGTTTCTGGTGAGGCCTCTCTAGAGTGTAGACAGCTGCCTTTTCATTGTGCCCTCACATGGCCTTTCCTCTGTTCATGTGGAGGGATTGGGGGGAGAGTGAGCACAAGTATACTTTGGTCTCTCTTCTTCATCTTATAAGGACACCCGTGCTATTGGATGAGGTCCCACTCTTACAACTTCATTTAACCTTAGTTATTATACCTCCCTAAAAGCCGTGTTACCAAATACAGTCACACGGGGGGTTAGGGCTTTAACATATGAATTTCGATGGGATGAAATTCAGTCCATAACAATAGGCAAAACTAGATAGAACAGGAAAAAAGACAATATTTAAAGACATAATTGAAAACTTTTAAAACTGATGTTCAACAAACATAAAAAATCTAAAGCAGTATAAATGAAAAGAAATACTTGCTTTGACACATCATACTGAAACAATAGAATACCAAAGACGAAAATAAGATTAAGGACAAATAATGAAGACAGATTATCTACAAAGGAAGCATTATTATGACAGCCAACTTCTCATCAGTTTCAATGGAAGTAAAAGATAATGGGATAGTATCTTCAAAATTCACTGCCATTAAAAAAAAAAAAAAAAGTGAAGCTTGGTTGTGGTGGCTCATGCCTGAAATACCAACAGTTTGGGAGTCCGAGGTGGAAGGATTGCTTAAACCCAGGAGTTCAAGACCAGCCTGGGCAACACAGTGAGACTCCATCTCTACAAAAAAAAAAAAAAAAAGAAAGAAAGAAAGAAAGAAAGAAAAAAGAAAAAATTTAGCTGAGCATGATAGTTTGTACCTGTGGTCTTAGTTAGTCCTGAGGCTAAAGTAGGAGGATCCCTTAAGCCCAGGATTTCAAGGCTGCAGTGAATTAGAATCTCGCAATTGCACTCCAGCCTGGGTGACAGAGTTAAACTCTTGACTCTAATTTAAAAAAAAATTAAAGTATAAAACTCACAGGTCTTATAAAACAATTTCACAAAGGAGGATGAGAAACAAATCATATGCCAACACAAGAGGACTCCATCAAACCACAAAGACAAACAGAAAAAAAGAAAGGGAGAAACAAAGATTCTTGGAAGCAACTAGATAATAACATTATGACAGGAACAAAACTTTACATATAAATATTAACCTTGCACATAAGTTGATTAAATGCTCCACTTCAAAGATATAGATTGGCAGAATGGACTAAAAGAACTTCAAAATTTGAATCTCCAAAGCCAGTATTACACTGATACCAAAACCAGACAAAGACACATCAAAAAAAGAAAACTGTAGCCAATATCAATGATAAATATTGATGCAAAAATTCTCAACAAAACACTAGCAAACTGAATTCAACAACACATTACAAAGATCATTCATCATGACCAAGTGGGATTTATCCCTGTGATGCAAGGATGCTTCAACATATGCAAATCAATTAATGTGATACTTCATAACAACAGAATGAAGGACAAAAACCATGTGATCATTTCAATTGATACTGCAAAAGCATTTGATAAAATTCAACATCCTTTATGATGAAAACCCTAAAAAACCCCTGGATATAGAAGGAATATACCCCAGCAAGAAGAGCCATATATGACAGACCCGCAGTTAGTATCATACTGAATGGGGAGAAACTAAAATCCTTTCCTCAAAGATGTAGAACTGACAAATATGCCCATTTTCACCACTATTATTCAACGTAATACTGAAAGTCCTAGCTAGAGTAATCAGACAAGAGAAAGAAATAAAGGGGATCAAAATTGGGAAGGAAGAAGTCAAATTATCCTTCTTTGTGGATGAGATGATCTTATATTTGGAAAAACCTAAAGACTCCACCAAAAAAAACTATTAGAACTGATCAATAAATTCAGTAAAGTTGCAGGACACAAAATAAACATGCAAAATCGGTAGCGTTTCTATATGCCAACAGCAAATAATCTGAAAAAGAAATCAAGAAATTAATCTCATTTACAATAGCTATAAATAAAATAGAAGAGCTAAGAATTAAATTAACCAAAAAAAGTGAAAGAGCTCTACAATGAAAACTATAAAACACAGATGCAAGAAATTGAACAAGGAAACACAAAATTGGAAAGATATTCCATGTTCATGAATTGAAAAAATCAATATTGTTAAAATGGTCACACTACCAAAAGCAATCTACAGATCTAATGTAATCTGTATCAAAATGCCAATGACATTCTTTGCAGAAATAGAAAAAAAATCCTAAAATGTATATGAAACCACTCAAAAAAAAAAAAAAAAAAACTCAGAATAGCTAAAGCAAAAACAATAAACCTGGAGAATTCATATTACCTGACTCTAAATTACACTACAGAGCTATCATCACCAAAACAGCATGGAACTGGCATAAAAACAGACAGATCAGTGGAACAGAATAGAGAACCAGAGAAAAATTCATACATCTACAGTGAACTTATTTTTGACAAAGGTGCCAAAAACATACATTGGGGAAAGGACAGTCTCTTCAATAAATGGTGCGGGGAAAACTGGATATCCACATGTAAATGAATGAAACTTACCCCTATTTCTCACCATATACAAAAATCACACCCAGGTGGATTGAAGGCTTAAATCTGAGACCTCAAACTATGAAACAACTACAAGACAACATCAGGGACACTCCCCAGGACATTGAACTGGACAAAGGTTTCTCGAATGGGGCTTGTGCCCCACAAGCACAGGCAGCTAAAGAAAAAATTGACAAATGGGATCACATCAAGTTAAAAAGCTTCTTCACAGCAAAGGAAGCAATCAACAATGGGAAGAGACAATCCACAGAATGGGAAAAGATATTTGCAAACTATCCATGTGACAAGGAATTAATAACCAGAATATATAAGGAGCTCAAAGAACTTTACAGGAAAAAAAATCTAATAATCAAACTAAAAATGAGAAAAAGACCTGAATAGACATTTCTCAAAAGAAGATATACAAATGGCAAACAGATATATAAAAAAGTGCTTAACATCACTGATCATCAGGGAAATGCAAATGAAAACTACAATGAGATATCATTTTACCCCAGTTAAAATGGCTTATATCCAAAAGACAGGCAATAATACATGCTGGTGAGGATGTGGAGAAAAGGGAACTCTTGTACCCTGTTGGTGGGAATGTAAATTCATACAGCCACTATGGAGAACAGTTTGAAGGTTCCCAAAAAAACTAAAAATAGAGCTACCATAAAACCCAGCAATCCCACTCCTAGATACATACCCAAAAGAAAGGAAATCAGTATATCAAAGAGATATCTGCACTCCCATGTTTATTGCAGCACTTCATTATAGCCAAGATTTGGAAGTAGGCTAAATGTATATCAACAGATGAATGGATAAACAAAATATGGTACATATACACAATGGAGTACTATTCAGTAGGCTAAGTGTCCATCAACAGATAAATAGATAAACAAAATATGGTACATATACACAATGGAGTACTATTCAGCCATAAAAAAAAAACGAGATCTTGTCATTTGCAACAACATGGATGGAACCAGAGGTCATCATGTTAAGTGAAATAATACTTGCACAGAAAGACAAACTACATGTTTTCACTCTTTGGGGGAGCTAACATTTAAAACAATTGAACTCATGGAGATAGAGTATAGAAGGATGGTTACCAAAGACTGAGAAGGGTAATGGTGGGAAGGGTGAATAAGAAGTGGGGTTAATGCGTACAAAAAATAATTAGAAAGAATGAATAAGACCTAGTATTTGCTAGCACAACAGGGTGACTGACTACAGACAAAAATAATTTTATTGTATGTTTAAAAATAACTTAAAGAGTATAATTGGATTATTTGTAACACAAAGGATAAATGCTTGAGGTGATTGATACTCCATTTACTCTGATGTGATTGTTACACATTGCATGCCTGTATCAAAACATCTCACGAACCCATAAATATGTATACCTACTATGTGCCCACAAAAAACTTTTTAAAAAATGAATCAACTATATGCTGCTTACAAGAACTCGCCTTATTGGTGAAGACACAGACTGAAGGTAAAGGGGTGGAAAAAGATACTGCACACAAACAGAAAGCAAAATTGAGCAGGAGTAGTTATATCAGATAAAACATACTTTAAACCAATAGGAATAAAAAAAAAAGATAAAGTCATTATATAATGAGAAAGGGATCAATTCAACGAGAAGATTTATCAATTCTAAGCAAGTATGTACCCAACCACTCACTGGTGCACCCAGATTCACAAAACAAACATTACTTGACCTAAATAAAGACATAGACAGCAATACAATCACAGTGGTGGGAGAGCCTCAACATTCCACTGACAGCGCTAGACAGATCACTGAGCCAGAAAATCAACAAAGAAACACCGGGCCTAAATTTTAGACCTAAAGGACCTAACAGACATTTACAAAACATTCTATCCAACAACAGCAGAATATACTTAGTTCTCATCAGCACATGGAACAGTCTCCAAGATAGACTGTATATTAGGTCAAAAAACAAGTCTCAGTAAATTTTCAAAAAATCAAAATCATACCGAATATTTTCTGAGACCACAGTGGAATAAAACTAGAAGTCAATTCCAAGAGAAGCTCTCAGAATCAAAATTATATAAATACGTGGAAATTAAGCAAACTATTCCTGAATGATTTTTGGACAAATGACAAAATTAAGATGAAAATTTAAATATTTTTCTCGAAACAAGTGAAAACGGAGACACAACATACCAAAAGCTCTGGGATACAGCAAAAGCAGTGCTAAGAGGGAAGTTTATAGTGTTAAATGCCTAAACCAAAAGAATAGAAAGTTCACAGATTAACAACCTAACATCTCACCTCAAGGAGCTAGAAAAACAAGAACAAACCAAACCCAAAGCTAGCAGAAGACAAGAACTAACAAAGATCAGAGCAGAACTAAATGAAATTGAGAACAAAAGAATACAAAAGATCAATGAAACAAAAAGTTGGTTCTTTGAAGTGATAGAATTGATAGGCTAGCTAAACTAACCAAGAAGAGAGAAGATCTAAATAAACATAATCAGCAATGAAAAAGGAGACATTACAATTGATACCACAGAAATACAAAGGAGCCTCAGAGACTACTAAGAACAACTACACACCAACAAACTAGAAAACATAGGGGAAACTGATAAATTCTTGCAAACATACAACCTCCCAAGATTGAACCAGGAACAAATAGAAATCCTGAACAGACTAACAATGAGTAGTGAGACTGAATCAGTAATAAAAAATCTCCCAACAGCAACAAAAATCCCAGGATGAAATGGACTCACAGCTGAATTCTATCCTATAAAAAAAGTCCCGGTACCAGTCCTCCTGAAACTCTTCCAAAAACTTGAGGAGGAAGAAATTCTCCCTAACTAATTCTACAAAGCCAGCATCACCCCGATGCCAAAGCCAGACAAGAACACAACAAAAAAAGAAAACTAGAGACTAATATCCCTGATGAACAAAGATGCAAAAGTCCTGAACAAAATACTAGCAAACTGAATCCAACAGCACATCAAAAAGATAATCCACCACAATCAAGTGGGTCTTATTCTAGGGATTCAAGGATGATTCAACATTTGCAAATCAATAACTGTGATTCACTACATAAACATAATTAAAAACAAAAACTATCCCAATTGATGCATAAAAAAGCATCGGGAAAAGTTCAGTATCCTTCATGATAAAAAGCCCTCAACAAATAAGGTATAGAAGGAACATACCTCAAAAATAATAAAAGCCATCTATGACAGACTCGCAGCCAGCATCATACAGAATGGGCACAACTTGGAAGCATTCCCCCTAAGAGCCAATACAAGATAAGAATGCCCACTTTCACCACTCCTATTCAATATAGTATTGGAAGTTTTAGCCAGAGCAATCAGGCAAGATAAAGAAATAAAAGGCATGCAAATTAGAAAAGAGGAAGTCAAATTATCTGTTTGCTCATTATATAATCTTATACCTAGAAACCCCTGAAGAGTCCTCCAAAAGACTCCTAGATTCGATAAATGAATTCAGTACAGTTTCAGGATACATAGTCAAGGTACAAAAATCAGTAGCATATCTATACACCAATAACAATCAAGCTGAGAACCAAATCAAGAGGTCAATCCCATTTATAATAGCTACCCCAAAAAATTAAAATCCCACCTAGGAATATATTTAACCAAGGAGGTGAACGATCTCTGCAAGGAAAATTACAAAACACTAAAGAGACACAAACAAATGGAAAAACATTTCATGCTTATGGATCACAAGAGTCAATGTTGTTAAAATGACCATACTGCCCAAAGCAATCTACAAATTCAATGCAATTCCTGTCAAAATACCAATGTCATTTTTCACAGAATTAGAAAAATGATCCTACAATTCATATGGAACCAAAAAAGAGCCCAAATACCCAAAACAATCCTAAGCAAAAAGAACAAAGCTGGAGGCCTCACATTACCTGACTTCAAATTATACTACAGGGCCATAGTAACCAAAACAGCATGGTGCTGATATAAAAATAGACATATAGATCAACAGAACAGAATAGAGAACCCAGAAATAAAGCCACATGCCTACAGCCAACTGGTCTTTGACACAGTAGACAAAAACATGCACTGGGAAAAGGACACCCTATTCAATAAATGGTGCTGGGAAAACTGAACTGCCATATATAGAAGAATGAAACTGGACCCCTATCTCTCACCTTATACAAAAATTAACTTAAGACCTGAAACTACAAAAATATTTGAAGAAAACCTAGGAAAAACTCTTCTGGACACTGGCCTAGGCAAAGAATTCACGAGTGAGACCTCAAAGGCAAATGCAACAAAAACAAAAGTAGATGAATGGGACTTAATTAAATTAAAAAGCTTCTGCACAGAAAAAGAAATAATCAATGGAGTGAACAGAAAATCTTAAGAATGGTAGCAAATATTTGCAAACTATGCATCAAACAAAGGACTGATATCCAGAATCCACAACGAATTCAAGCAGCCCAACAACAAAATAACCCCATTAAAAAGTGGGCAAAGGACATGAACAGACGTTTTTCAAAAGAAGACATACAAATTGCCAACGAGCACATGAAAAAATGTTCAACACCAGTAATCATCAGAGAAATGCAAATTAAGATCAAAATGAGATATGATCTTATGTCCGTCAGAATGGCTATCATTAAAAAGTGAAAAAAATAGATATTGGTGAGGATGTGGAGAAAAGGAAATGCTAATACACCGTTGTTGGGAACGTAAATTAGTACAATCTCTATAGAAAACAGTATGGAGATTTCTCAACAAATTAAAAAATAGAACTACCATTTGATCTAGCAATCCTACTACTGGGTATATACTCACAGGAAAATAAATCACTATATCAGGAAGAGTCTGGCACTCTAATGTTTACAGCAGTGCTATTCACAATAGCAAAGATATGGAATCAACCTACGTTGTCCATCAACAACACTGGATGAAGAAAATGTGATACACATACACACACACACACACACACAGACACACACACACCATGGAAATCAAAATAATTGATTCAGCCATAAAAAATAATGAAATCATGTCTTTTGCAGCATGTGGATGGAAATGGAGGCTATTATCTTAAGTGAAATAACTCAGAAACAAAGTCAAATACTGCATATTCTACTTTATAAGTGGGAGCTAAATAATGTGTACACATAGACATAGGGTGTAGATGGACACACTGAGGACCCAGAACTGTAAGTGGCTGGAAGGGAGTGGAGGATGAAAAATTACTTAATGGATACAATGTACACTATTTGGGTGATAGTTACAATGAAATACCAGAATTCACCACTACAATGTAGCCATGCTACAAAACTGCACTTTTATTCCCTAAATTTATTTAAAATTTTAGAAATCAACTGTGAACCTAGACATGAATACCTAATGAAACTATTTTTACAACAAGTGCAATATCTATTTTCTGACAAACTAAAACTTAAAAATTATTTCTAAGAGAAATTCAAAAGAATATATTCCAGGAAGAATAAAAATGAATCCAGAAGGAAGATCTGAGATGAAAAAAAGAATGGTGAGCCAAGAAGATAAATATGTGAGTAAATAAAAACAAATGTTATAATAATAATGTTGATTACCTTATAAGATTGTAACTTAAAGCTAAAATACTGGAAAACAATAACATATATTTGGGGATGGGGGTGATCAGAGTTATAGATTATTTTAAGCTCTTATAATGATCAAGAAAAGGATACACGTATTGACTAACTTTGGAAGTTGTTAGGAAAATGTTAAAATTTCAAGAATAACACAAAAAAATAGACATAGAGTGTACAAATTTACAATTAGTAGAGGAGAAAAAAAATTCAGTCAAAGCCAAAAGAAGGCAAGAAAAGAAGAAAGACAAAGAGGGAGGGAGAGAACATGGAACAAGTGGAAAGCATAAAACGAAATGGTAAATATGAATTCAAGCACATAAATGATTACAAGACATATAAACAGGACTCTTTAATCCAAATACAAAGAAACTGTCACCCTGGGTTAAACAAAACTTCATCTCAATGCCATTTACACAAGCAGCATCTAAAATTCGAGGACACACTATGGTTGAAAGTGAAGGGTAAAAAAAGACATACCCAGCAAATGTTAACCAAAAGAAAGCAGCAGAACTTAATAATGCACAAAACAGATTTTATGTCAAAAGGGAGAAACAGGGCTATGGAGAGGTATTATAGGATAATAATATTATCTACCAAGAAGTTTTAACAATTATGAGTTTTTATGTACCTAATACAAGGATGTCAAATTATGTAAAGAACGACAAAACTTAAGGAGCAACTGGCAAACTCCAGTTCTGTAATCACATGGAAAAATTTAGCAGACTTATCTTAGTAATTGATAACAATAGACAAAAAAATTCTGTAAAAGTATCAAAGGTTGAAGGATACCACAATTGAATGAACTTAATATAATGAACATGTATAGGCCACTGCATCCAAGAATTAGACACCTCACATCTTTCCAAGTGCCTGTGGAAAGAAAAGTGACCACATATGTAAAATATATCTCAACTAATTTCGAAGAACTGATATTAGAAAGACTATGATCTCTAAAAAATTAAACTAGAAACCATAAAAAATATAACTACAAATCTTCTGTACATAAAATATTAAAATGCTTCCAATGAACATAAAAAATTAGAAAATATTTCAAAATAAACAATGATTAAAAACATATCAACATTTATGAGATACAGCTAATGTGCTACCCACAGGAAAACTTACTGTAAGTGCATATTAAAGAGAACAGAAGAACTAAAAATTGTCTCAGCAAACAACTTGAGGAATTAGAAAAATAACATGACAACCCCAAAGCAAGTAGGAGGGAAATGATAAAGATAAAAGCAGAAAATAATTAAATGAAAACAAAGACACAGTAGGAAGAACTAATAAAGTGAAGGGTTAAGTTTTTAAAAACACAAATAGGCTGGGCGAGGTGGCTCACACCTATAATCCAAGCACTTTGGGAGGCCTAGGTGGGAGTATGGCTTGAAGTCAGGAGTTTGAGTCCCTGTACTCCAGCCTGAGCATCAGAAAAAGACCCCATCTCTAAAAATGAATAAATAGAAACGTTAATAACATCAGCACACTTTTGGTGAGACAAAAAGAGAATAGGTACAAATAATTTTTTTTTTTTTTTTGAGATGGAGTCTCGCTCTGCCACCCCAGGCTGGAGTGCTGTGGCGTGATCTCAGCTCACTGCAACCTCTGCCTCCCAGCTTCAAGCAATTCTCCTGCCTCAGCCTCCCGAGTAGTTGGGATTACAGGCGCCCACCACCATGCCTGGCTAATTTTTGTATATTTAGTAGAGATGGAGTTTCACCATGTTGGCAAAGCTGGTCTCGAACTCCTGACCTCAGGTGATCCACCCTCGTTGCCTCCCAAAGTGCTGGGATTACAGGCGTGAGCCACCGTGCCCGGCCACAAATAATTATGTTTAGAATATAAGGGGGGACATTATAGATTTAGCAATAATACAAATTATGAAAAACTTTGTGCCAATAAATTTGTAAACTTAGATGAAGGTCATAAATTTAGGAAGAAAAATTCTTAATCCTATCAGATTGATATGATTACAGAATGGTGTAAATTGGAAATTCACTAAGAATATTCAGGCTCACACCAAAGAAGGGATCTCCTTCAATTATCATTTAGATGATCCTCCAAGATTGTTTGAATACTTCCTGACCAGAAAAAGAAAGATGGACAGAATTCTCAGGTTTCATGCTAAGCCTCTCTTAGAGTGTGGAAAGACAAATATTATCTGAGGGTAGGAGTGAGGTGGGAAAGGACTAAGTATCAGCACCCACCCCGTCAACCATGAAAAGCAACACAAGAATTCTATTAGTGTTCTTAGTGAAAGAATAGCCCACTGCTCTTCTTTCCATTATTTTGTGCAACCTCAGAAATTCAAAAGTTTCAGCCTTAATTTTAGAGTTGGATTTTTTCCAATTTCATCAAAACTGAAGCAATATCAGCTTGGCAGTCTTACCTGTCACTTCCTGATGCAGTAAGAATGCATAGCGTTGCGGACGTTATCACGTGACTGTTTCGGGAGAAACAGCTCTACCCAATTAACAAATCAAATGATTGGAGAAGTGGATGAGGCTGTGCAAAACATGGGTTTTGAAGTCAGAAGAACCAGGGTTCAAACCCACCAAGTATTTTGCATGGTTGTATGAATATAGCATTGTTAATAGGATTACTAGACCCAGTACAGAAAGTGTTTAGCCTGTAGATGCTCTATAATAAGTTCTCGTCCCTGCCCCTTCTCAGTGTTGGTGGAGATGAAGATGTTTCTAAATGGACGCTTCCCATAGGATCTTTCCTAGGAGATTCTATACATCACATATTTAGTAACCCTATTGTTTGGACAAAAAGTTCAGTTTCCAGAAATTTTGCATTTTTAGTTTATCACCCTTCCCAGGAGGCTGGTTAACATTTTAGTCTGGTTAGTATAGAAGAGAATATCCTGCTTTCTAAGTGGCTGTGGAAGAAGACAAAGGAGCATCAGTGAAGTGGCTGGCTGCTCACGACCAAGAGGCTGCCCCTATGGTTTTGTGTGTGTGTGTGTGTGTGCATGTGTGTGTTTGTTTGTTTGTTTTGAGACAGAGTTTTGCTCTTGTTGCCCAGGCTGGAGTGCAATGGCGCAATCTTGGCTCACTGCAACCTCTGCCTCCCAGGTTCAAGCGACTCTCCTGCCTCAGCCTCCCGAGTAGCTGGGATTACAGGCGCCCACCACCACGCCCAGCTATTTTTTTTTTTTATATATATTTTTAGTAGAGACAGGGTTTCACCATGTCGGCCAGGCTGGTCTTGAACTCCTTACCTCAGATGATCCATCCACCTCGGCCTCCCAAAGTGCTGGGATTACAGGCATGAGCCACCGCGCCCTGCCAAAGCTGCCCCTATGGTATTCTTTTTATGTCAATAAATATACATGGAAAGGCACTTTTGTGGGACTGGTCTGCTTTTTATCTTTAAAAATATATTCCCCCCTTATGGGAAATGTATTCCCAGTCTAAACAACTGACTTTCAAGAAATAGTTCATATCTGACAAGTTAATCTTTGAGCACATATTGATATCAAGTTATATTTAGAGTCTAGAATTTCCAGGCCTGTAACTCTCAACATTGGTGTTTTTTTTAACTGTGGAACCTAACCTGTTACTGGGTTGTGAAGTGACAACCTGCTGGAAAGGATTGCAACGACAATTAGTTCGTTATATCAATACTAAAAACATACAGAAAAAATATTAGAGAGCAAAATATATAGTAAGGGAAGGTGTTGTTTGGGAAACTTTCACATCTGTGTTATATGTGTGAGTGTATAGGTGTGTGCGCACGTATGCATACTGGGTCATAATGTCAAAGGTATTACTTTTGGAACTTTTTGATCTTGCTCATTTGAAATGAAAGCTGCAGCTTCATGTAAACTGATAGAAAGATTTGGATTTCTTGCCCAGTATATGGGCCAGGGGCTAAGATTTTCTCCTGTGGCTGAGAGCCCACAACACATACCTCACACACATACCCACACATACAGTAGGCAGTTCCCAGTGTTCAAACTGGTTTGTAGGGGAGTTTGGGGGTGCTCAGAATACATTATGAAAGAGAAAGTCTTATCGAACCAGCCCACAAAACCTCTTTAAATTAAAATGTGCTGCCACAATAGTACTAAACACCCCAAGAACCGTGGGCGACAATGTTCCATAGGGACAATGCAATCATTTTCAATTTAGGAAGTGAGAGACTCACTAAGCTATTGATAAATGCTTAAAGCAGTTATGTGTCTGAACTCAGCTGTCTTGGGGTGAAATGTTGGAGATTTTTAGTGTTTCTTCTCTCTATATAATATGACAGTCCAACATCTTACTGTGCAGCCTTCCTCTCCACAATGGAGTCGGGTGTGTGGGTGGAGGGAAGAACACAAACTTAATGCATTAGTTATGAGCCACTTTCTACATCTACTCTCATTGGTTGGTTCTCTTCACTCTTTGCTATCCCAGAACAATTCTGAGTTTTCTTGCTACAAAGATAAAATACATTTCTGACTCAAGAGACTATTGTCCAATATAGAGAATCATCAATTTAGCCATAATATTATAAAATGCTTTTGAATATTGATACTTTTAAATGTTACTCGCATTTGACTAGAGTTAACATTCTAGACTGGGAAAATGAAAATTAAAATGCCAGGTATCAAAATTTGAAATGTTTGGTTAGCAAGGAGTTGAGAAAGCTTAAAAAGGGAGAATAAGAGTAAAGAAGATGAAGGAAATGTCTGCCAAGCCTCCAGCCTGGGTGGTATTTCCTGTTGGAGAGCAGATGGTCGTAAAGAGATAGTACTCCTTGTGGTTGATTACAAGATTGAGAATTCATTCTGATTTGGCCATGGCCTCACTGCGATAGATGATGCATTTGGATTTTTGACATGAATTGTGCTCTGTACAAACTTGAGTCCCAAACTCTGGAATTTATTACCTAAGACAGGGTCTCAGTTTCCACTCTCATAGAATAGGTACAATTAGATCTCTGGACATTGTGAAAAAGAACTTCAAGGCCAAGCGCGGTGGCTCGCGCCTGTAATCCCAGCATTTTGGGAGGCCGAGGTGGGTGGATCATCTGAGGTCAGAAGTTCGAGACCAGCCTGGCTGACATGGTGAAACCCTGTCTCTACTAAAAATACAAAAAACTGTAGCCAGGCATGGTGGTGGGCACCTGTAATCCCACCTACTCAGGAGGCTGAGGCAGGAGATTTGCTTGAACCCGGGAGGTGGAGGTTGCAATAAGCCGAGATCGTGCCACTACACTCCAGCCTGGGCGACAAGAGCAAAACTCCATCTCAAAAAAAAAAAAAAAAAAAAAAAAAAGAAAAGAAAAGAAAGGAACTTTAATACTCATTATTTGCAGTCACCGAAGCTATCTAAAATCTAAAGCCAGGGTCATTTAGCTTTCTCCTACAGGCTCAGCTTTGCCTCACATTCAAGGATGGGTGAATTAATTAAGGAATCCCTGAACTAACATATAGCAGCTCTCAATCGACCCAGTCTAGGAAATTGTCCTACCTCAAACTATCCATAGCTTCTAGACATTAGGCTCACATGTAGTTCCTTATGATTAAGCCATTGCCTGAATTCTAGTTCCAGTATCTAAAAGGCTGCCTTGTGTCATTATTTTTTCATTTCCTGCTCTATTATTCCATCACTTGGCCCTCATCTTACCCTTGCTAATACTCTGGGGTACTAGAGCCCTGACCTTGAACCCAGCCCCATGGCAGCATGCATTCTTCTTAGAGGTCTAGGCCAGCTTGATCAGACTACTACTTACAGCCATCCCTAGTCTCTCCAAATGCATCTTTCCCGTGCCGCTTCAAAACACCTGCGCTAATCAGCAGGCAGTCCCACACCTGAGGCTTTGCTTTCCTTGCTCTAGGTTCCTACTTGCATACTAGGGTGACCAACAGTCCCGGTTTACCTGGGACTGCAAGGATGTAGGACTTTCCTGGAATGTGGGACTTTCCATGCTAAATCCAAGAAAGTCTTGGGCAAACCAGAATGAGTTTGTCATGCTGATTCAGCAAGCCAGTTTGTCTTCTTGCTAAGTTCTGATTTGAATTTGTGCCTTCATTCAAGGACCTCTTCTTGTGCCTCATTGCTATGTAGGAGGTTGTTGATACAAAGATCTATTACCGCCTGAATACGTGTGTCAGAAATCAGGTTCCCTGGGAAGCTGACTCAGACACAGATTAGCATATGGGAATGTTATTATGGAGTGCTCTTGTGATAACACCTGTGGGCAGTGGCACATTGGTTTTGCTGATTTGTGGGCCTTGCTGATGTCTATGGTATAAATACCATGACTGATTTTAAGCTGCCAACTTGACATCAATCAGCTTGCAAAATCCCTGCAAATTTAACAATTGGCTCCCATAATGCAGTACAAACCAGCTCCAGGATCCCCTTGCCAATGATGAAAAAGAAAGCAGGATTGAACAGAGGGAGAAGGTGGGCTATGAGGCAATCACAACACAGGCCCCAGCCAACTGCACCAGGAGGTCTGAAACCAATATGGCCCTTCAGTATTATCCCAAGTTGGGGTGAAGGTGAAGTCTTGTTACCAGGCATCACTCTCAGAGGTTAGAGAACTGAGTTTTTTCATTGCTACAGTGGGGATGTGGGCAGTGTGGCATGGCATCCTCCACAGCCCACCCTTTCACAGCTCAGATCACATTTCCTTATAAGTTCTGGGAGCATCTATTCTTCCTTTGTAGTGGGCTTCTTTTTCTGGGGGAAAACTTATAAGAAGACTAGCAGTGGGACTCTAGTGTCTATAGAAACCACAGCCATTCTTGAAGCCACAAATGATCGTCATAGTCTTTCTCCTCTACATTCCATTGCAGATTGCCCTCACCCTGAGCTAGCACCTCAGGTAGTACTAGTATTCAGGTGGTACTAAAAAAGGAGTACCAAGAGACACTCAGGTAGATCACTTGAGTGCCAAACATATTCCTTCTTGGCCCCACTGTGTAACAGCAGTTCTCCTTCCCCCTGATGATTAAGATTAATTACCCCTGTCAGGATGGTGATTATTCTTCTTGTGTGCTAGATCACTTGGCATTGAAGACTTAAGTCACTGGTGGTAGCTGTAGCTTACATTTCAACAGTGTAAGCATTCCCCCTTTGGGAAACACAACCTCTAAATTCACAGAGCCCAAAGTTATAGGAACAGGAAGCACAAACTCCCCAAGATGATCACTAGGAGCAACCCCGAGGTTTCTGAACTCATGCATTCTACCTATTATTGGTGGATCAAACACTCTGTATCACTCAGTGAATCCATACTGAGAAAATGTGTCTTTTCCAATCAAAATGAGTCGCTACCCCTTTCAGAGTGGTACAAAATAATCAATACGCTACCAAGTAGTTGATTTGTCTTTTTGAAAGATTATCTCCTTGAAAAATGGGACTGTGGACTCTGTTGCTAGAAGACTGGACAGGTTGGAAATTTGGAAGCAGCGGTAGTAAGATCAAACTTGGTAATTGGGATCGTGTGTGGTTAGGCCCATGAATAGCCTCCAGCCCTGCCATCATGGCAATTCTGTTTGTGTATCCATTGTGCCAGCACTGGAGTGGCCAATGTCAGAGCCTGGCTCATGTTAACCAGTCAAGTCATTCTGTCTAATTGGTTGTTTAGTGCCTCTTCCATGGCATATGCACTCTGATGGACATCAACACCCAATACAAAGATCTTCACATTTTGCATCCACTTCAATAAGTCCATCCACATGTCTCTGCCCCAGGCATCTGTGTTCCTAATATTTTAATCCTTGATCATTTGTCATTGTCCATGGGTCTGTATATATGCTGAACTTGAGCCACTTCTTTTTTTATGAAAATGGATAACCAGGTAAACCACCTGAACCTCTGCCCACCAAGAGGATTTCCTCTCACTGCTACCTATTAATACCACTCCTAAGCGAAGTTGAAAGGAAGTTTCAGTTCACTTTTGGCTTGTACCTATGTACAAAGACAACCCACTTATGAAATGAGCCTAGATTTTTTTTCCCTCTTCCATCATCTGGTTATGTGGGTCCTCCGTAAGCAGCCTATGTTAGTGTGAGGTCTCTGGGAAGTGGACACCAAGACAGAGTTGGAAATGCAAGGTACTTATTGAGGGTAACTCCTGTGAAAGATAAAGAGAAGTGGGGGCAAGGGTAGGCAGGGAAAGCCTGTTAGGCCAGTAGCTTCTGGATGATGTGATAACTGATACAACCAGAGGGTCCCATGGTCATGGGTGCATTCCTGCACTTCTTTCACTGGATGCTATGTTATGTGGGATTGTATGTTTATTGACCTAGCATTCCATTAAGTCCTCAGATAGTGGCGCTGCTGAGGTTTGGGGGATAGGAAAAGACAAATTTATACCTGGAATTAATGTTTATTCTTGGGCAAATGAATCCTGACCCTTCCAGGACAGAAGAGGCCAAATGTAATCAAAATGTCAGTAAGTAGCTGGTTGGTCTCCTCAAGAACAGTTCCATATTGGAGACTCACCTTTGGTCTCTCTTGCTGGTAGATTGGATATCCAGAAAAGCTGAACCAGCCTGATTCAGTAACTAGGTCAGGCTCATTCAGTGAAAGTTATAGCCTCATTCAGTGAAAGTTAGGCCCGTATATAGCCTCCGCCACTGCCTCAGTGGCCACTCTGCTCATGAGCACATTGTGCCACAGGGGTAACTAATGACAAAAGCTGGCTAATGTCAACTGGCTGAGTCATGTTGTCTATTTGGTTAGTCAGTGCCTTGACCATAGTTTATGCTTTCTGGTGAGCATTACTATGTAATATACCCTCCAAAATTTATACTTCATGCTCATTCCCATATGGCCATCTATATTCCTATACCCCAGACCTCCTCATCACGGATTTTCAAGCCCTTTCTCTTCCAGGCCCTGACCAGCCAGTTAGGCTATTTGCTACTGCCTATAAATCCATAGATGTTCTCACCTCAGGCTACTTCTCCTCTACACAAGATGGATGGCCAGGAGTACCACTTATAGCTCTGCCCATTGAGAACATTTTCCTTCACCACCGTCTTTCAAAGCCACTCCTAACAGTGTCTATTTCCTTTTCTTTTATGTAATGGTCAGTCAGGTGTGGCTGCAAGAGGAAACACAGGAGAGGCTCAGGAAAATAAAGTTCATTGTACTCACAGGTCCTAGAGACAGGAGGCATGGCATGCTATGCAGGGCCACGTGGGAAAGATGCCAGTATAGCCAGAAGGCAAAAAACAGACGCGAGGGGAAAGCATTAGGTCAGAACCTTTACTGGGGTTTCTGTGCGAATGGCAAGGCAGGGCAGGGTGTACAGTTGAGCACTGGCTAGTTTCAATAATTCGGGTGGACTCTAAGCTATTGGAGTGGTCCCTAGGTGTCCGGTACCTGGCTCTTGAATGATTAAGGCAGGGGAATATTGTTTCCTGGGGAGTATGGGCAGGATAGAGGAGGTATGGCTCTGGGTTGGTTAGTTTGTGTGTCAAAGATATGTTCCCATCTTGTAAATCAAGCTTGGGCTTTTTCTCCTCCTTTATCTCACCATAGGAGGCCCCTCATACAACCATAGGGGTGAACTGAGGGAGGTAAACACGAGTAGTGGTGGTGGGTGATCTGTCTGCTTATGTATTAGGTTGAGGCAAAAGCAATTGCAGTTTTCACCATTAAAACTAATGGCGAATGCCAGGCGCGGTGGCTCACACCTGTAATCCCAGCACTTTGGGAGGCTAAGGCAGGTGGATCACGAGGTCAGGAGTTCAAGACTAGCCTGGCCAACATGGTGAAACCCTGTCTCTACTAAAAATACAAAAATAAATTAGCCAGGCGCTGTGGTGTGCACCAGTAATCCCAGTTACTCTGGAGGCTGAGGCAGGAGAATTGCTTAAATTCGGGAGGCGGAGGTTGCAATGAGCCATGATCATGCCACTGCAGTCCAGCCTGGGCAACAGAGCAAGACTGCCTCAAAAAAAAAAAAAAAAAAAAAAAAAAAAGGAATGGCGAAAACTGCAATTACTTTTGCACCAACCTAAATAGCTTACTCGTGCTGGGTAGTCCGATTTCCATCTTACAATGCATTGGTGCTGGGCCTGCCTATCTTTATGAATTGATGGGTCTAACAAAACCCACTCATTATGGGCCACTCCAGACACATGGCCAATGTTCATTTCTCTACTAGGGTCCAGGAACATACCAGGAGCTGTTTTTCAAGTAAGAGAATACATTTCAATTAGGAAAGAAATTTGATTATCAAGATTATGTTGCCCTCATAAAATGAATTAAAGTGTTTTTCTTTTTTTGTTGTTGTTCTACTGAAACCTTTATAAAGGATTTGTGTTATTCCTTAATTAGTAAAATCCACTTGCAAAGTCATGTGGGCCTGTGTAAGCAAACTATGAAATTACAAATTCAGTTTAATAGGTTTCAGACTATTTGTGTATTCTACTCTTTTTATGTAAGTTTTGATAGGTTGTGCTTTTGGGGGAATTTTCCTATTTCCCTCAGAGTTCACATTGGAAAGTTCTTGCTAGTCCAAGAGGGTAGTAACAATTCAAATATATTAGCATGTTTATAATACCATCTTTTTCCTCTTAACCTCTCTGTATCCTTATAATTTTGGTATGGCCTTTGTGAATAGCCTGTAATTTTGTTGTGGTTTTTTTTTTTTTTTTTTTTTTGACTCATCTGATGTCCCATTCAAATATTTATTTTTTAATTTGATGCAATGCTTGGGTTTAAATGTACAATATTATATTTTTGTTCTATTTGTCCGTTGTTTCCTTTTATTTTCTCCCCTTTAAACATTTTCTGTTATTCCATTTTTTCATTCTTACTGGTTTGAATGTTACATGCTTCTTACCATTATTTTAGTGGTCACAATAGAAATTACATGCATCCTTGACATAACAAAATCTAACATTAATTGGTATTACCCTCCTCTGGGAGAAGCAAGGAATTTCCAACATGAACTCTAGTTACATCTCTTGCAGTTTAGATACCTTATTTTAGTTCATTATGTATTTAAATCCATAATGTTTTTGTCTTGTTTTCATATTAGCACTTAGATTTAACCACATATTTGCCATTTCTGTTGCTTTTTATTCATTCTTATGTATCAACATTCCACCTGGGGATAGTTCTCTTGCCTGAAAATCTCTTTTCAGTATTATTCCTAATAAACCCTCGGATTTATAAAAGTATAATTCAGTATTTCATTGTAGGAGAATTTTCTACTTTTCTTGAAAACAACTTTGACATTTTTAAAGGTGATTTCTGTTAGACATTAAATTCTAGGTAAAGATACCATTTCACTATATTTTCGTTTCTGTTTTGATTAGGTAGCTTTTAGTGAAGTAGTAGAATTTTGAAAGTGATTTTTTTCTCTCTGGTTGCTTTTAAGATTTTTTCTCTCTGGTTTTCAGTTCTATTATAATATGCTTAGGTATGAATTTTTCTTTCTTGCTTGAGATTCAGAAGCTTCCCCAAATCAGTTGCTTATCTTGACAGCTATGGAAAGATCTCAGTAATTATCTATCAATATATTGCTTTTGCATCTCTCTGCTGTTTTCCTGCGGTGTTAAATTTGATAAACATTTCTTATCTTCTATATTTTCTGTTCTTGTTTTATTCTATTTTCTTCTCACCAGTCTTTCAGTTCACGAATTCTATCTTCAGCTGTGAGTAAGCTGTCACAAGAACATTGAGTTCTTGATTTCAGCTAGTATTATTTTTGGCTATATAACATTGGAAATTTTTCTGTAATTTTCCAGATATCTGCTAAATTCTTCATCTTGACTTTTATCTCCTTGGACTGAGTAAGCATATTTTAAAATCTGTGTTGTCTTTGATTCATATTGTCTTGTCTCCACACATGCCTTGTTATTTTGTGGTAAACATCGTTTGCAAAACTATAGAAATACTTTAAAGCTTTAAAAGGTCTTTAATTCCAATTTCTGTTCACCTATGCCTGTAGGACACCATCAGATATATTGTCATCCTCTTGGATACCTCCTCCAGAATTTGCCAAAAAACTCAAGGAGAAAGTGGCCCCCAAAACAGGCTCACCTACTTGGGTGTTATTTTCTCTCCCAACTTCTGGTTGTAATTTTGTGCTTACTGGCTTTCTAATGGCCTTCAAATTGATTTTTTTTTTTAAACAATTTTCTCCATTTTGTCTAGATGCCCTCAGTTGGATGGTTGGTCCAAATCATCTTACATTACTATAAGTGGAACTTCCTTCTTGTTGCTGTTAAGTCACTTATATTCTAACTATATGGGAATTTGGCTTTCTCCAAGTAAAGGTGGTATGAGACAGCTGTAAATATCTGGAAGCTGTGGTTAAAAAAATGTATAAACAAATTTGGCTTCTTTTAAATTCCATTTGAGTATTCACAAAAAATGCTTCAGGTCACACAGACCAATTTTGGTACACTGAAGTTAGGGGACTATGCAAGAAGTTAACCATGAGCTAGGATCATTGGGGGCCATCATGGAGGCTGGCTACCATTCAATAAGCAAGTTTAGTTTGTGGCTGACAGCTTTTCCACACTCAGTATGTGATAAGTCTCCCTTCAGTATGACATTATGGTGTACACTGAGTTGTGACTTCTGGCCAGAGTGAATGCTCTGATATGCAGTCAGACCAATTTATAGGTGAAGGCCCTTTCAATACATTCATAGGTCTTTCCAGCCTGAGCATTATGGCAGAGATACGTAATCTTCTGTTGACCTTTCCCACCGCAATATTTAACACATATATATTCCTTGCTTTACAATGGGACCAAGTTCTGATAAACCAATTGTAAGTCAAGGAGTGCGCTGAATGTGTATGGTTTTCGCACCACTGTAAAGTTGAAAAATCTTGAGTCAAACCAGTCGAAGTCGGGACCATTATAAAATTTCTCTCCGGGATGTTTGCTGACATTGATTGAGGTGTTACTTGGAAGAACTTCCCACAATTACTCCATTTATGTTTCTCTACATTATGAATTCTCTGACCTTCAGTCAAATTTATCCTCTGAATAAAGGCCTGCCAACAATCGGTACACATATAGTTTCCCTTCTATATGCATTCTCCAAAGGCACCTAAGCAGACTGGTTAGTGATGCCTACACCTTGGAGAGACCACCAATTAAATAATCATCACATACTTTTAGATCGATTATGGACATGATTTTGTTAAGTGTTAATAACTTCATTAATCTATGCCACAATTTATTGAAATGTTGTGTGGTCATGATTAATGTACAGAATGTGGAGATGTAATTACTGCCCTGAAAAATCTTGTGTTATCCTTAATAAGGCTGTTGAAAACAAATCAGTTCTGATGTGTACAACTGTATCACCAGTCCTACCTTCCAGATAGTTTTTGTTACTAAGAGCTTTTAAAATAACCGTTTCACATAGCTCTCCTTATTTACTTATTACTAAGTAAATGAAAATAGAGAATTTCCTTTGGAAACAATGGCAACAGGAACAGAGGGTAATTATCCTGTGTAAAATTTTACTCCAACCGATATTATTTTGAATTATCTATCATAAAATATTCCACATAAAGTTGGAGGAGATAATTTTATTAACAATCTATGCCAGGGACCAGCCAATATCTGTGGGTCAAATCTGGTCTGCTGCTAGTTTTTTACAGACACAATTTTATTGGAACACAGTTATATTCCTTTCATTTCTGCATTATGGCTATTTGTGCACTATAGCAGAGAAGTGCCACAGAGATCATATGGCCTGCAAAGCCAAAGACACTATCTGTCCTTTCCCCAAAAAGTTTGCTAACTCCATAAAAATAATCTAAATGGATTCTAAGGTACACAACAGTCATTTTTTAATTAAAGTACTAGATATAACATTTTAGTTTGTTATTTACATTTTTAGAGCAGGGTCTCCCTTTGTCTCCCAGGCTGGAATGCAGTGGCTTGATTGTGGTTCACTGCAACCTCCGCCCCCCCAAGGTTCAAGCAATTCTCATGCCTCAGCCTCCTGAGTAGCTGGGGCTACAGGCGCCTACTACCATGCCAGGCTAACTTTCGTATTTTTAGTAGATGTGGTTTTGCCATATTGGCAGACTGGTCTCGAACTCCTGACCTCAAGTGATGTCCCTGCCTCAGCCTCCCAAAGTGCTGGGATTACAGGCATGAGCCATCATGCCTGGCTTTAGTTTATATTTTAAAAGTACATTGCTGGTAATGTTTCTCACTTCAAATATTACAGACCAAAAGACATTCAGCAGCTATGCCTGTGACTGCCAACAAATGAAAAATCTCTAAGTCAAATTTCCAAGAAGGATATCTAAAGACTGTATTCTCTCAGATAGGTATTTTTTATCCTTTCACCTACATTTATAAACAATCCCAAATAATAACAGTATGATAGTGTGTACAGCTTCTGATTTTACTTATTTTACGGAATTAAACAGAAGTCTACTTCTTAGAACACCTAAATATTTATTTGGATAAAATAAAATAACAAGAATCTGGAGAAAAGAAACTAAGAGCCCCAAAGTTAAAGCTGGTAAAATAGTTCAAGAACTTGCAGCAAGTACCTAGAAAATATTAAATGGTTAGGACAAAACATTCACAGTTCAAGGTCCCAAGAAAATGATCTGGTGAGCAAATACATATACACACTTAAAACTAATCTGGATGAATTAGTGAAGCAATGAATAAATAGGTCAATTACTAAACCCACATAACTTATTCAAATAAAATCTAATACAAAAAATAAACTTAAAAAAATAGGTTAAAACACTAAATCTTAACTAAAATATTAGGCAAACTAGAACAGGAGGGCCGTTATTAAATTGTTCACAATAACTTACTATTTGAGACAAAACTGAATAGAAAATCTGAATTGTGAGAATAAACAAGTTGTTTCTCAACTACAATTATTTGACAGCTACTCAAAAAGTGCATATACTGCAGGTCTTAATACTACTAACTACTGGTAAAAATGACTAAACCAGAACTGCCAGCACCAAATTAATTTCAAGGGTTATAATTTTATGCATTTAGTATTAACTAAAATGCTAATTATCATTGGTTAGCTTTTCAAAATCATACTGCCTACAGAATTTCCACAAAAGACTAATTTCACACAATTTAATTAAGATGTGAATATGAGATTCTGTGACTCTTCCCACTCCTCTCCCCCTGACAAAGAAAACTCATATAGTGGAGGAAAAAATGGAGTCATGCAAATAGGACAATGATGAGGATCAATTGAATAGTGAAGACTCCCAAAGTTAATTAATTAGATTTTAACTGCTTCAAAAAGACCAGGGTACTTGGATCACATCAAGTAACTGGATGTTGGAATATGAGATTAATGCTTGTACAATCCTCTCATTGTATGTAAAGATGCTATCCTAAGAAAATGATTTGAATAGTATCTTCCCTTATTAAATCTTAGAAAATTTTACTTTCAGGTATTTCATAACCTGAAAAGGCTAAGAACTTCCAAGAGTTCTAATACAGTAAAAAAATCAACCATGTCCCATATGTATTGAAACAAATTAGAAACTGTTAAGAATTTAAGTACCTTGAAACTACTAAATTCAAGATAACACAAAGATTCATGTTGAACAGACCTCACCAGATCCAGACTGACAACATATACCACAAAATTTGGCCTAATAGTCACAAACCATGAAGACACAAATATATTCGTTAATATTAGCAGCTCTGCTATAACTAGAATAGTTTTCAAAATATTTCCAGTGGCTCTAAAGAATGTCTAGCCACAGCTCAAAAATCACATCCAGGTAAGATCTTAGTCTTAGAAATCTGTGCATTATCTTGTTTTCCTGATAATTTAAAAAATCAAATTTTCACCTATATACATCCCCAGAAAAAATTTTGAATCTCCTTTTCAGGTACAGTGAAAATTCAATAATACATCTCCTTAATAAGATTTCCATCATATTGATAAATTTATATTTTTATTTTTCATTTCACTTGAAAAAAATTAGCTAATTTTTACCAATGAAATGGTAAAAATAGAGGCAACTATAACTTAAAATTACACAGCTTCTTAATGTTTTATTCATAGCATTCTTTATACATCAGAAGCTTCACTGATATTTAATTTACTGCAGCATCCTGTAGGTGAAGCACAAAAATTACATTAAACAAAGAAACAAAAGCACTTTTGACTTTTTAAAATTATATGTGTATTTATATCCAGTTGACAAATAGCATCACAATTATTACTGTATAAAAAACTAAAAATCACCATGGAAGCTAAGGCCTAAATTCTCATTCCAATTGTTCCCTTTTGTTGATACCTAAGAGATATTAATTAGATTCCAGTACCTCAAAAAAAAAAACAAACCCAAATAAACAAAAAAACCCAGGTCTACATTATTTACATACAGTATGGGAAAAAAAGCTGCTTTTTGGCTAACTTAGATTGCGGTTACCTGCAGTATTTACACTGTAAATGTTAAGGGGAAGAAGCACTACTAACAAATACCATTTAAAAAAAATATATTGTGCCTGGAATTTTATTCTTAAATTAGTTGTATATCCTAATAAGTGTCTGTTGAATAGAATTTGACTTCTAATAAATCTACTGAAAGTGTGAAACAGAGTACCACTATGCTTCTTTATATTGCTAATCTAGATCCTGTTAGGTCCAATATTGTAGTTAACTATAAGCACTGAACCTTAAATGAAACAATGGCAACATGTGTGTAGATGAAATTTTATTCAGTATTGTAAAATATAATGCCTTGATGTTTACTCACAATTATGAGACTATCCTATTCTTTTAATCCTTTAAGAAGTCTCATATGATAGGTCCCTAAACAGTGAAACCTTCCAGTAACTTACCAGAAAAAAGTTTAATTATGTTATTCTGTTCTTAGATGTTTCTAATATTTAAAAGCATATCTAAACCCTTGGCAAAAACAAACACAATCAATTCAGTGTAACAGACTGAGCTTTAAACTGTACTTTAATTTTCAATAACTGTAACCTACTGGTTAATTGAACCAAACGTAGAGTATTTAAATGACTCACTATGAAGTGTGTCAAATCAATGATAGAATGCATAGAAAAGTGGAGATAAGTTTGGGGGAAGGTGCAAGGTGGGTTAATGTGAAAAACGGTAAATGCCAGTTTTAATAACAAAAATGGTACTAAACGCAGATGAACATTAAATTAATACAGTATAAAAGAGAACAGCTTAAATAAACTGGTATTCACATATTACAATAGCAAAGTTATGACAGAATGAACTGAAGACACGAACAGTTTTGAAAATTCTCTTTTCAGCCTACTTCCAAATAGAAATAGTCAGGCTTTTTTCCTGTACATAGTTTGATGCTTTGTCTATACCATATATAGTAGAAAAATAAATTCTTTAGCAACCTAGAAACAGTTTATAAAACTCTTAAAGTTTAATTTTCTTTGCCAGACATGCCAATAGTTAAACTGACAACTATAAATTAAAGCTATATAGACAATAGGTATAAGTAATATAGAACAGGTTAAGAATACTACATTTACCGGATTTTTTTTTAAAAATTACTGTACTTTCTTAATTCCTGTGTGCTTTGCAATAGGAATAATAGGGACTTTGTTTTCTTAGAAAAGATAACATGTAAGAGTATAACACAAATAAGATAATTTATAATATACATGTACTTCAACAGCAGCCTGGTTCATGCCAACATCTTGGTTCTGAAGTTAAAATTGGAAGTACAATACCTAGAACTTAACAGTTGGGAGAGACAATATTTATTTTAGGAAAAAACAGAGCAAATCAAACTCTTAGGAGCCTTGAATCTGAAAATCATCTATTTACTATAATACACATAAGATAATCTTAAATTGTAGTATGAATTAAGATAACATTGACCAAATAATTTTTTTCTTTACTACACAAAATATAACCTAGTGAAATTTACCTGTGCCACCTATTCTGAAAATTTTATCCATAATTTAGTGTTCTGGTTTTATCTTCACTAACAAAATGTTTACCCCCAAAAGCAGCAGTCACTTATAGTAATTCTGGTACCAACATCAAAGGAAAAAATTGGCTTAAAAATGGTGCAAAAGCCATTTTGGATTTTAGTACAACACATCACAGAAAAGAATATGAATACAAATTTGTAATATAAACACTCCAAAGAGTCTGTCAGTACCCAAAGTATTTTTATTGCTATATTAGCAATGGGTTTTTTGGATATTTTTTAAGGGCCACATAAAAATAGATTCAAGGAACAAATTAAATTGAAGTCCTAGATTTAAATGTTTGGTTTAAAGAATTTTCTACAACAAATTTCATGTTTATGTATGAAAAGTTATATAACCTTATATGAAAATGTCATGGAAGTATTTTCTACACTATACTAAATGTGTTCCCCAAGAGGGAAAAAATTAAAATATCTAAAATATATTAGATTAAGATTACAAGACCATCATAGATCTTTTGAACATGCATCTGTTTACAGAATTAACAGTATACAAAATTTTTATTTCATTATGGACCATAAAGAAATGAGTTGGTGACAACTATCCTTTGCACAACATTATCAACTCACTTTAGCCACAAGCATGTCCTTGGTATGTGTGTAAAAGAAATAGGTTCATTTATCCCTCATCAAATCATCCACGGGTTTACTTGGAAGTAAAGATGAAGGTACAGAAATGTGAAATATGTCAAGTGTATTTTTTCTTTCTTTCAAACAACATCCCAAGCATGGCCTCAGTAGCCTGAAATTATAAAATACTTAACTGGGCTTTTAGTTATCTACACCGACTGCCAGAATGTAAATTAAGTTGCCCAAATTAGCACATCAAATAACAAAATCAGCCAGAAAGCAGGCTGAAAAGCATTAAATGTTTCATATAGGTGAGTTTTTAAATCATTTAATTTCTATAGAAAAATTTTATTCACAATATAAGGTGACAGAAATTGCCACAGGAATGATATACTGATTGCAATAAGGTTGCATGCAGCAGCAGCTTTGTACTTTATAGCTATTTTTGTTTATAAAAATTAAACCTCTCCAGTCATGCTTATCACATGGTCTTAGATTTGTAATGTAAGTGAATAAGGAATACCATCTAGTTCAAAGAGAAAATGTAATTTTGAATGTGAATTATCTGTATGAAACATGAAGTATACTACTGAACCCTGAAACATGCATGTCTAGATTTGCTTTTTGTCCAAATCCAGCCTGTTTGCAATCACTTCCTACTCATATAATACCAAGAGGATCCGTTTGTAATTGTGGTTGTATCAGCTGAGGTTGCAATGGTGGCGGCAACTGAAGTGGCACCATTGGTTCCACCAACTGTCCTGGGTTTGAAGGTGGTGGAGGAGCCACAATGTTTGTCGTTTCTACAATTTCTCCATTGTAAAAGAAAAACTGACACTGCTGAATGAATGTTTCAACAACAGATTGATGAATCTTAGTAGTAGACAGAAACTCTCGATTTTCAAAATCAGGTCTCATCAAGGTTGGCCAAAAACAGATGGATAAGTTGTCTGCTGTCATTAGGTTGATTTTATGTTGCTGACTAACCCTGAAATTATGAAAGGAAAAAACATTTAGAAATCAAAACTCATTACAATCACAGAATTCCAGAGCTAGAAATGATCTCAGATTTAATGTTACCTTTTATCCTACTTCAAACCTGGGGTTTAAAAATTTGCATAAAGAAGCATCTTTAATTCGTATGTAAAAAACTTTTCCTGGGCCAGGTGCAGTGGCTCACGCCTGTAATCGCAGCACTTTGGGAGGCTGAGGCAGGCGGATCACCTGAGGTTGGGAGTTCGACACCAGCAGGACCAACATGGAGAAACCCCATCTCTACTAAAAATACAAAATTAGCCAGGCGTAGTGACAAAGCCTGTAATTCCAGCTACTTGGGAGGCTGAGGCAGGAGAATCGCTTGAACCTGGGAGGTGGGGGTTGTGGTGAGCCGAGATCGCGCCATTGCACTCCAGCCTGGGCAACAAGAGTGAAGTGAAATTCCGTCTCAAAAACAACAACAATAACAACAAAAAACCTTTCCTGATGTGACAAATTGTATTGAGTTTCTGGCAACAGAAACAACAAATTCTAATTGTATATGTAACTTCTTTGACTACTGTGAGAGATGAAAAACCAGAGTATGCTCTCTCAACTAGCTTTGGAAAAATTACTACCATAGGTGTTTGACACTAATATCAGGCTAATTTTCCCTTCCTTCCTCTGTTCCTCTCTTTTTTTTTCCTCTCTCTTTCTTTCTCTCTCCTTTCTTCCTTTTTTTTTTTGAGAATCAAGTCTCACTATGTTGCTCAGACTGGTCTCAAACTCCTGGCCTCCAGCTCCCCAAAGTGTTGAGCCACCGCATCTGGCTGAGAATTTTTAACTTTCAGAAAACCTGGTTGCAGCAGGTGCGGTAGATCACGCCTGTAACCCCAGCTCTTTGGGAGGCCGAGGTAGGCGGATCACAAGGTCAAGAGATCAAGACTATCTTGGCCAACATGATGAAACCCTGTCTCTACTAAAAATACTAAATTTAGCTGGGTGTGGTGGTGTACATCTGTAATCCCAGCTACTCGGGAGGCTGAGGCAAGAGAACTGCTTGAACCCAGGAGGCGGAGGTTGCAGTGAGCTGAGATCATGCCACTGAACTCCAGCCTGGCGACAGAGCAAGACTCCATCTCAAAAAAAAAAAAAAAACCTGGCTGCTAGCATTCCATAAAACAATCTTTTTTTTTTTTTTTTTTTTTTTTTTTTTTTTTTTTTTTTGAGACAGAGTCTTGCTCTGTTGGCCAGACTGAAGTGCAATGGCATGATCTCAGCTCATTGCAACCTCCGCCTCCCGGGCTCAAGCAATTCTCCCGCCCCAAGCCTCCTGAGTAGCTAGGATTACAGATGCTCACACCACGCCCAGTTAATTTTTGTATTTTTAGTGGAGATGGGGTTTCACCATGTTTCCATGGTATTTTCTCAGGGAAAGGTTATAAGAAATGTTAATACAATTTTATACCACATTGCTAGTAAAAAGTAAGCTTTAAACATTGGTGAATCCTCTTTTAGGAGGTACCAGCTGAAATGTACTTGGTTTGGGTGTTGATACTATTAGTTTAAAAAAAAAAAAAAACAAAAAAAACCATACAGTTCATTAAAATGCCAGTAGAAAATATTATGAGGAGACTTTTCAAAAAATTAGTACATATACTAAAATAGTTCCATTCAGTCCTCAGAACAACTTTGTGAAGTGTTGTTATTTTCATGTTTATAGTTGAGACAATCAAGACTTAGGAAGAATAAGTCATTTACCCAAGGTCACAGAACTAGTAATTTTTCAAACCAAACCCTGTTCCAACTCCAAATAGGTCAATCTGGTTAGTTATCTGAGTGTCATTTCATATCTAAAATTCTAAGATTTTACAGAGAATGTGGTAAAAAGGAAAATATACTTACCACACTTACTATTTATATAATAATTACATTACAAAACTAATCATATATCTTTTTAGATATAAATTAGAAAAACAAAATTCAACTATATGTTTAGTCTGAGTCCCCTTTTCTATCTGATAATTATCCAATTTATAAAATTTACATGTTTGAAATGTGTAGTGCATTTTATTTGCCAAAAAACCCTAAAAAAATAAAAATACCTGTTTAGATGTGTTATCACGTATCTGAATACATCATAGTTTACAGGATGAAATTTCTTAACAATTTCTTTCAAGGCATGAAGACGTTCTGTTTTATCCGGGATTTCTGTAAAATTAAAACAGTGAAGAATCTGTGTAAAACTTACACATTTAAAAATATTTGATAAAGCTTCCTGCTATATTTACTATAACAGTCAAGAATGTGTTTAAAGCATATTAGGATAGGTAAACAAAATCAAAGAAAATGTTCTAAAGCAACAGTCCCCAGCCTTTTTGGCACCAGGGACCAGTTTTGTGGAAGACAGTTTTTCCACAGATGGGTGGGGGGATGGTTTCAGGATGATTCAAGTGCATTACATTTATCATTAGATTCTCATAAGACGTGCACAACCTAGATCCCCTGCATGCGTGGTTCACAATAGGGTTCCCACTCCTAGGAGAATCTAATGCCGCACCTAATCTGACAGAAGGTGGAGCCCGGTTTCCCTTATCCAACTCCTCACCTTCTGCTGTGCAGCCTGGTTCCTAACAAGCCAGGCTGTGTGGCCTAGGGGTTGGAGAGCCCTGTTCAAAAGAACCTGCTAAATTATGTAAATTAAGAAATCACTTCAACTAACATTATCTATTTCTATTAATGTCATCATTTATTACTATAGCCTTTTTATAAGGAAAGCTAATCACTGAAGACCAAAGTGACCCAGCATTGACAAAATGGGAAATGGTACGTTAGCAATTTACGTAACTAGATACTGATTTATAATTAACTAATTACTTATAAATATGTTAGGCTCTTAACATTTATGCTACAGAGTAACTATTTTAGGCTTTGTGGGCACACTTACTCAACCCTGTGTTGTAGCACAAAAGCAGTAACAGACAACATGTAACAAACGGGAGTGGCTATACTCCAATAAAACTTCTGAAATTTGAATTTCATGTAATTTTAATGTGTCATGAAATTTTCTTTTCTCTTGGTGTAAAAACGACTCTCAGCTTAAAAGTCTGCCAAAAACTGGCGATAGCCTAAATATGGCCCTCGGGCTATAGATTCGCCTATACTACAATTACTTGTAATCCATTTTGCTTATCAAAGATTTTCCTTTACAGGCAGTTTAAGTATTTAACTTACTCTCCAAATCTATGCAATTATGAAACAGAGTAACTAAAATGTGGCCCTGAAATAAATGAGATAGAGGGTGCTTTCCACCTCTTCCTTATTTTGGAGACCAGTGTGCACACCACATCATTATGGTAGCATAACCAATTACTAACAACATTTCATTTGTTACACATTACTTCTAAATCAGTCCTCAAAAATTTCCTAAGTAGGAATGTTCTGAGGTTCCTATTAATGGTCAATAGATAAGAACATCTAAGCTATCAATTAAGCCATTTTCCCACTTTACCTGAGAGTACGTATATATAAGGCAACTATACCTTGTGACAATATACAGAATTAAAAAAAAGAATCACTGAGAACTTAGAACAATACGAAGTAGTCTCATCTAAAATAACCTGAAGACTTGCAACCAAAAGGAAATAGTAGAGAGAAGTATTTAGCAACTGTGCTAATTTTTTGTCACTGAGAAATCATGTGGATGAAACTGATGCCCAAACAGACTTTAGTTCTCATTTTCCAGATAAATGAATATCTGTTTAGTGGAAACATCTGAATGAAAGATGCCAAAGTAGGAATAAATACTAAATAAATATCATGTTCTTTCCCAAAATGACTTACAACACATGGTCTGCTATGGTTTGAATGTTTCCCCCAAAGTTCTTGTGTGGGAAACTTAATCCCCAAGGCAACAGTGTTGAGAGGTGGAATCTTTAAGAGGTGACTATATCATGAGGGTTTTGTCCTCATGAACAGATTAACGCTGTTATCTCTGAAGTGAGTTAGCTATTTTGGGAATGAGTTCCTGATAAAAGAGTAAGTTCAGCCCCCTTCTTGTCTCTTACTCTCTGAGTGTGCTCTCTTGCCCTTCCACCTTCGGTCATGGAATGACTTTGCAAAAAGGCCCTCACCTGATGAGGCCTCCTTGACCCTGAACTTACCAGCCTCTAGAACTGTAAGAAATAAATTACTTTATAAATTATGCAGTCTGTAGTATTCTGTTACAGCAACATAAAACAGGTAAGACAAAGCCAAAGTAAATTTCTTTGACTTACAATTTGAAGAATTTATTTAATTTTCTTACAATGCCCTTAAGTTTGAATTAAAAACACAAACCTCAAACTTCTAGTACAATGATCTTCTAATTTCTAGGAGCATTTAAGTCACCTAGGGGGCTAGCTAAAACAGAATATTCCTGGAGGCCATCTCCAGGGATTCTGATTTTAATTTAGAGGAAAATGCCTTTAAGAAATAGAGTTCTAGTTAAGTTAATTTTTATTAGCTACATATTCTAGTACATGATGATTTTAACACTTAGCAATCAATATCCAAAAACTGCCATTATCATCCCTCTCATAAAAAGGAGGTTTATACTTACTTGCTGCTTCCAATAGTTCTGGATGAAGAGAATATGG
Organism: Homo sapiens; assembly: GCF_000001405.40. Classification (NCBI taxonomy): domain Eukaryota; kingdom Metazoa; phylum Chordata; class Mammalia; order Primates; family Hominidae; genus Homo; species Homo sapiens. Next base: position 32,149,996 of record NC_000014.9, on the reverse strand, counting down.
AATTAAAGGATCTGGCAGATCTGCAAAGAAAGCTTTAAGGGCTCCAGCTACAGCATTTACTGTTACTTCCATTGACACTAGATTGATATTATGATCTACAAGACAAAAATTAACATTTTAAATTATATAATAAAACTTTATTATAGAAGCAAGCTAAATGGTTACTTTTAGATCAAAAGATAACTTTAAGTCTTGGGCCACTTTTCTTTTTCTTTTTTTTTTTGAGACTGAGTTTTACTTTTGTTGCCCCAGCTGGAATACAGTGGCACAATCTCACCTCATTGCAACCTCCACCTCCCGGGTTCAAAGCAATTCTCCTGCCTCAGCCTCCCGAGTAGCTGGGATTACAGGCGACCGTCACCACGCCCGGCTAATTTTTTGTATTTTTAGTAGACATGGGGTTTCACCATGTTGGCCAGGCTGGTCTCGAACTCCTGACCCTCAGGTGATCCACCTGCCTCAGCCTCCCAAAGTGCTGAAATTACAGGCATGAGCCACGGCGCCTGGCCCCACTTTTCTTTTCAGGCTTACAAACTACACAGATCAGGGAAAAGACAACCAAGCAATAAGCCTTTTCTGTTATAATAAAAAAATGCTGTTAGGCTTATTAGTATATTGAGGAACTTTACTAATATCTATCTTTTTTTTTTGTTTATACAGCTATTTAAAAGAGGCCACAAGAGGCAGGTGAGGTGGTGCGTACCTGTAGTCCCAGCTACTCAGGAAACTAAGGTGAGAGGATCACTTGAGCCCAGGAGTTTAAGTCCAGCCTGGGCAACATAGTGAGACCCTGTTTCTTTGGAGGAGGAAAAAAAAAAAAGAGGCCATAAGTAACTAGAAAGAAAAAATAAATATGCATACAGGTTGATCTGAAACTTGTTCACTGGAACATTTCGTATCTGGGATAACTGCTAAGTAAAATCCACATACTCCAAAATTTGAAAAAAATCTGAAATCCAAAATACTTCTGGGCCCCAAGAATTTTGAATAAGGGGTACTCAATTTGTATAAATTCTAATTTGGACCTTTTAAGCTTACAGTTCAAAATTTTATGTAAAATGGTTTAAATTTAAGTAGTTGGTGAAGTTCCGACTAAAAAAATCAAGAATGGAACATACTAAAGGTGTATCATAAGGTTAATTTGCTATCAGTAAATCACTTTAATATAAAAAATAGGCCAGCAAAAAGAAAAAAAATTTCCCCATCACCTAGAGAGAAGCATTGTTTACAGTTTAGCATGTTTCCTTTCAGCCTTTCTCTGCTCATTAAAAAAATTGCCAAATCAATTGTTAACATTTTGCCCTACATAAACAATTTTAATGGCTGTGAAATATTTCCTTAGATTATACAATTTACATAATATTCTATTACTGAACATTTAGATTTCATTTAAATATATTACAATAATATGAAAATGATATGATGCTATGCTTTAATACATACAAGCTTATTTCCTTAGGCTACATTCTTTGTAGTAATAGCTACCCAATGAACATTTAATATGGTGCTCGGAGAGAAAACTCTTCATATGCATTATCCCATCATCCTTATAGTTACTCTCATCACTCCCATACTAGACATGAAGAAATTGAGATTTAGAAAGATTAACTTGCCAGAGGCACAAAAATAGTGGCAGTGGTGGCAGGACGAGAAAACAAAACAAGAAAGTCAAACTCAAGAGCCTTGGTATTAACTATAACCATGCATTCATTACTGGAAGTGAAATTCTACCAATTTAATACCATTGTCTAAACAGTTTTTTAAACACTATAGATAGATATACATAGATAGATAGATAGATAGATAGATAGATAGATAGATAGATAGATAGATTTCTTTTTTTTGAGATGCAGTCTCGCTCTGTCACCCAGGCTGGAGTGCAGTGGTACAATCTCAGCTCACTGCAACCTCCCCCTCCTGGGTTCAAGTGATGCTCTCGCCTCAGCCTCCCAAGTAGCTGGGATTACAGATGTGTACCACCATGTCTGGCTAATTTTTTGCATTTTAGTACAGATGGGGTTTCACTGTGTTGCCCAGGCTGGGCTAGAACTCCTGAGCTCAGGCAATTCGCCCACCTTGGCCTCCCAAAGTGCTAGGATTACAGGGGTGAGCCACTGTGACTGGCCAATATTTTTTAAAAATGGGATACTAGACTATACGATACTCTTTGGCAACAAGGTGTGTTTTTGTATACACACAGTCACACACACACACGCCACTCAATAACTGATGTTTTGCCACTTCAACAGGCATAAAATCTTTATTTTACATGGCTTCTTGGTATTCATTCTACTTATTAGACCTGAGTGGTACCCCCCAACACCCCTTTTAAAAAAAACTTACAATACTGCAAGGAAGAGCCTTGTAAGTATATCTTGGCATGCTTATGCAAAGACTTCTGTAACACATTCCTAGAAGTGGAATTTCTCTAGCAAAGCTATCTGAATCCTGATATTCACAAACTGCCTCTCAAAAGGCACCTACAACCAACAGCGTACAAGATACATGTTTACTTACGCTCTAACAATTCTTTTCATTCAAATAAAACAAATAAATATAATCCTTTAATTTTTATCATTAATAGAGGCTAAGCATATTTTCATGTATTTATTGGTTGCTCTCTTCTGATGTGAATTACTTAAGCTAGGTATGTCACACCCTGTTTTAGCCACATGTCATACAGAATTTTTACATTTTTGTAAAATTTTAGCATGTACATAGTCCAGTCTATCAACTTGGGTTCATGCTTTCTAGGTTTCATATCAAGTTTAGGCTTTTCTTTACTCTAAGACTATAAAAATATTCACTCATTTTTCTCCCTAGTACTTATGGTTTTCATTTTTTACGTTTAAATCTTTAATCGCATATAGAATTTACTGAATATGAGTAGAAAATTCGGCTTTTTTTACTCCTAATGGCTAAGATGCCGATCAATCATAAGTCAAATTACTGCTTTTCTAAATCTGGTGATGGATTTATACAGGTTCAGTCACAGTCTTTTATTTGTGAGATAGTTTAATGTATTAGGAATACGAAATTTGGGAAGAAACTCGGAGTATATGCTCCATAAAATATCTAATCTGATATCAAAATATTGTACAGTATTCCCTTCAGTCTTAGTGTAAGAGATAGTTTCTTGTTATTTCAAAAACAAAATTTATTCTACTGCTTTCCATTCCTTCCAGGCCTGATGGACTTTGCTTCAATACTGAATGCCTGCTTTTCCAGTACCTCCTTTCTTATTTACCAAATCCTCTTCTGTCTTCATACTTACATTAAAAATTTATACAATATTGTATTTTCTTGACTCAACTGCCTCGTTTTCAATCTTTTCTTCTATTGCAATTGTATTTTAGAAGTTTCTTATCATCTATTTCCTCTTATAAATCCCTAGTACCAAGTCCCCTTAATTCAAAGGCTCTAAAAGTAATCAGTGACTTCCTTGCTAATGTAAAGAAAACAGGCTTTCCCTAGCTGTTTTGTACCTTTACTGTGGTATCTATTTTACTTAGTGCTTCTAATCTCACTTTGAAACCCTCTCTCCTCAACATCCATATCCTTAGGAAGTTTTCAAATGAAAATCAATCTTCTCACCATGAATTCTAACAAGGAAAACATAAAACAACAATTTTTATTTCACATAATCATCTTCTTACCTTGATCAAACTGCTTTTGAATATTGTCTTGGTCAGTTTTATTCCCGCTGACACGGTAGAGTCCTTCGGTACATAACCCTAAGAGAATAAAGAAATATGCATACTTTAATAAACACATATATATCCACACGGCTGGGCACAGTGGCTCATGTTTGTAATCCCAGCACTCTGGGAGGCCAAGGTGGGAGAACTGCTTGGCCCAGGAGTTTGAGCCCAGCCTGGGCAACACAGGGAGACTCTGTCTCTACAAATAATAAAGAAAAACTTAGCTGGGCATGGTGGCATGCACCTGTAGCCCCAGCTACTCAGGAGGCTGAGGCTCAGGCTCCCCACCTGAGCCTGGGAGGTCAAGGCAACAGAGCAAGACCCTGTCTCCAAAAAAAAACCCCAACCAACCAAACAAAAAACCAATATACATCTATAACAATAAATGTACTTAATCTTATGTACAATTTCGTTACAAATTTATAGTGGTAAAATATTTGTAAGAATAAAATATTTTTTGAGCATTTTAAAAAAGTAAGTTCTTAGTGGACTGTTTTCTATTTTAAACCATTTAGGACATTCAGCTCCTGACAAAATGAATAGACTTATTTCTCCCTACTCTCCCACTAAATACAGCTAAAAACCCTGAATCTAACATGTAAAAAAACCAAACATAAGTAGTCTGTGAATGGTGGAGAGAAGAAGGCAAACCGGCTAATGACTTAGAAACTTGAAGAACGACATGACAGTAAGTTCCCTGATTTTTGAGGGGGCAGGCAGAGGCTCATATCATGACTGGGCGTTGGAGAGGCCTGCAACCCAGAAATACTAATAAGGCAAAAACACCACCACCACCATACCCAAAACTAACAAAAACAAAAAGATAAAACCCAACAACAGCAACAAGAAGTCTGCTTTCCCTAGTGAAAGGATTAGAAGAGGTACAGCCTAGCAAAACAAAACCTTTTTGACTATAATTGCCCTACTCAAGCCACAGAGCATGGAGTCCCTCCTCACTCTTGTCAGTGGAGGCCAACTGGGAAGCCTAGACTTCTACTGCTGCCAATCAGTAACAAGGAGTTCTTTACCCTTTCTGGAGTGTCAGCAGAGGCTGAGTCGAGAGCCTAAACTTCCACCACCAATCCTAGGTAAGAGATGCCCTACCTACCCCACCATGCTATATTATCAGTGAAAGCCAATGGAAGCCAACAGGAGTCTGAACTTCCACTCCCACCTTGCAGCCCTCCTCCCCTGCTGGTGCAACGTCAGAGGAGGCCTGCTTAAATAGATTTGAGTAATATTCCAAAGTCTCTGAATACGATATCCAAAGTGTCTATGAGATACAATAATAAAACAAAAGTCCCCCATATCAAAAACCAAGAAAAATGTCAACTTGAATGATAAATGACATTTAACAGATACCAACACAATGGTGGCAGTTATGGAATTATTGAACAGGACTTTAAAGCAGTTATTATACAATGTGCAATTACAAACACACTTGAAACTTGAAAAATAGGAAGTTTCAGCAAAGAAACAGAATATATAAGGAATAACTAAATGGAAATTTTAGGCCAGGAGTGATGGCTCCCGCCTGTAATCCCAGCACTTTGGGAAGCTGAGGTGGGTGGATCACTTGAGGTCAGGAGTTTGAGACAAGCCTGGCCAACATGTTGAAAACCCACCTCTACTAAAAATACAAATATTAGCTAGGCATGGTGGTGGGCGCTTGTAATCTCAGTTACTTGGGAGGCTAAGGCAGGAGAATCACTTGAACCCAGGAGGCAGAGGTTGCAGTGAGCCAAGATCACACCACTGCACTCCAGCCTCGGCGACAGAGCGAGACTCCTTCTCAAAAATAAATAAATAAATATAAATATAAATAAATGAATAGAAATTTTATAACGAAGAAATACAGTGACAGAAACAACTCACCAAGTGGGCTCAATAGCAAGATAAAGATGACCAAAATAATAATAATAATAATAACTGAACTTGAAGATAAATCAATAAAAATTACCCAATTTAAAGCCAGGCATGGTAGCTCACACCTGTAATCTTACCTCAAAATAACTATACTTCATTGTTCTCTAGATAACATTTATCCTGACTTTGTGAATGTATTCTTTTACAGAATTCTTATTACTCCATGTATATCTATATATCCCAGTTGAAACATTTCTTCCTCATTGACACGTTCCCTGCTATCTCCAATTAGACGCAATTTTTTCTTCCTTTGCACTCCTGTAGTACTTTATCTATAGCTCTATTACTACTCAGTAAAAGTCATAGCAGGAACTTTCCATCCCCAGGGTTCTTCACACAGTGCAGTGGTTCTCAGCTGGGGGCATAATGCACCTCAAGGAACACTTGGTAATGCCTAGAGATATTTTTGGTTGTCAAAATTGTAGGAAGGCTATCTAACAGGCAGTGGCCAGGAATGCTGTTAAACATCCTAGAATGCAAAGGACAGCCTCTAACAACAAAGAATTAAATAGCCTCAAATGTCAATAATGCTAAGGTTGGGAAACCCCTTCCACAGTGATAAACATTTATTATTATTTGTTAAATGGAGATTATAAGGCCCTTAACTATCCACACTAAAATCTTGCCCTTTACTCACTATTAACAGTGATTTCAAAAAACAAAAACAGACTAAATTATCCAGCTGTGAATTATCCAAGTTTTATATGGCCTTAAATCACCCAAAGTATCCATCCTGGACCTCCAAGCAATAAAGGGATTAGAAACCTATCCCAACATTCCCAAGCTAAATATAAAATTTTAGTAATGTAAAATAATGTTGCCTTTTGGCTGGGCACGGTGGCTCATGCCTGTAATCCCAGCACTTTGGGAGGCCAAAGCGGGCGGATCACGAGGTCAGGAGATTGAGACCATCCTGGCTAAGAGGGTGAAACCCTGTCTCTACTAAAAATACAAAAAAAATTAGCCAGGCGTGGTGGTGGGCACCTGTAGTCCCAGCTACTTTGGAAGCTGAGGCAGAAGAATTGCTTGAACCTGGGAGGCGGAGGTTGCAGTGAGCCGAGATCACACCACTGCACTCCAGCCTGGGCGAAAGAGCAAGTCTCCGTCTCAAATAATAATAATAATAATAACAACAACAACAACAACAACAACAACAACAACAACAACTAAAATAATGTTGCCTTTTAATTGAGTACCTTTTTTCCCTTTCATTAGAAAAGGTCACTAACCCTTAAGTAACCCAGAGTATTACTGATATCTGAAGTTTTAGAATGGCCTAAGTTTTATTTGAGTTGCTAACAGATAAAAAACCAGGGTTTCACTGCCTGTTCCCCTACACCTTCAGGGTGACATAATTATTTAAGTCATAAAATAGATTACAAAGGGTAACAGAGATGCAAGGTGTATAAATAATCCATAAATTTGATAAATGTGTCCATGGGGAGTGATGTCACCAAAAGTGGTGGATAAGAGAATTCCAGGACTCAGTCCCCCAACAAAAGCGACTAATGAGCTGCCAGAAGGGTCAGAATCAACGTTTGCAGAACTCTGTAATCTATTAAAAAATTACAACAACCAGTAATCATCTTGGTGAAGAAAGCTTTAAATTACCTCCCATCCCCTAATACCCCAGATTAGTGACAATCATGAGGACAGTAGCCTGCACTGTGGGTGTGGGTTACACAAGTGCCAGAGAGCAATACCAACCTTATTCTGAAAGAACTGTGGTCATGGATTTCAACCTGTCTTTTGGCTCTCTGAAGGGAAGGCACAAGGGCTTGCCTTTGTTTCACCCACAAGACTTGGAAAGTGTTGTTTTTCCCTTGGCTCCAGATATTTAAAGAAACTAACAAATCACCGCAAAGTGAATAGAACAGACTTCAGTGGCAGCAAATGGCAAAGAATACAGACTTCACAAAAATAGTTTACAGAAGTCTCTAAACAAGCAAACAACATAAACAACACACAGCAAAAGCAAACCCTGGTGAGGGGAAAGAATTTCATTTCCAGAGCTGCCATATTATAATCTTTTAAATGTCTTTATTTTCAACAAAAGAGGCATACAAAGAAACAAGAAAGTAGAGTTTATTACAGGAAAAAAAGAAATTTAGAGAAAATGTCCATTGCATTTACTAGACAAAGACTTTAAATCAAAAGTTCTTTTAAAAAATCACAAAGATCTAAAGGAAACCATGAACAAAGAACTAAAGGAAACCAGGAGAATGATGACTCAACGAACTGAATATCAATACATACACAGAAATTATAAAAAGACGCTAAAAAGAAATTCTGCAATTGAAAAGTACAATAAATGAAAAGAAAACTTCACCAGAGAGGTTGAGAGGTTAACAGCAGACATGAGCAGTCAGAAGGAGTAATCAGTGAATTTTTAAAGACTGGTTGAGATTATCCAGTCTGAAGAGAAAAGAGGAATGAATGAAAAAACAAGAAAGAAGCAACTGTCACATATAAGGTATATTCAATAACATTAACAGCCTATTCGATCTTCAGAAACCATGGAGGTTAGAAGACAGTAGAATGATATATTTAAAGTGTTTAAAGAGAAAAAAAACCCTGCAAACCAAAAATTCTGTGTCTGGTAAAACTATGTTTCAAAAATGAAGGAGAAACTAAGATACTCTTAGATAAACGAAAGTTGAGAGAGATTGTCACTAGTATACATGTCCTACAAGATATGGTAAAGAGAGTTAAGGAAGTTCTCTAAGCTGAAATGAAAGGGCACTAGACAGTAACTTGAAGCCATACAAAAAAATAAATAACGAAGGTTATGGCAGCTAGATAGGCAAGCATATAAGCCAGCAGTATTTCATTTTTGATTTATAACTCCTTTTTGTCCTGGTATGATTTTAGAAGTACATAAAACAATAATTACAAGTCTATGTTAATGGGCATAAAATGTATAAAGATGTAATTTCTGACAATAACAAAGATGGGAAATGAAGCTGTAAAGGAGCGGTTTTTGTACACTTTTGAAACTAAGGTGCTTTCAATTAAAACATGACTATTATAAATATGTTAATTGTAATCTGCAGGGTAATGACTAAGAAAATAATTTGAAATCTCCTATTAAGACAGAGATTAGTAGAATGGATAAAAGAGAAAAACAGCATCCAACTATACACAGTCTATAAGACAATCACTACAGTACCAAAGACACAATATGTTGAACGTAAAAGGATAGAAAAGTACATTCCATATAAATAGTAATTAATAAGACAGTGGGAGTAGCTATCCTAGTATCAGAAAAAATAGACTTTAAGACAAAAACTGTTACAAGAGCATAGAAGGACATTATACATCAGTAACAGGGAGACTCCATCAGTAAGATATAATTATAAACATAAATGCACCTAACAAGAGTCCAAAATACATAAGGCAAAAACTGACAGAATTGAAGGGAGAAATAAACAATTCAACTATAAAAGTTGGAGACGATAGTAGTCCACTATAATAATGAACAGAACTAGACAGATCACCAAGGAAAACAGAGACTTTGAACACTAAAAACCGACTAGACCAAACAAACACACAGAACACTCTATCTAACAACAGCACAATATACATTCTCTTTAAATGCACATGTAACATTCTGGAGGAAACACCGTATGTTAGGCCACAAAACAAGTTTAAATAAATTTTAAAGGCATGAAATAATAGAGAGTATGTTCTCTGATCACAAGGGAATAAAAACAGATATAAGTAACAAAAGAAAAATTAATAAATATGTGAAAATTAAACAACATTCTTTTTTCTTTTTTTGAGACAGAGTCTCACTCTGTCGCCCAGGCTGGAGTGCAGTGGTATGATCTCTGCTCACTGCAAGCTCCGCCTCCTGGGTTCACACCGTTCTCCTGCCTCAGCCTCCAGAGTAGTTAGGACTACAGCATGCGCCCGCCAACACACCTGGCTAATTTTTTTTTTTTGTATTTTTAGTCGAGACGGGGTTTCACCGTGTTAGCCAGGATGGTCTTGATCTCCTGACCTCGTGATCCACCTGCCTCGGCCTCCCAAAGTGCTGGGATCACAGGCGTGGGCCACTGTGCTCGGCCAAACAACACATTCTTCAACAGCCAATGGAACAAAGAAGAAATTACAAATAAAATTAGAAAACACTTCTAGATGACGATTTAGTGGGTGCAGTGCACCAGCATGGCACATGTATACATATGTAACTAACCTGCACAATGTGCAGATGTACCCTAAAACTTAAAGTATAATAAAAAAAAAAAAAAAGGAAAAAAAAAAAAAAAAGAACAAATAACCTAAAAAAAAAAAAAAAAAAGAGAGAGAAAAGGAAGTGGAATATACAAAAGAAAAAAAGATCTGGCAGGAAATTATATTGGCAAAATTATTTTTAATCACATATGGTATTATCCTATTGTTAGCAATGTCTGGCATATAGTGGTTTTAAATAAATGTTTTCTTTTTATTTTTCTTTTAGAAAAAAAAAAAGAAAATACTTTGACATGAACAAAAAGAACAATATACAAAAACCTATGGGATGCAGCCAAAAGATTTTCAGACGGAAACCTGCATCTGTAAAAACCTTGATTTAAAAAGATTCCAACTTTAAGGAACTAGAAAAAGAAGACAAAGCTAAACCTAAAGCTAGCAGAATGAAAGAAATAATAAAAATTAATATAGAGATAAAATAGAAAGTAGAAAAACAATAGGGAGAATCAAACAAAACCAAAAGTTGGTTCTCTGAAAAGATTAAATTGACAAACCTTTAGCTAGATTTACCAAGGAAAAAAAAGAGAAGACTCCAATTACTAAAATCAGAAATGAAAGTAGACACATCACTAATGAAATATACAGATAAAAAGGGTTACAAGAGAATACTATGAACAATTGTACGCCATCAAATTAGGTAAGTTAAATGAAATAAACTTTTTTAGAAATATACCAACTACCAAAACTGATTCAAGAAGAAACAGAAAATCTCAACAGCTCTATAAACAAATGAGCTTGATCTAGTAATCAAAAGCTCACAAAAACAAAAAAGCCCAATACAAGATATTTTCACTGATGAATTATGCCAAACCCTTAAAAAAGTATTAACAATAATTGATCTCAAACTCTTCTAAAAAACAAAGAGAAACACTTCCTATGAAGCTGTGATTACCCTAATGCCCCATAGCCAGATTAAAAATACAAAGTGAAAACTATAGGCCAATATCCCTTACATATACAGATTTTTAAAATCTTCAACAAAATACTACCAAACCAAATCAATATTAATTGAATATTAAGAATAGAATATTAAGATTATACATCATGACCAAGTAGGATTTATCCAAAAAAAGCAAGGGTAGTATGAAATATGGAAAACAATTAGTCTGATGGGCCACATTAATAGAATAAATCAGCAGGGGGTGGGGGGAACCATATGATCATCTCAATTGATGTAGAAAAAGCATCTGACAAAATTCATCACCCTTTCATGATAAAGTCACTTAAGCTAGGAATAGAAGGTTATCTTCTTCAACACGATCAAGGACATTTATGAAAAATCCAGAGCTATATACTTATTAGCTGTGATGAAATATGGTGAAAGAATCAGTTTTCCCCTAAGATCAAGAACAAAACGAGTATGTCTGTTTTTGCCACTTCCGTTTAACATTACACTGGAGTTTTAGGCAAGGAAAAATAAATAAATAATATCCAAGATGGAAAAAAATGAAGTAAAATTATCCCTATTTACAGATGACATGACTTACATGCAGAAAATCCTAAAGAATCCACAAAAAATACTAGTAAGAGTTGGCCAGGCGCAGTGGCTCACGCCTGTAATCCCAGCACTTTGGGAGGCTGAGGCGGGCAGATCACCTGAGCTCAGGAGTCTGAGACCAGTCTGGGCAACATGGTGAAACCCCATCGCTACTAAAAATATAAAAACTAGCCAGGTGCAGTGGCACCCACCTGTAATCCCAGCTACTCGGGAAGCTGAGGCAAGAGAATTGCTTGAACCCAGGAGTGGAGGTTGCAGTGAGCAGAGATTGCACTGCTGCACTCCAGCCTGGGCAACAGAGTGAGACTCTGCCTCTAAAAACAAAACAAACCACAAACAAATAAAAACTAGTAGAAGTTAATACAAAATTCAGCAAAGTTGCAGGTTACAAGATCAACACATAAAAGTTAGTTGTATTTTTATACTCCAGCAATGAGCAATCTGAAGATGAAATCAAGAAAAAAATTCTATTTACAACAGCATCCTAAAGAATAAAATACCTAGGAATAAATTTGACCAAGAAGGTACAACACTTGTACAATGAAAATGACAAAATAGTGTTGACAGAAACTAAAGATCAAGATCTAAATAAAAGATATCCTGTGTTTGTGGATTGGAAGGTGAAATTTTTTTTTTTTTTTTTTTTGAGACGAAGCCTCACTCTTGTCCCCAGGCTGGAGTGCAATGGCATGATCTTGGCTCACTGCAACCTCCCCATCCTGGGTTCAAGGGACTCTCCTGCCTCAGCCTCCTGAGTAGCTGGGATTACAGGCGCCTGCCACCACGTCTGGCTAATTTTTGTATTTTTAGTAGAGACGGGGTTTCATCATGTTGGCCAGGCTGGTCTCGAACTCCTGACCTCAGGTATCTGCCCACCTCAGCCTCCCAGAGTGCTGGGATTACAGGCGTGAGCCACCCCACCTGGCCCGGAAGGCTAAATATTTTTAAAATGGCAACTTCTACCCAAATTGATCTACAGATTCAATGCAATTTTTATCAAAACCTAATTGGCTGTTTTTGCAGAAATGGAAAGGAAAATCCTCAAATTCACATTCAATTGCAGGAAACTCTGTAGCTAAAGGAATCTTGAAAAAGAAGAAAAAACCGAAGAACTCTATGCTTTCTGATTTCAAAACTTACTACAAAATTACAGTAACCAAAACAGTGTGGTACTAGCAAAAGTATAATATACAGATCAATGGAATAGAACTGAGAGCACAGAAATAAACCCATGTATCTATGGCCAACTGATTTTCAACAAGGGTGTCAAGACCATTTAATGAGAAAAGGATACTCTTCGCAATAAATAGTGCAGAGACAGGCGAATATCCACATGCTTAAGAACGAATTTAGATCTCTACCTCATACTAGATACAAAAATATATTAAAGACCTAAATGTAAGAGCAAACCCTATAAAACCTAGGGATAAAGGAAAAAGTGATAAATCTTCATGACCTTGATTTTGCCAATAAATTCTTATTTATGATACCAACAGCATGAGCAACAATATACATCCAATTTATTTAAAAATAAATTGGATTTCATTAACATTTAAAACTTTTATATATTAAAAGATATTATCAAGAAAGACAACCTACAGAATGGGAGAAAATACTTGCAAATCACTTACCTGATAAAAGTCCAGTACTAGGAATCAACTTAACAACTTAACAAAAGATAACCCAATTTAAAAAGGCCAAAGACTTAAAAAAAAAAATTTCTCCAAAGAAGGTACACAAATGGCCAAGACACACATGAAAAGATGCTCAACATCATTAGTCAACGGGAAATGGAAATCAAAATCACAATGAGGTATTACTTCATATAATTTAAAAATGGAAAACAGCAAGTGTTGGTGAGGATGTGGAGAAAATGAAACACCTGTACACTGCTGATAAGAATGTAAAATAGTGTAGCTGCTGTAGAAAATAATGTGGTGCTTCTCTACTAAGTTAAACATAGAATTACCGTATGATCCAGCAATTCCACTCCTAGGCATACACCCTCAAGAATTCAAAACAGGTACTAAAACAAATACTTACACAAACATTCACAGCAGCACTATTCACAATAGCCAAAAGAATGAAAACAATCCAAATACTTGTCAATGAATAAACGGCTAAATGTGATATAGCTATATAATGGAATTTATAAATCATAAAAAGAAATAATGTACTGATACATGCTATAATGAGGATAAGTCTAAATAATATGCTAAATGAAAGAGCCATACACAAAAGGTCACATTTTGTGATTTCAGAACATGAAATTCCCAGAATGGGCAACTTAAAGAGAAAGCAGATTGGTTGCAAGGGCTGTGAGAGGAGTGAACTGAGGAATGACTTTAATGGGCACAGGATCTCCTTTTGGAGCAATTAAAATATTTTGCAACCAGAGGTGATGGTTGCACAACATTGTGAATATACTAAATGCCTCTGAATTATATACTTTAAAATGGTTAACCTTATGTTATATAAATTTTACCTCAAAAAAATTCTAAAAGCCCATGCTGGGAAGAAAAAAACAAAACAAGAACTAGTAGTAGTATATAAACTTATTGAACCTAGCTCCCACTGAATTAAAAGTACATTCTTATGTTTGATTAAGTATAAAAACTACAAAAGGAGGTCCATGAGTAAATGGTAAAAATCATTATTTCAAGAAAACTGCACAATGCAATATGCATTTTAACACAGTAAAACATATCCTACATTCATCAGTTATCAAAAAATTAAATAATTATTTGATCATTTGGTAATGTAAAATTAAAAATTAACTAGGCACTATGCTCACTATACTGGACTCATCAGAGTATCTCTTCTGGAAATTTGGAATTAGAATTCAAAGATATGTGGTTAGGCTTAGCATGTGGTTAAAACTTAGACCTAAAAATCGGCCAGGAGTGGTGGCTTGCACCTGTAATCACATCACTTTGGGAGGCCAAGGTGGGTGGATCATCTGAGGCCAGGAGTTTGAGACCAGCCTGGCCAACATGGTGAAACCCTGTCTCTACTAAAAATACAAAAATTAGCTGGGTGTGGTGGCATGTGCCCGTAAACCCAGCTACTCAGGAGGCTGAGGCAGGAGAACTGCTTGAACCTGGGAGGTAGAGGTTGCAGTGAGGCTAGATCACGCCACTGTGCTCTTGCCTGGGCAACAGAGGGAGACTCCACCTCAAACAAACAAAAAAACAACTTAGACCTAAAATTCTAGGATCTGGTGAACAGACCAGGTGAGTCTAGACATAAAAAAGAAGAGAAATGAAAAGAGAACACTTCCTGGTTCTGGCCCAATAGATGAGTTGCTTTCAGCTTCTCTAAGTTACCTTCATTCCAGTTAAATGTATTTTTTGCATTAGTGTTTGCTGACTAGCAACTAAAATAATTTAAACCAAAAAAGCCTCAATTCCTGGGCAATGAAAGTTTGGTATTTTTTCTTTCTAGGCACTCAATACTTTTTAATAGGAAAACTTTGGGAGTGATGAGACAACTGGATTGGAAGGAACAAAATAAATGCTATATACTGAGTCTTCCCTGTAAAACAGATGTTAAGACAAACAATGCTGGGAATGGACAAGCATGGGCAATTAATGGTATGTGGGCACAATGGGTGAAAAAGACAGATTAATGAGATACCTGAGGCCTGGACAACTGGGAGAATTAAATATAAGAATGAAATATAAGAACACTCTGGAATGTGAGAGATAAAGATCTGGGAGTCATTCTTGTAAACGTGATGGCTCAGGCCCAATAGCAAATATAAATCAGACATGCATAAATGACATCAACAGTAAACGGAATGGCTATAAATTACTCAAACTACTTAAAGATACACTTAGGATAAGCAAAAGACAAACACATGAAGACATACTATGATGAGACATTGTGATGATATTTTTATTTCAAACAAGATTTAATGTTCCTTAAATGCCCACTCTGTGCTGTGTTTAGAGTATGTATGTGTGATACAAGACATAAAATATATTGTCCCTGATACTGTATAGTTCAATAGGCCGGCTATTTTGAGTTTTAAAACAACAGCTGAAGTAAATGTGTTCATGCTGTTTTTAATGATGCATTACTAATGGGGCTTCACTTAAGCTAAGTGAAGTGAGATTTTTCACATGCTAAAAAGCTGATAGGGATGAAGTAACATCAATAGAGCAAGAGTTTTTTGCGGTGATACTTGACATTTCAGGCACAATGCCATTACAGGAATAAGACAAAAAGCAGTATTTTCTTTTCTCAATTTATCAAAAACGAGTTTCTTAAAATTCCATGTGGGGAGGGGGATACATATATTATGATAAATTCAGTTTATTGAACTAAAATGTGTCACTACTTTCTAGTCAAATAAAATTTAGGAATATTCTGCAAAAAAAGGCTTTGAATTTTTTCATGAAAAAATTCATGACATGAAAACATACCCACAAGATTAGAAAACTATTCTAAATTAAAGAAGACTAAAGAAGTATGACAAGCCCACTTGATCATGGTGGATAAGCTTTCTGACGTGCTGCTGGATTCGGTTTGCCAGTATTTTATTGAGGATTTTTGCATTGATGTTCATCAAGGATATTGGTCTAAAATTCCCTTTTTTAGTTGTGTCTCTGCCAGGCTTTGGTATCGGGATGAAGCTGGCCTCATAAAATGAGTTAGGGAGGATTCCCTCTTTTTCTATTGATTGGACATCCCTGGGATGCAAGGCTGGTTCAATACATGCAAATCAATAAATGTAATCCAACATATAAACAGAACCAAAGACAAAAACCACATGATTATCTCAATAGATGCAGAAAAGGCCTTTGACAAAATTCAAAAACCCTTCATGCTAAAAACTCTCAATAAATTAGGTATTGATGGGATGTATCTCAAAATAATAAGACCTATCTATGACAAACCCACAGCCAATATCATACTGAATGGGCAAAAACTGGAAGCATTCCCTTTGAAAACGGGCACAAGACAGGGATGCCCTCTCTCACCACTCCTATTCAACACGGAGTTGGAAGTTCTGGCCAGGGCAATCAGGCAGGAGAAGGAAATAAAGGGTATTCAATTAGGAAAAAGAGGAAGTCAAACTGTCCCTGTTTGCAGATGACATGATTGTATATCTAGAAAACCCCATTGTCTCAGCCCAAAATCTCCTCAAGCTGATAAGCAACTTCAGCAAAGTCTCAGGATACAAAATCAATGTGCAAAAATCAAAAGCATTCTTATGCACCAATAACAGACAGAGAGCCAAATCATGAGTGAACTCCCATTCACAATTGCTTCAAAGAGAATAAAATACCAGGAATCCAACTTACAAGGGATGTGAAGGACCTCTTCAAGGAGAACTACAAACCACTGCTCAAGGAAATAAAAGAGGATACAAACAAATGGAAGAACATTCCATGCTCATGGGTAGGAAGAATCAATATCGTGAAAATGGCCATATTGCCCAAGGTAATTTATAGATTCAATGCCACCCCCATCAAGCTACCAATGACTTTCTTCACAGAATTGGAAAAAACTACTTTAAAGTTCATATGGAACCAAAAAAGAGCCTGCATCGCCAAGTCAATCCTAAGTCAAAAGAACAAAGCTGGAGGCATCACACTACCTGACTTCAAACTATGCTACAAGGCTACAGTAACCAAAACAGCATGGTACTGGTACCAAAACAGACATACAGACCAATGGAACAGAACAGAGCCCTCAGAAATAATGCCACATATCTACAACTATCTGATCTTTGACAAACCTGACAAAAACAAGCAATGGGGAAAGGATTCCCTATTTAATAAATGGTGCTGGGAAAACTGGCTAGCCATATGTACAAAGCTGAAACTGGATCCCTTCCTTACACCTTACACAAAAATCAATTCAAGATGGATTAAAGACTTAAATGTTAGACCTAAAACCATAAAAACCCTAGAAGAAAACCTAGGCATTACCATGCAGGACATAGGCATGGACAAGGACTTCATGTCTAAAACACCAAAAGCAATGGCAACAAAAGACAAAATTGACAAATAGGATCTAATTAAACTAAAGAGTTTCTGCACAGCAAAAGAAACTACCATCAGAGTGAACAGGCAACCTACAAAATGGGAGAAAATTTTCACAACCTACTCATCTGACAAAGGGCTAATATCCAAAATCTATAATGAACTCAAACAAATTTACAAGAAAATAACAAACAACCCCATCAAAAAGTGGGCAAAGGACATGGACAGACACTGCTCAAAAGAAGACATTTATGCAGCCAGAAAACACATGTAAAAATGCTCACTATCACTGGCCATCAGAGAAATGCAAATCAAAACCACAATAAGATACCATCTCACACCAGTTAGAGTGGCAATCATTAAAAAGTCAGGAAACAACAGGTGCTGGAGAGGATGTGGAGAAATAGGAACACTTTTACACTGTTGGTGGGACTCTAAACTGGTTCAACCATTGTGGAAGTCAGTGTGGCGATTCCTCAGGGATCTAGAACTAGAAATACCATTTGACCCAGCCATCTCATTACTGGGTATATACCTAAAGGATTATAAATCATGCTGCTATAAAGACACATGCACCTGTATGTTTATTGCGGCACTATTCACAATAGCAAAGACTTGGAACCAACCTAAATGTCCAACAAGGACAGACTGGATTAAGAAAATGTGGCACATATACACCATGGAATACTATGCAGCCATAAAAAATGATGAGTTCATGTCCTTTGTAGGGACATCAATGAAACTGGAAACCATCATTCTCAGCAAACTATCGCAAGGACAAAAAACCAAACACCGCATGTTCTCACTCATAGGTGGGAACTGAATAATGAGAACACGTGGACACAGGAAGGGGAACATCACACACCGGGGACTGTTGTGGGGTTGGGGGAGTGGGGAGGGATAGCATTAGGAGATATACCTGATGCTAAATGACCAGTTAATGGGTGCAGCACACCAACATGGCACATGTATACATATGTAACAAACCTGCACGTTGTGCACATGTACCCTAAAACTTGAAGTATAATAATAACAAAAAACAAAAAACAAAAACAAAAACAAACAAACAAAAAGAACATGAAATGGTGGTTGCCAGTGGCTGGAGGAAGGGAGAAATGGGGGGGTTGGCGTTTCATAAAAATACAGTTTCAGTTTTTCCAAATGCAAAAGTTCTAGAGATTGGGTGCACAACAATGTGAATGTATTTACTACTGAAATGTATATTTCAAAATGGTTAACATGACACATTTTACGTTATGTATCTTTTAATACAATTATAAATTGATTTTAACAAAATTAACACAATTAATACAAATCTTAGAAATGCAAAAATAAAATAAAATAAAGACAAACCTAAAAAAAAAAAAAAAAAGAAGTATGACAAGAAAAGTAATACATGATTCTTGCTGGGACCTTGGATTGATACAACAAAAAAGCTCTAAGAGGACACCGTTGAGACAACTGGGAGAATTTGATTACAGACATTATATTAGACAATAGAATTGTATCAATATTAAATTTCCTAAACATGTATTTATTTTGCAGTTATGTGAAGAGAATGTTCTTGTTAGTGGGGAAATCTATGCTAAATGACTTGGAGGTGAAGTGTCATGCCGTTTTTAACTGAATTTCACATTGTTCAGCACCTCCCACCAGCCTCCCAAAAAGCTGGAGAACTGTGGTAAAAAGTTTACTCGGTGAATCTAGAGAAGGGTAAACAAATGCTCAATCATACTATTCTTGTAACATTTCTAAAGGTCCCAAAATTTTGAAAAATGTGAGAAAATGAAAACAGGCTGGGTGCGGTGGCTCATGCCTGTAATCCCAGCACTTTGGGAGGCCGAGGCAGGTGGATCACAAGGCCAGGAGTTTGAGACCAGCCTGGCCAATATGGTGAAATCCCATCTCTACTAAAAATGCAAAAATCAGCGGGGTGTGGTGGCACGTGCCTGTAGTCTCAGGAGGCTGAAGCAGGAGAATCGTTTGAACCCAGGAGGCGGAGGTTGCAGTGAGCTGAGATCGCGCCACTGCACTCCAGACTGGGCGACAAAGCGAGACTCCATCTCAAAATCAATCAATCAATCAATCAATCAATCAATGCCAGGTTGGGCATGGTGGTTCACACCTGTAATCCCAGCACCTTGGGAGGCCGAGGTGGAAGGATGACTGGAGGTCAGGAGTTCCAGACCAGCCTGGCAACATGATGAAACCCCTTCTCTATTAAAAAAAAAAAAAAACCCAAAAAATTAGCCTGGTGTGATAGCAGGCACCTGTAATCCCAGCTACTCAGGAGTCTGAGGCAGGAGAATCACTTGAACCTGGGCGGTAGAGGTTGCAGTGAGCCGAGATCCCACCACTACACTCCAGCCTGGGGGACACAGTGAGACTCCATCTCAAAAAAAAAAAAAAAAAAAATCCCTTATGAATGCAAGGGATTCAACAAACAAATTTACTAGGTAAATTGGAAATATAAGATGATCACTTAAGCTGCTTAAGATATGTGGTCATATATATATATTTTATTACATATATATTTTATTACATATATATGTATTTACTTCAGAGGCAGAGTCTCACTCTGTTACCCAGGCTGGAATGCAGTACTGTGATCATGGCTCACTGCAACCTCAAATTCCCGGGATCAGGCAATCCTTCCTTGGCTTCCCAAAAGTACTGGTATTACAGGTGTGAGCCACTGTGCCTGGAAGTGTGGTCATACAGTCAAAGTGAACTGCATGGCTTGTTTTTCTATAGCCATGATATCCCCTGTTCTGGTTCAAACACAGAGTAACCAGAGGTTTAACCAAAGTTGAGGTTTTGCCAAGTGAATAAAATGGTGGAAATTTCGAGGAAGTATGCAAGGGAGTGAACATAAAAATGGATTGAGAAATATCCAGACAAGGTAGGGCAGGAGAAACAAGGGATTGATATTTAGTGAAAAAGTGTTGTAGTGATTAAAAAAAAAAAAGTGGGAGTTCTTGAAAGCATCAAGTGGGAAAGCTGAAGTTTAAACAAAAAGGTTTTACTTAAGGAAGTTGTATTTACTTTAGCAATAACACAAAGATTCATTCATCCATTTTCATCCCATATTGGGGTGGTGAAACAAAACACAAGTTTTAGACCAATATACAGAGAAGGCTATTAATGTTTATCCTTCTAATCCACTTTTACCAAAAATATAACTGCTACGCTTTAAAGATAGTCTCTATTTCTTTATAATTCATTTGTCATAGTGGGGCGTTCCAGATTAACTGCAACCACATGCAAATAAAAATTCTGGCAAATACAGTAATACCTCAGCTATCTGGAATTTGGTCACCTGATCACCTACTCTAGCATAACTGAAAAAAAAATGGGAACAGAAAGGACTACAAGTAGCCAATAATATGTCACAAAGCCTTTCCACTAAAATATATTATTTACTTATAAGAGAAACACCTTAGGTTTTTCCACAGATTCTATCTAACCTAACCAAAAGCACAATTTAACTCTGCCATATGTTTTCCTGACTCACAGCAGATTAGAAGTTGCAAACTAGAAAAGCAAAAATGAGATACACAGCAGCAGGAGGTATACTGACAATAAAGCAGGAGGCTGAAAAACTAAAAATGCAGAAAAAAATTTAGAAAGCGTAAGTCTCTAACACAGGAATGCCTCAGTAGATTCTGAAGACAGTGCACTTTTAAAACCAGGGAACACAGTCATTAAATATACCATTCTAAAAGTAGAAACACTTCCTAACTCCTATGAGGTCAGTAGCATCCTGACATTAAAGCCAGACAAAAACACCACAAGAAAACACAACAGACCAGTATCTTTTATGAATATAGATGCAAAAGTCTTCAACAAAATACTAGCAAATAAAATCTAACAGCATATTAAAGGGATTATATACCATAATCCCAAAAGCATTTATTCCAGGAATGCAAGGGGGTTTAATATAAGAAAAATCAGGGCAGCGGGATGGAGCAGCCGGGGCCTGGGGCTGCCTGCCGGGCGGCCAGGCGCGGCGAGCCCAGGGAGGCAGCGTCCATGGAGCAAAAGGAATGCCAAGATCCTGCCCACGCAGAGGCGGGCCAGCCTCAGCACCGATAGCCGACACGCAGATAGCAGAGCCATCCTTGGAATGAGGAAACCAGAGCCCAGCGAGGTGAAGGGACTTTCTCAGGGTCTCATGGTGACAAGGCGGGCCACGCCCTTGCAAGTTGGTGTGAGGATGAACCTGTTTGGGAGCCCAGCCCATGCTGGAGTGCAGTGGCATGATCTTGGCTCGCTACAACCTCCACCTCCCAGCCGCCTGCCTTGGCCTCCCAAAGTGCTGAGATTGCGGCCTCTGCCCGGCCGCCACCCCATCTAGGAAGTGAGGAGCGTCTGCCTGGCCACCCATCGTCTGGGATGTGAGGAGCCCCTCTGCCTGGCCGCCCAGTCTGGGAAGTGAGGAGCGCCTCTTCCCGGCCGTCATCCCGTCTAGGAAGTGAGAAGCGTCTCTGCCTGGCCGCCCATCATCTGGGATGTGGGGAGCGACTCTGCCCGGCCACCCTGTCTGGGATGTGAGGAGCGCCTCTGCCCGGCCGCACTGTCTGGGAGGTGAGGAGCGTCTCTACCCGGCCGCCACCCCGTCTGGGAGGTGAGGAGCGCCTCTGCCCGGCCGCCACCCCGTCTGGGAAGTGGGGAGCACCTCTGCCCGGCCGTGACCACGTCTGGGAACTGAGGAGTGCCTCTGCCCAGCCGCCCCGTCTGAGAAGTGAGGAGCCCCTCCGCCCGGCAGCTGCCCCGTCTGGGAAGTGAGGAGCATCTCCGCCCGGCCACCCCGTCTGGGAGGTGGGGGGCGCCTCCAGCCGCCCTGTCTCGGGGGTGGGGAGGCCCCTCTGCCTGGCCACCACGTCTGGGAAGTGAGGAGCCCCTCTGCCCGGCCGCCACCCCGTCTGGGAGGTGTACCCAACAGCTCATTGAGAACGGGCCATGATGACGATGGCGGTTTTGTCGAATAGAAAAGGGGGAAATGTGGGGAAAAGAAAGAGAGATCAGATTGTTACTGTGTCTGCGTAGAAAGAAGTAGACATAGGAGACTCCATTTTGTTCTGTACTAAGAAAAATTCTTCTGCCTTGGGATGCTGTTAATCTATAACCTTACCCCCAACCCCGTGCTCTCTGAAACATGTGCTGTGTCAACTCAGGGTTAAATGGATTAAGGGCGGTGCAAGATGTGCTTTGTTAAACAAATGCTTGAAGGCAGCATGCTTGTTAAGAGTCATCACCACTCCCTAATCTCAAGTACCCAGGGACACAAACACTGCCGAAGGCTGCAGGGTCCTCTGCCTAGAAAAACCAGAGACCTTTGTTCACATGTTTATCTGCTGACCTTCTCTCCACTGTTGTCCTATGACCCTGCCAAATCCCCCTCTCCCAGAAACACCCAAGAATGATCAATAAATACTAAAAAAATTAAAAAAAAAAAAATCAGCCAGGAGTGGTGGCACGCACCTGTGGTCCCAGCTACTTGGGAGGCTGAGGCAGGAGAATCACTTGAACCCAGGAGGTGGAGGTCGCAGTGAGCCAAGACTACACCACTGTACTCCAGCCTGGGTGACAGAGTGAGACTCTACCTCAAAAAAAAAAAAAAAAAGATATCATATTTCCTGATTTTTTTTTTATTGTGGTAAAATACACATGACATAAAATTTACCACCTTAACCATTTGTAAGTGTACACTTCAGTGGTATTAAGTACATTCATATTGTGCATCCATCACTACCACCCATCTCCAGAGCTGTTTTCATCTTGCAAAACTGAAACTCTGCACCCATTAAACGCTCACTACTCCCCCCCCAAAAAAAGAAAAATCAATCCATGTAATACATCAATAAATGAAAGAAAAGAAAAATAACATGATTATCTCAACTGACACAGAAAAATAATCCAATAAAATCCAATGTCCTTTCATAATAATAATCATTGTCATCACTCAACAAACTAGGAATGAAAGGTATTATGAGTTGAATTTTGTGTCCTAAAAAGATATGTTGAAGTCTTAACCCCCAATACCTTAGAAGGTGACCTTATTGGGAATAGATCATTGCAGATGTAGTTAGTTAAGGTAAGATGTGGTCATTATTGGAGTAGGGTGAGGTCCTTAACCCAATATGACTGATGTCCTTATGAAAAGAAGAGAAAACACACCTGCGCACGCACATGGAGAATGCCAAAGGCAGAGATTGTAGTAATACAGCTGCCAACCATGGAACACCAGGGATTGACAGCCACCACCAGAAGCAAGAAAGAGGCAAGGAAGGTTTACCTAGAGTCTCAGAGGGAACATGGCCCTGCTGACACCTTGCTTTCAGACTTCTAGCGTTCAGAACTGTGAGACTCCATCTCAAAAAAACAAACAAACAAAAAAAACCCACAGCTGATATCATACTCCATGATGAAATAATAAAAGCTTCCCCTGAGATAAGGAACAAGACAAGCGTGTGCTCTTTTCACAACTGCTATTCAACATTGCACTGGAAGTTCAAGCCACAGCAATTAGGCAAGACAAAGAAATAGAAAGCATTCAGATTTGAAAGTAAAGGTATCCCTATTCACAGAAGACAAACATATATAAAAACCCCCAAATACACACAAAAAATAGAGCTAATAATTTGGCAAAATTTCAGGATACAAGATCAACACACAAAAATCAGTTCTACACACCACCATAAACATCCATAAACATGAAAATTAAATTAAATTCCATTTACAATAACATTCCAATAAAATACCTAGGAATAAATTTAACCAAGGCAAGACTTGAACACTGAAAACTACAAAACGGTACTGAAAGAAATTAAAGACAAATAAAAAAGACATCAAACATTCATGGATTCGAAGACTTAATATTGCTAAAATCACAATACTGACAAAGTAACCTACTTAGTGATTAAAAGGAAACCTTATCAAAAGGGATAAGACAGCTAAAATTAATACACATACAGAACACATACAAGTGTTGGCAACAACATGGAGAAATTTGAACCCTTACACATTGTTGGTGGGAAGTAAAATGGTGCATCCACTGTGGAAACAATTTGACAGTTCCTCAAGAAGTTAAACACAGAATTACCATATGATCCAGTATTCTACTCCTAGGTACCCAAAATAATTGAAAACAGGTACTTGAACGAATAGTTGTACACATGAATGTTCACAGCAGACTGTTCACAATAGCCAAAAGGTGGAAATAACCCAAATGTCCACCAAACGATTGAAAAAGCAAAATGTGTGTGCATGTATGTATGTATATACACATAATGATACATGTTACAACACAGATGAGCCTCAAAACAATAATGCTAAGAAGCAGAAGAAAAGGTCATACATTGTGTGATTCTACTGATATGAAATATCCAGAATTAGTAAATTCAGAGAGCCATAAAGCAGATTGGTTACTGCCAGGGACTGGAGTAGTGGGGAAATAAGAAATAACTGCTTAATGTGTACAGGGTTTTCTTCGGGGTAAATGAAAATGTTCTGGAACTAGATGAGGTGGTGGTTATCCAACACTGTGAATATACTACCTGCCACTGAACTGTACATTTCAAAATGGTTAGTTTTATGTTATTTATGAATTGCACCTCAGAAAAAGCAATGTAAAAAAATCATTCTCATTCAAATGTTGATAATCATGCTTCTTAGTAAAATTTTTCTTCTCCCTAGTGTTTTAGGGCTCCACTCTTGTATAGCCTGTTTGCACTGTGAACTTTTCTTCCTACCACCCTAGATGTCTACCCTGAATTATATCACATATAGTTTACATTAATATCTAGACACTGACAATTACCAAAATCATATCTAAAGACCAAACCACTTTCCAGAGATCCATAGCCATATATACAACTGTGTCTTAGGCTTTTATATGTCCCACAGGCACCTCGGAAGATTTAACATGTCCAAACATGAATGTACTATGAAACTGCCATTTCTCATTATAACTTCTATTTTCATTAATGGAATGCCATCTACGGTCACCCTAACAGAGCAATCTGAGAGGCACTTCTGAGCCCTCTCTTTCAACCCAATATCTATCAGGTTTATCATCCTTATTAACTCCTCAAAAAGACCTATTATTCCCTTTCTCTTCAGTTACTCTCTTCTGCACTATCCCTTTTTGTCTACTGTAAACATATTAATATTTCAAGGGTCATTTCCCAACTGGAACCTAGCACAACTTATTAAGATAGTACTATTATAAAAATAGGGACATCTGCTTCCACCATGATGCCCTGGTTAACTGCTGTGGAAATTGCCCTCCCATAGTAAAAAACTAAGGACTCGAAAAATTATATGAAACACCAGTTTTCAGACACTGAACACTGATCACTGAACATGAACATTAATCACAGTTCAAAACCATGATCCATGAGGGAAAAAGCAGCAAATGAGGCAAGCTGTCTGAATGCCCCAACGTAGTGTCTGGAGAGTTTTGAGGTGGTAGTTAGTGATGGGAGGTGGAATCACAATGGTCTATGAGAGCTGAAGAGAGAAGAGAGTTCAGAAAGACTGAGAAGGCTAGAATTTGTGGGGTAGAATACCAAAAAGATGGAGAAATACACAGAGAAAGAGTATCGGATATGCAGAAGAGTCTCTGGGTTCTTTGGTTGAATACTGCACATATATGAGAGAAAACTTCTTGAGGCCAAGAGCTGAGAATAGTTCAAGTTTTATTCTCAGAAGATCTTTTAATATAAATGGGGCACAGGGTCAAATCTAATTTTATTGTAGGTATAAACAAGTATCAGAATAAAGGCTGCTCTAGATCTGCCATACAAACTTACAATCCATCTTAGAAAGGACCAAACTGATTCACAAGGTACTTAACACATGAAAAAACAAATCAAACATTCTTAACTATTTTTTTCTTTTTCTCCACCAGCCAAGGAGAAGCACCGAGCAAATCTAACATTCTTTAAAGAAACACTAATAACATCATCCAATAAAAATTCAGAAGACTAAATAATGTAAAATTCAGAATTCTGACATCAAAACTATCAAAACAAGAAGCAGAAAAATATAACCCACAAAACAACAAAAACAACAGAAAGAGGCCCAGAAATGATATAGAACAGAATTAGTAAACCAAAAATCTTAAAATGGCTATTATAAATTTTATATGCCCAAAGACATATATACACAGGAAAACATCAATATAATGGGTATAGAAATGAACACATAAAAAGAAAGACTTAAATGGCATTTCTACATTTGGCCATACAGAAAAAAAAAGTTTTAAACAATTCCTAGAGGTCTAACACACGAATAAGGAGTGGGAAATGGAAGAAGAGATAAAAATACTTCAAGAAATAATGGCCCCAAATTTTCCAAATTCGAAAATTATAAACTAAGAGAGCTAAGATGCTCCAGAAACCTCAAGCAGATGTCGTTTTTAAAACACACATACTAAGATTATTAAAATTATGTGATAATTTTATTATTTTTAATAAAATTGCTGAAAACTAGAGAGAATAATCTTAAAGTATTGGGGGTTGAGGGAGAAAAGAGAATACATCCCATTCAGAAGAACACAGATAAGAATGAGCAGAAATCTCACTAGGTATGAGATATCATAACAAGCAGTCTTTAAAGAGATGAATGAAAAGCAAGAAAACCCATCAGCCTAAAACTCTATACCCAGAAGAACAAAGTTCAAACAGTCACACTTCTTGATTTCAAAACTTACTACAAAACAATAATGAAAACAGACAGATAATATCATGTATGGACAGACATACAGATCAATAGAATATGAGTCCAGAAATAAACCTTCACATTTATGGTCAACTGATTTTGAACAACTGTGCCAAGGCAATTCAGTAGAATAGTCTTTTTAATAAATAGTGCTTATATAATGGATATCCACATGCAAAAGAATCAAGCTGGAACCTTTCCTTAAACCACACACAAAAATTAAGTCAAAATGGATCACAGACCTAAATGTATGTGATAAAACCGTAAAACTCTTGGAAGATAAATGGAATAAATCTTTGTGACCTTGGATTAGGCAAAAACCTTCTTAGACATGACACCATGCACACAGTGACAAAATTTTAGAAACAGACAAAATGTTCTTCATCAAAATTGAAAACTTTATCCTTCAAAGCATATCTTCAAGAAGTTGTAAAAAATGACCCACAGAATGGAGAATATTTTAGCAAATCGTATTTGAAAACAATTTGTATCCAAAATATACAAAGAGCCCTTAAACTCAACAGTAAGACAAACAATCCAACTAAAAAGAGGGCAAAGGATCTGAATAGATATTTCTTCAAAGATGTGCACAAAAAGCCAATAAAGCACTTAAAAAGATGTTCGGCATCATTAGTCATCAGGGAAATGCAAATCAAAATCATATGAGATACATTTCACATTACCACTTATATGACTATAATCAAAAAGAAAAATAAACATTGGCAAAATGTGGAGAAATTGGAACTCACACTGCTGATGGGAATGTCAAGTGGTGCCACCTCTTTGAAAGAGTCTGGTAGTTCCTTAAAAGGCTAAACACAGATCCAACAATTCCACTCTTAAGTATATACCCAAGAGGTGAAAACATATGTCCACACACAAACTCTGAAAGTAATGTTCACAGCAGCACTCTTCACAAGTTAAAAAGTAGAAACAAACCAAGTGTCCATCAATGTAAAATTATTCAGCAATAAAAAGAAATTAAGTACTGATAGGTGATACAACATGAATAACTTGAAAACTATGTTAAATGAAAGAAGCCAATCACAAAAGACCACATTATATATTATTCAATTTATATGAAATATCCAGGAACAGGCAAGCCTGTAAAGGCAGAAAGTTGATGGGGGGGTGAGAGTGGGGAATAGAAAGTGATTGCTTAATCAGTATAGTATTTCTTCTTGGGATGATGAAAATGTTCTAAAATTGATTGTGGTGAAGCTGGTACAACTCTGTGAATAAACTGTACACTTTAAATGGGTGTATTGTATAAAGTGAATTATATTTCAATAAAGCTATTACATAAAAGAGAATTCTAATCTAAGAAAATATCTTTCAAAAACAAGGACAACAATCTGTTTAAAGCAAAAATTATAAACATGTATGGTGATTTTAAAACATTATAGATTTAAAATATATAACAACAGAACAAGGCATGAGAGAAGTATACTGTTCTAAGGTTCTTATAAAACACATTAAAGTGGTATATCACTTGAAGGTAATCTATAAAGATGTATACCACATTAGAAATGAAGATACATAAAAGCATAAGTAAAGAAAAAGATATATCACAAACACTACTCAAAGGAAAAAACATTGGCTATATTAATACTAGGCAAAGTAGACTTCAGAACAAACATATGTGGGAAGATTGCTTGAGCTCAGGAGTTTGAGACGAGGCTGGGGAAAATGGCAAAACCCTGTTTCTACCAAAACCAAAAAAGGTGGCTGGGTGTGGTGGCAGTCCCAGCTATTTGGGAGGCTGAGGTGGGAGGATTGCCTGAGCCGGGGAGGTGGAGGTTGCAACTAGCTGAAGTTACACCTCTGCACTTCAGCCTGGGTGTTAGAGAGAGAACCCTGTCTCCAAAAAAAAAAAAAAAAAAAAGACATAATCCTAAATGTGTATGAAATTAAAAGATCTTCAAAATACATGATGTAAAATCTAATAGAACTGAAAGGAGAAACACACAATCTACAATCATGATTGCAGATTTCAACAGTATTCTTTAATTTTACAAAAGTTAAACAAGAAAAATAGGATATAAAATAGGACATACAGGACTTGACCAACACACTCAAAGAATTTGATCTGACATTTATAGAACCCTTCACACTATAATAAACATTCAGTTCAAGGTCTCATTAAACTCTTCAATAAACTTAACCTGGAATCAAACTCCTTGTTTTTCAAATGCAAAATAATTAAACTAGAAATGAACAAAAAAGATGTGGAAAACCACCAAATATTTAGAAATCTAATAACCGATGAGTTAATTTAAAAAAAAAAAAAAGGAAATTACAAAGTATTTTGAATTAAACAAAAATGGAACACAGCATATCTATATGGAATACAGCTAAAACAATGCTTAGAGGAAAATCTGGACCATTAAATATTTACACTAGAAAAGAAAACTGGTCTAACACAGTAATCTAGATTTCTATTTTAAGAAACTTCAGAAAAACCAAAGAAGAAAGAAACAAGTAGAATTCAATAAATTAAAAAATGGAAAAAAAAAGGAAAATCAATAAAAGCAAAAGCTAGTCCTTTGAAGTGATCAATAAAATTGATAAACCTCAACCACAACAAAAAAGACACAATTTAGTAATATCAGGGAAGAAAGACGTCACTACAGATGCTAGAAGGCACTAAAAGGATAATAAGGAATTTTATTAAAAACCTTGTCAATTTAGATGAAATGAATGAATTCCTCAAAACACACAAACAACCAATGCTTACTCCAGAAGAAATAAAAAATCTGAATAGCACTATATCTACTAAAGAAACTTAAATTAAAAACCTCCTCACAAACAAATTCCAGGTCGAAATCACTTCACTGATGAATTCTACTAAAATTAAAGAAAGAAATACTACCAATTCTACATAAACTCTTCCAGAAAATAAACTTAATCTATGATGCCAGCTTTTCACTCTGATACCAACCAAACAAAGACACTGCAAGAAAAGAAAACTACAGACTAAAATCCTTCAGGATGCAAAAATCCTTAACATTTTAGAAAATGAATCCAGCAATACATAAAAAGGATAAAACATGACCAAGTGGTATTTATCCCAGGGATGTAAGGTTAGTTTAATGTGAAAAATCAATGTAATTCACAATCCACAGCAAAAAACAATCGTAAGATAACCTCAACAGATGCAGAAAACCACGTGACAAAATCAACACCTATTTTGTATAAAAACTCAGCAAACTAGGAATGTTAGAGTACTTTCTCAACCAGATAAAGTTCATCTACAAAAATCCAACAGCTAACATTATACTTAATAAAATAATAAAACACCAGATGCTTTTAGCGGTGAATGAAAATAACTTAAATCTTGATTGTGGTGGCAGTTACATGACTATAGATTATAAAAATTCATACTGTACGATTCAAACTAGCAAATTTTATTGTATGTAAATTACATCAATAAAGCTGATTCTTAAAACTGTCAATATTTTCTTCATGGTTGTTCAAGAAAGGTTAGTCTTTTAAATAAGAGGACTGATTATAACAACACAATTACTGATCATTTATATCACTACATCTAAGGATCTATAAACAGCAAAATATCACAATCTTTAAGTAATGAGTATCTGCAATATATTTACAAGTTGAACCTTAAATATAAGAAGGTTATGCTACAGTTCATTTTGAGAGCTGTAAATTGATGAAATTTAGATGAAATGAACAAATTTCTCAAAAGACACAAACAATCTCGTAGGCAATTAGGAATTTCTGCTAAAACTGCTTAATAGTTTTAAAATCAGTAATAAAATCAAACAATATACTATAACGACAACAAAAGAACTAGTTTAATCTTTTATTCTATTCTACAGTCTATGTTATCTTTCTACCAAAGCACTTAAATATATAAATCGCCTGAGAGTTGACCTAAACTAATTCAAGTTGTTTTAAGAATTGGACTAGACCTGCATTTTATCCTATATTTGGAATTCATTTATTTTCCTCAAACCGAATCACTCAACTACTAAGAAATATTCAAGAAATAGAAATTTTAAATAATAAATGTACAAAACACTAATCTATAATTTTATTATTGCTTTTCAATCACTAAAGGAAAGTATGTTCTAATTGTTCAGTTGTATCCATAGGCTTAATTATAATACTAGAGAAAATGAGAATTCTTTAAATCCAAAGCAGGAAGCTAATATTTTAAGAACATTTGCATTTCTGCTACATTAAAGGTGGACAGAAATATAGACAAGAAATTTTTCTAATAACACTTCTCAAGTATTTGCTGAAGGGAAAAATAAATGATAAAGAGCATATTCAAATGTAGCCTCCATAAATTAACACTTATTAACTGAAGGCAGAAGACACATGCCATTTCAACTACAAAGCTAGTGGATAATGGAATTTCTTCTTTCTTTTTTTTTTTGAGATGGAGTCTCACTCTGTCACCAGGCTGGAGTGCAGGTGGCATGATCTCGGCTCACTGCAACCTTCACCTCCTGGGTTCGAGCAATTCTTCTGCCTCAGCCTCCCAAGTAGCTGGGACTACAGGCACAAACCACAATGCCCAGATAATTTTTGTATTTTTAGTAGAGATAGGGTTTCACCATGTTGGCCAGGATGGTCTTGATCTCCTGACCTTGTGATCCGACTGCCTCAGCCTCCCAAAGTGCTGGGATTACAGGCATGAGCCACTGCACATTCTACCCTCTCATTAAGACTGAAAGTGTCAACATTCCTTACCAAATAGATAACTCAATATATATACAACTTAGCTGATAAACCGAAGGGCAAGGTGTACATGTGAAAAATGAGCATGATTTTTTAGCGAGAACAAGAGTATCCTACTTTGTTTTTTAAACAATGCTTATCTATCAAGGGTTCATTAGTAACAAAGCCAAAACTGACTTAGCTCATGTTTTCAAGCCATTAAAATGTGTAGTACATTCAGTCACTAAGGTTTCATGGTTAACTCGTGTTCATTTTAAATGCACTCAAAAACAACAATATTCTGTCCCTATTTTCCACCTTTAACTTGCCTATTTTGTTTAGTTTTGAGATTACATTAGGCAAAGTAAACATAAGAGCAGGCTTGTTTTTAAAATAATGAGGATATCTATGCATTCTTTAAAAATACAACTCAAATCATATAAACCATGTCAAGCTAGAACTGAATAAATAGTAGCATCACAAATAGAACAAGCTGCCTTTTACGCATTTACAACTATTGCTGTAAGTTTTAAAAGAAAAATCCATGTGTAAAATGGGTAATGAAAGTAAACAGCATTGCACTTAAAAATATGGAAAACTTCCACACTATTCAAACCATAACTATATCTCTTCACTAAATAGCATAACTTAATAAAGTTATTCTAAATTCCAGAATAAGGTAAGTTTAACATTTTAGTATTCAACTTAGCCATTTATTACTTCAAGAGAAGTCCAATAAAAGCATTACTGGTCAACAACAAAAACTTCTTTCAAATATCAGATGGTTACCTGATCAGATGGAGTTAATACTAAATAATCCTAATAATGAGAACTATATTAACAAATCACAAACATTTGACAAACTGTTGGTGTATCAAAAGTGAAATTTAAAATCAAATCTCTTGCAATGATTCTTCTATCCTACCTGTATCTTCAATAAATTCCACACATTTCTCAACAAATAGTGGTATGGGCTTCTCAGCTGTAACCAGATCCTGGAGGGGCATCCCAAAGTAATTACTTTCCCAATTTCTACGTGTTGGTGGATTGAAGTTCTTAGTTTTCTTTTTCTGCTATAAGAAAACATATTTAAGTTAACACTATTAAAATTAATTTCAGAATAATAGTAATGAGCAATGTAAATACACGGTTCGGATCAAAAGAAAAATTTTATAGCCACATCCAACCTAAATGTCCACCAATATGACTCGCTAAATAAATTTTGCCAGAAGTAGCAACTTGATTGGAGACATAAGTGAACAGAAAAAAAAATGGCTTATTGAAAGAAAATATTCTCTTTGGAAAATAACAGACTTGATAGGTCAGGAGAGAATAGAAAATATCACTTTTCAATGCCAACACAAGGGACAAACTAGGGGCAAGCAATACCTGATTCAGTTTAGGTGTGATATATTAATTTCATTTGGTCTCTTGAAGCAGGTCCGAGTGAGTTTTCTGTGTCTATCTATATTTGTAAGAACGTAAGAGCTCTAATTATTGATTGCATAATGATGCTATATAACTCCATGAACCGTTAGTTCCATCATTTGTCCCTTATTTTTCCATTTTCTTCCTGCCTACTGATGCTTTTTATTTTTATTTTATTTATTTACTTATTTTGAGATGGAGTCTCACTCTGTCGCCCAGACTGGAGTGGAGTGACGCGATCTCGGCTCACTGCAAGCTCCGCCTCCCGGGTTCACGCCATTCTCCTGCCTCAGCCTCCCAAGTAGCTGGGACTACAGGCGCCCACCACCACGCCCGGCTAATTATTTTTTTGTATTTTTAGTAGAGACGGGTTTCACCGTGTTAACCAGGATGGTCTCGATCTCCTGACCTCGTGATCCACCCGCCTCGGCCTCCCAAAGTGCTGGGATTACAGGTGTGAGCCACCGCGCCCAGCCTTATTTATTTATTTTTTTTTGAGAGGGAGTCTTGCTCTCTCACCCAGGCTGGAGTGCAGTGGCGCAGGGTCTAGGCTCACTGCAAGCTCCGCCTCCCAGGTTCACGTCATTCTCCTGCCTCAGCCTCCGGAGTAGCTGGGACTACAGGCGCCCGCCACCACGCCCAGCTAATTTTTGTATTTTTAGTAGAGACGGGGGTTTCACCGTATCAGCCAGGATAGTCTCAATCTGCTGACCTTGTGATCCACCCGCCTCAGCCTCCCAAAGTGCTGGGATTACAGGCATGAGCTACTGCGCCCAGTAGCTTTTTTTTTTAGACGGAGTCTCGCTCTATCACCCAGCTTGGAGAGCAGTGGCGCAATCTCAGCTCACTGCAACCTCCGCCTCCCGGGTTCAAGCAAGTCTCCTGCCTCAGCCTTCCAAGTAGCTGGGACTACAGGCGCCTGCCACCACACCACATGCACCACCAAGCCCAGCTAATTTTTTTTTTTTTGTATTTTTAGTAGAGATGGGGTTTCACCATGTTGGCCAGGCTAGTCTCGAACTCCTGACCTCATGATTCACCTGCCTTAGCCTCCCCAAGTGCTGGGACTACATGCATGAGCCACAGCACCCAGCCGATGCTTTTTTTTTTTTTTTTTTTTTGAGACGGAGTCTGGCTGCCACCCAGGCTGGAGTGCAGTGGCGCGATCTCGGCTCACTGCAAGCTCCGCCTCCCGGGTTCACACCACTCTCCTGCCTCAGCCTCCTGAGTAGCTGGGACTACTGGTGCCCGCCACCACGCCCGGCTAATTTTTTTGTATTTTTTTAGTAGAGACGCGGTTTCACCGTGTTGGCCAGGATAGTCTCCATCTCCTGACCTCGTGATCCTCCCGCCTTGGCCTCCCAAAGTGCTGGTATTACAGGCATGAGCCACCGCTCCCGGCCAGATGCTTACTTAAATGTTAGGATAACATTCATAAGTAATGTACAAAACATTTTCAGGATAGTAAAAAGACAAAATTAAGTAAGAATTTTCACAGTTTAACTTCAATGTAGCATTAGAGGGAAAATGATTCTTAGCCAAAGAATGAACATCTCAAAAACTTAAAGAAGTATTTTTGGGAATCAAACTACTGAGGAGATTCTGATTCACTCTCTAGAGCAGGGTATAGCAACGATTCCTACAGATGACTCTACTGTGCACATCCCATTGAGAGTTTCTGAAGTATACAAAGATGGGCAAGTTTTCAGAAATTCAGAGGATATTAGGCCACTTTTATTGACAGCCCTTGTTGGTTTTTCAGTTTAATCCACAAATTTTTATTTTCTCTGGCATAAATCACAAATCCATTAATATTTGTCATATTTGTCGTACTGGTTTTCAAATTGGACAAAAAGGTATCATTTTTAATCAGAAAAATGTATATGTGTGGGCAGGGGAAGGCGCACAGGCAGGGCTTTCAATGCCTGAAAACAATAGTCTTCATCTTAGTTTCTCATTATTTCTGGAAGTCTGTCTTTTGAATGCATACTTCAATGTATTCTTCTGAGTCTCTGAATATCTTAAATATCTTAAATACTTAATTAAATCCTTTCAATTTCAGGTCACTCCATCCAGCAAACTCTCAGAGCTCATGAAACCTAACTTCTAAATCCTCTTATACCATCATTCTCTGGTGATGCAGATTATATGCAACTCTGTTAAGTGCAGATTAAACCAAACACAACTAGGTGTCTGGAATGTTATCAAGGGGGCATTGGAGTGTCTGTTTCTGGCTCAAGACCTAACTCAGCAAGCCAAGGGCAAGTCAAGTGGTGTGGATCCTTATTCCTTAAATGATCCCTCCACTTCGACCACCACCAAAACAGAACAACGTGCAAGGAAGTGGAAATGAAGAGACTATAACCTCAAAGTTGAGGCAGGGGTACACTGGCTGAGTTCTTTTCTTTCTCAGGAACACAAAGGTGCATTGCAGCCTACCAACTATTAGCTATATTATCATTTGATTAGAAAAATGAAAACTGAAGCAGATGTTTTCTGTTTGGAGATAAATGCAGTGGTAAAAGAGATTACACTTGGGTAGATTTTTTTTTTTTTTGAGACGGAGTCTAGCTCTGTGGCCCAGGCTGGAGTGCAGTGGCGTGATCTCAGCTCACTGCAAGCTCTGCCTCCTGGGTTCACGCCATTCTCCTGCCTCAGCCTCCCGAGTAGCTGGGACTACAGGCGTGTGCCATCACGCCCAGCTGATTTTTTGTATTTTTAGTAGAGATGGGGTTTCACCGTGTTAGCCAGGATGGTCTCGATCTCCTGACCTCGTGATCTGCCCGCCTCGGCCTCCCAAAGTGCTGGGATTACAGGCGTGAGTCACTGCGCCTGGCCTACACTTAGGTAGATTAATGAAAATGGCAATGCCTAGACTATGGTGGGAACAACAGGAAGGAAGGGATCTTAACAGTCTGTAATACCATCTGAGGAATATAAAGTTTTAAGAAAAACAAACTAGCTAGCCAACTCTAAATGTTCCAATCACCTCTTAACTCCTTTTCTTAGCACTAGCATTTAGGAGTCAATTTAAACTTTCCAATGATTCTGAAATAATCCTATCCCTGTCTGTGGGGTCACAGGAAAGAGGAAAAAGTGAAGTCTCAACCTTATCCAGACAGCCCTGAATACTTAATTAAAATAAAATTGGGGGTTGTGACAGGAAAGCAAAATTATAGATTCTCTGGCTTATGCCAGTAAATACGTCCCAAGGTCCATAAAGTTATAAGGGCAAATTATTTAAATCTGCAGTTACACCAAGATTCAGAGCTAGCAATCTAATGTAATGAAAGGCTAAGTAGCTTATATAAGGAACTTCTGGCCAATTCAAAAGGGATACTTTAGAAATAAAGAACTGCTCTGACAGTCAAATTATAATCCATACATATAACAAGGGGAGGGGAGCCTATGTGACTTCTAATTTTTCCACTAATTAATGACACTGCTACAAAGGAAAATTCTATGCAGAAAAATAAAGTTTTGGATTAGACACTCCTATACTAGCTTTTGTGATGAACAAAAATGTATACGATTCCTTTTTTCTGTAAGTGATAGTTCTTAATCATTTACGCTTCAAGGTGCTCTTTTAAAACATGTGACTTTTGAAAAACTCTCCACAAAATTCTGATAAGCACCCTTTGGTTGAGAGTTCCTGATGTGTAGCTATAAACTTGTAACAACTCAAAATGATTTATGTAACTAGAAACCTATTTCATAAACTAAGACTAGATAATTACAATTGCTATAAAATGCCATCAAAGTTCTGAAATGTAAGAGAAAAATTAGTAGCATGGTATTTTATTGTTTATATCTAGTTTTTGATAAACCTTTAGTTAGAAATGGTACCTCTAATAAAATAATTGGGCCAGTGGAAAACAAATTCTGAAGTATGAAAATCCAATTTTTTTTTTTTTGAGGCGGAGTCTTGTTCTATTGCCCAGGCTGGAGTGCAGTGGCGCCATCTCTGCTCACTGCAAGCTCCGCCTTCCGGGTTCACATCACTCTCCTGCCTCAGCCTCCTGAGTAGCTGGGACTACAAGCCCTGCCACCATGCCCGGCTATTTTTTTGTATTCTTAGTAGAGACAGGGTTTCACCACGTTAGCCAGGATGGTCTCGATCTCCTGACCTCGTAATCTGCCCGCCTTGGCCTCCCAAAGTGCTGGGATTATAGGCGTGAGCCACCGCGCCCTACCGAAAATCCAATTTTTGATTCATTACTACATTCATTCATATCTGAACTTCTACTTAAATGCAAATGCCGTCTTTTTTCTAGCCACTTAAGTGAATTTCTTATCTGCAAAAGCACATCACAGTAAAACAAACATTCCATTCAGCAATTACATCTCTTTAAGTGTCCAACATATTAAAAACTCTCATTTGTATACGTAAACATGACTAGGAAGAAGAAAACAGCCCTTTCCAGAAACTGCTCTTCCTACTTAATACCAGCAACACAAAGGGTCACCTCAGCAACATCTTCAAATAAATACTACAGTAACATTTTTAAAAAACCAAACACCTCAAATGCTTCACCAGTAACCAAAAATTGAACAAAACTTGAGCAGTGAAATGCAGTTTACTAGGCTCTCAAAGAACCAGCTGTGGAAAC
This sequence comes from Homo sapiens, assembly GCF_000001405.40. Taxonomy (NCBI): domain Eukaryota; kingdom Metazoa; phylum Chordata; class Mammalia; order Primates; family Hominidae; genus Homo; species Homo sapiens. Next base: position 32,112,174 of record NC_000014.9, on the reverse strand, counting down.
AAGAAAACTGGATCTCTATTTTCTTACATGTGATTCTTGAAATTAAAAAAATCAAAGAGGCCAGGCGTGGTGGCTCACGCCTGTAATCCCAGAACTTTGGGAGGCCGAAACGGGCGGATCGCAATGTCAGGAGATCGAGACCATCCTGGCCAACATGGTGAAACACCACCTCTACTAAAAATACAAAAATCAGCTGGGCATGGTGGCGTGAGCCTGTAGTCTGAGGCAGGAGAATCACTTGAACCCGGGAGGTTACAGTGAGCTGAGATCGTGCCACTGCACTCCAGCCTAGTAACAGAGCGAGACTCTGTCAAAAAAAAAAAAAAAAAAAAAAATCAAAGAAGAAGCGTGACAACAGATGAAATGTAAATAAACTGAAAGAAAAAACTCATCACAGAAACAAAAACCTGCTTAGAAGTAGCAAATAAAAGATTCAATATAATTGAAAAGATCAAAATAAAATGGAAAAGACCATCAGAGAGTTCCTTTTCCTGCTATATCATTCTTATTATACACACCACAAAACACTGGGTTTTGCCCTCATTTAAAAAAGAAGTCTCAATCTTATACTCCCTTTTGCAGACAAACTATATACAAATAATCTATAGAAGATGTCGCCAATTCCTCTCCTTCCATTCATTCCAAATGCACTCAAATTAGTTATCACCCTCAAAACTCCACTAAATCAATCTGCTCTTATTAAGGTCACCAAAGACTGTTTTCTATAATTAGTTCTCAGTTCTCATCTTGACTTTTCAGCAGTCAGTCTCTTCACTGGACTTCTAAAGAGACCACCCCTGTTATCTTACTTGCTCTCCCCTTTTTAGTCTCCTTTTCTGGTCCCTCCTGATCAACACTGTAATGTTGTGAATATCCTCATCAGTCTCTGACTGTCTTTTGCTGCTGTTATTTGAGACAGCATCTTGCTCTGTACTCAAGCTGTAGTGCAGTGGCACGATTATAGTTCACTGTAGCCTTGAACACCTTGGCCTTAATTCTCCTGCCTTGGTCCCCCAAAGTGCTGGAATTACAGGTTGAGCCACAGCCCCAGGCTCTGATTGTCTTCTTTTTTCCATCTATACTCACCCTCTTGGTAACATCATCTATATGCTGATAAGCTAAATTATTACTTCCAGCGCAGCTCTTTCTCCTGAAGCCTAAACTAATGTAAAACACCCTAACAACATCAGTTTAAAGTCTAAGAAAAACCTCTCATGCTTTCCTTAAAATGTAATCTATCTGCAGCCTTCTCCATCTGTTTTTGGGAATTCTATCCTTTCAGTTGCTTGGAATACAAATCTTGGAGTCATCCTCTATCTCCTTTTTCTCTCATACCCTACTTCCAACTGTTAAGCAAATGGAGAGATACAGAATCTACTTACTTTTTACCATCTTCATTGTTAACTCCCTGGCCCATAAAGCTATCATCATTTCACATATATGGATTACTGCATCACCTGCTTAATATCCCCTGCTTCTACCATCATTCCCTACAGGCCATTCTCTACAGAGAGCTAGAATGTTGGCTCCTTGAATAGACATGTACAATCTGCATGCCTTGGACTCCGCTCCTTTACATTTTGACCTAATTTCCCTCATCATTTACGCCTTCCTCAAGTCACATGGTTTCCTTGCTATTTTAATATGCCAGGAATGCTCCTGCCTTGCACTTTTGTAGTGGCCGTTCCCTTTACCTTCTCAATGAGGCCTACACTGACCACCCTATTAAAAATTGTAATCCAATCCCAGCTACTTGGGAGGCTGAGATGGAAGGACAGCTTGAGCTTAGGGGTTTAAATTCCAGCCTGGGCAACACAGCAAGATCCCATCTCTTAAAAAAAAAAAAGCAAAAGCAATCCTACTGCTGTCTTTCCCAGCCCCTCCCCAGTACTCTGTTCCTCTTACCCTGCCTTTTCTCTCTACAACACTATGTAACTACTCACGTATCATCTTTTTTTTTTTTTTATCTCCCCAGCTACAATTTAAGCTCTACACAAGGGCAGGAATTTTTATCTGCTTTGTTCATCAACATACCTCAAACATCTGGAACACTATGAAATAAATTAGTACAAATGGTCCAGAAAGAGATACTTGAGGTCTCTTCTAAAATAATGAGCTTAATTTGTAGATTAAACGACCTTACTATGTACCAGGAAAAATAAACAACAAATAAGAGTGAATCAACAAGTTAAGGGCATATCATGCTGAACTTGGTAAGCTACAAAGAATCTTAAAAGCATCCAGGCAGAAGAAACAAATGACCAACAGTGGGGGGAAAAAAAAAGCAGGACAGCCTCAGAGTTCTCCGGAAAACTGGAAGCCAGAAGACTCATCTACAGGAATGTTCACGGGAAACATGTGTCAAGAATTCTTAGCCAGTATGTCATTTAGGCATGTATAACTCGCAACTTACACATTTTTTTAAAAAGTTTGCAAATATGTAATAATTATATTTAAATTATAATAGTTTCAAACGCCTGAAAAATCTTAACCACATGATACAAAATCAACTAAAAAAAACTTACACTGGAGAATTTATGATATGAAAAATGTAACAGTGAACAATGAATATTGTAAAACTAATTCTAATTAACAGTGGTATGGCTATTAATATAATTTATAATTTTGTAGGTAAAGCTATAAAATGTAAAAATAATCTGATAACAGGCCAGAACTAAAAGCCTCAACCTACCCTATATAAAGGGAGACGAGCGAATGAGATATGAGAGATAATATAATTACACTACTGCATAACAGGTACAATAATATACTATTTGGGAGGTGGAATAAAGATGGTAAACTGAAATAGGAGTTCAATATATTCAAAGATAAAAATATGAAGTACATAAATTAATAGCTCCTTCCTTTTTCTTTTTTTCTTTGCTAATGAAGAATAAAAACTAGAAAACAAGAAAAAAGGAAGCCAAAATTTATAAAATAAATATAAATGTAACAGGATCAACTACAACAAAAAGATTCTCGGGCTTAGTGTAAAAGTAAACCCAACCAACCACATGCCATTTAAACAAAGGACTCCAAAGAGTTAAGTAATATATATGTATATTTTAAAAGAGCAGTATTAACATTGGAGTTGCTAAGGCAAAAAGCCTTTAACCATACAAGCAAACTCACTTGACAATGATCTAGAATTCAATCTATCAAGCAGCAACAAATTATAGCAGAAATAAGTAAACTTCTATGGAAACCAAGAGTTAGCAATTTTAAAGGATCTCCTTTACTTTGTCAGGTCAAGTATGCCCAAATTAAGAATAAGCACTGAATGTTGATTTTAATAGATTCACACATACACCAGATAAATTTTAAGTCTTATAAACAGTATAATCCCATTTCTATAACATCATTTATATTCATGTAAGTATAGCAAAAATTATATAAATTTTAATCCTTCTCTTTCCAAAAAGGGAAGAGATCTAAAATCATATTTTACTCCAATGACTTTCAACCTGAGTTTCCTCTGGTCCCTTTATACTGTCTCATACTTGAGACTCTCCACATATCCCAGCATATTCTGAAATTAAAAAAACCCAAGTAATACAGGCACTACCTACCTTCCTCTCCCTTCCTAATGGCCTGAAATCACATTTAATTGAGAAGCAGAAAAAATAGGAACTCCCTCATATTATTGCCAGGACCAATCTAACTATAACCCTACTCTATTTCATCTTTTCCCTCTATAATAACTGCAGTACCTAAATCCTGATCACAGGATTACACATTACCTAAATCCTGATTCTCCTTCCTCTCTTTCTTCTCCTTCAGAATCACTCCTATTCCCCATCACTTTTCTCCTATAGCATCAATTTGTCCCTCTCCTATGAACATATACTCTCCAATCTCTCTCATCTTTAAAAACAAACACAAAAACCCTCCTTTGATCCCACATTGCCTTCTAGTTACTGCCCCAATTCTTGCTCCCTTTCACAGCGAAACTTCTTGAATGTCATCTACATCCATTGTCTCTACTTTTCCCATTCCAGTAACTCTTCAACCCACTTCCATCTGGCTTTCCCTACCATTCCCTTAAACCGCTTGTCACGACCAGATACTATCAAATGAATAAGAAACTTTTTTCTTCATCCTTGATCTCTCAGCAACATTCTTTCTTGAACTTCCTCCCTAAACACTTGATCTGTTAGCTCCCATATCATACTCTTCACTAGCTTTTCTCTTTTCCCACTAAGGATTTCCTTTCAGTTTCATCTACCAACAACTCTTCTACCCAAACTCAGTTGTGAGTTCTCCCTTCTTCTCTAGCTGTACTCTGCCCTTATGTGAATTTATCTAATCCCAAAACTTTAAATCCTTTATACATCCTGATAACTCTTCCTCTGAGTACCAGACTCATACATCTAATTTTTAGACTTTGATACTTCTACTCATTTGTCAACACAGATATTTTAAACATAAAAAGCAGTTGTCTTTATTCTTTCTAGTCTGAATCCTTTCACCCTTAGTCTTTGCTATCTTAGTAAATCTACCCAACTGCTCAAACCATAAACCTAGGAGTCAACCTTGGTTTTCTCTTTTCCTTTACTCTCCACAGCAAATATATCACAAGCCCTATTGGTACAACTTCCAAAATACTATTTAAAATCTGGTCACATTTCCTTTTGGTTCCTGTAACTGGCACAATATATACAGCACATGGTAGATACTCAGTAAACATTGACAGAAGCAAACAACTAAAAACAGGCACCAGAGGAAAGCCTTCACACATAAGATTTCTGTTAATATACGAAGTACTATTGGCTTATATACCATTTATGGTAACAGTTTCATTTACCTAATTCTTCATTCCTATAGGAGTTACTAGACAGGTATGTCTAAGCTTAAGCATCCTAACCTAATCAGGATTCATATGAAATAATGATTACTCACATCATCAAGTTACAGGAAGAATAGCCAACTGTATGTGAATTCACTTGGAAAAAAGGTGGTGTACTTTCAACAGTCTGTAAGAACTGAAGAAATTACTATACTATGTGCATAGCATGTTAGTTTGCTGTAAAGGATATTAAAAATCAGTGGAATTTAAGGCCCTTGAGAAACATATAGTCTGTTATAATGAAAAAACACCTCGCTACCAGTCATTAATAGCACATACAAAATAATATGCGATTAAATGTCAAAATAACTAAATTTAAGACTTAAATCTGGATTCAAAGGGTAGAACTTATATAGGAATGGATGAGGTCAGGGACATTTTCAGAAGTTAGAAAGGATCTAGTGCGTAAGTCATTTACTCATCTAAACATTTGGGTGCCTACTATATGTCGGGATGAAGACTATGAAATCACCAGAAACTGCCATTTATTTACTGCTTACTATCTATTAGGCACTTGTTAATACTATGTGCATAATCTTAATCTTCACAACAGCTCTGAGCCAGCTACTATTTTCCATCTATTTTGATGTACCTGGAGCTTAAGAGTACGTGTGGGAATGAATAAGGTTAAAAGGTCAGCAAAGGCCATACTGCAAATGGCTTTAGATGCCTAACTCACGTATTTGGAACTTTATACAGAGGTTACAAATACACTTTGTACGGACAGGGATCAGGCACTTCTATTTTAGCACTGCCCCCCAGAAAGCAACATAAATAACAGTTTGAAAAAAATGGTGAATGGAACACGGAAACCTAATTTAAAAAGTTGCTGCACCACAAATATTGGTGAGGATGTGGAGAAACTGGATCCATCATACATTGCCAGTAGGGATTTAAAATAGTATACCCAGGCCGAGTGCAGCGGCTCATGCCTGTAATCCCAGCACTTTGGGAGGCTGAGGCGGGTGGATCACGAGGTCAGGAGTTCAAGACCAGCCTGGCCAAGATGGTGAAAGCCCGTCTCTACTAAAAATACAAAAATTAGCCAGGTGTGGTGGTGGGCATCTGTAATCCCAGATACTCAGGAGGCTGAGGCAGAGAATTACTTGAACCTGGGAGGCAGAGGTTGCAGTGAGCTGAGATCGCGCCACTGCACTGTAGCCTGGGCAACAAAGTGAGACTCCATCTCAATAAATAAATAAATAAAATAGTATACCCATTCTGGAAAACAGTTTGGCAGTTTCTTATCCTGTATTCGAATGTTCATGACAACTTTATTCAAGATGGACAAAAACTGGAACGACCTGATGTCCTTCAACAGGTTAAAACACTGATGTATCCATATTATGGAATATTATTCAGCAATAAAAAGAACAAACTGTTGATGCACGCAACAACTTGGCTGAATCTCAAGGGCATTATGGTAAATGAAAGTCAATCCCAGAAAGTTATATGCCCTGTGATTCCATTTATATAACATCCTTGAAATGACAAAATTATAGAAATGAAAAACAGAGTAGTGGCTATCAGTGGTTAGGGATGGGTGAGGAGAAGGAAAAGCATGTAGTTATAAAAAGACAAAACAAGTTAATTTGCTAGTGGATGGAACTGTTTTACATCTTGACTATGGGAGGGACACACAAACCTATACACATGAAAAACTGCAAAGAACAAAATATACACATGTACAAATTAGTACAAGTAAAACTGGGGAAATCTGAATAAGATCTGTAGATCATATTAATGTCAACACCCTGGCTGTGATATTGTACTATAGTTTTGCAGGATATTACCATTGTGGGAAAATGGGCAAAGAGCACATGGGGTCTCTCTTTTTTTTAAAAAAAAAAACAATAGCATATGAATCAACAATTAGCTCAAAATAGAATCTTTATTTCTTTAAAAAAGGTATTTGTGATAATGCAGGTAAGAAATAATGACAACCTCAACTAGTATGAAAATGGAACGGAAGCAACACATTTTATAGCAGAATAATGAATGATAAACAGTCGAGTATGATAAATGACAATAGCATGTAGCTCTGGCCCACAGTTAACATAATCCTGAAAATATATTCTTACCCAATCACGGTGAGGCTGGGGAAGAAAACGCTATGACCTATATGGAAAACCCTACCTTTCTTATTGAACAGATACAAACATGCCTTGTATGACTGACTTCTAGAACTGCATAGACATTTTTTTCAAGACATAGTCTCCTACACCAGGGTTTCTCAACTTCAAGATTATTGGCACTTTGGGCTGTATAATCCTTTGTTGTGGAAGATGGCCTGTGAATTCTGCAATTCAGTTTAGCAATTCAATGTTTAGCAGTAACCCTGGCTTCTACCCACTAGATGCCAGCAGCAACCTCCTACTTCCAGTTGTGACACCCAAAAATGTCTCTAGACATTGCCATATGCTTCCTGGAGGGCCAAACTGACCCTGGTTGATAGCCACTGTGCTAGACTAGTAAAAACAAAGACCAATAACTCAAGTTTGGGAAATAGCTACAGATATATTTCTGAAAAGCCTGAGAATTTTAACTTTAAAAAAGGTCCATACACGACTCAAGACTGAGAAACAATACTGCAGGTTATACAAAGTTGAATGATAACCATAACTGCCCTCAGAAAGGTTATAACATAGAAAAACAAAATTAAACTACAATATAAAGTGATCAGGCAGTGAGAAGCAGCATTACATTATAGTTTAACACACTGGTGTAAGAAAGAAGCCTTCAGGGGACCCAGCACTCTAAAGGTTTATTTAATCCCTTTTTTAAGCCTATAAAAGCCGTAAGTGCTGGCTGAAAGTCCAAACACACTTCAGAAAACTTACATTGTGAAGACTCTCTCACACCCTTTATGCTAACACTAGGTGAAAAGAGGAAATAAAAAACAACAGAGTAAATAAATGTGGTCTAGGTTTTTGTACATACTTATCAGGCAAACTAATTTTAACCTTGACTCAGGAACCTTTATTCTCTAAGATAACATCTTCCTAAAAAGCATTTCAACATATATTATATATGTGGCAGATATTTTATTAATGCCATTAACAACTTAACAAAAAATAAACCTGGAGTCACTTGGAGAAAGTTCTAGCAAAGCAACTAACTATTCAAGTGAATGGGTGGATTTCTACCCAGCTTCCCCAAATTTCAGTGTCTTCCTCCTCCCTCTCATCTTATACAAGGAGTTTCTTAAACTGGGATCCACAGGCCTTTAGAAAGTATTTGAAACCGTTAAAACTCCAGTAAAATTTTGTGCATGTGCATTTTTCTAGGGAAAATACCCAAACCTTGACTCAGATTTTCAAAGGCTAAGAACAATTTCCAAAAAGTTCAAAACAATTGTTATACAATGTATGCAAGTTGTACCCTTTATTTTGACTACGATACAATCATAAGATCTCTTTTGTCATATCCTTATATTTTGTTGTAAGGATTCTAAACATCAAAAATTACTACTATTTTTAAAAAGCAACCCTCCTATGCTCTGGGGTTTCTCTTCTTTAAAAGTCACAGATTAAGCCCTATTTACTTGAGTACTCCATCCACACTTTAGCTGAGATGACAGGAAAACATTACAGAGCAAGAAATCATAACACTGCATCTACTGTAAAAAACCTCTCCTAGGATTGACACAATTTGTAGTATACAAAATTTTGGTGTACATAAATTGGCAAACCTATAAATTTACCTATAGTCTTGCAATAGTAACAACTGTCCATTAACATAAGAACACAATTATCTATGTTACAGAAGTGCCTCCTTGACACATACTTAACATTTACTATTAATCTGCTGCAGAAATGAGTAACTTCAATAATCTGTACTATGCTTTTACAAAATATTCAGTACGCTGCTATAAACACTAAGAAAAAGTTTGTATAGAAAGCCAAATTTAAATTAGCGAAAATGTATGCCACTGACATAATCTTTCCAATTAAGTCTTAACAAAATATATAAATCAGAAATATACTTTAAAAATTAACCATCTAATTACATTTCAATCTGAATTTGAAAAGCAATAAATCATGATCAAATGGACAACACAGAATTCAAAGAAATGGCAAATAGTAAAATACTGCCAGAAATACTTGCACTACATATCCACACTTATGTTATCATAAATTGGTGTAGCCAGCACCAAAAATGCTGAAGAAACAAATTTTAACTTTATGAGAAATTATAGAAACATCACAGATCTAGTTAACCAGGTAGATCAATTTAGCCAGTTACCCAGGAAGAAAGCAATAGAAATGGTACTGAAGAAAGCCTAAGTAAATTCTTTCCAGATGAGATGAAATATGAGAAAGAACCAGAAGTCTGGCTAAACTTGTTGAAAATATAAAACATATTTAATTTTCAGCAAAATCAATTTTATTAGACTGAATTTCTTGAAAGCAGAGCCAATGAATGACCAAGTCATCCCCATATTAGTTTCTAACAGTGTTCAGGCACAGTAGGCATTTACCAAAATGCTTGTTGAATAAAATGAGTTTTCCTGAGTCAAAATAAATTGTAGTTAAACACATGAACAGTTCTTTTACAAAAACAAAGGCCATACATTTATGCTGACTTCAACTGATCACACTATGACACAGAGTACTGTGCTAGGCCATGGAGATCAACTATAAACAAGATACAAATCTTGCCTGCAGTAGACATTGTGGTTTTCCTATCTTAGAAATTATCTTAATTTCACAGAAAGCCAATTTCACTCAGAGCTCTCAGGATAAAGACTAAAACCTAAACTCATTTTTCTTTGTTTTCGAGACAGGGTCTCGCTCTGTTGCACAGACCAGAATGCAGTGGTGCAGTCACAGTTCACTGCAATCTCAAACTCTTGGGTTCAAGTGATCCTTCGGGGCTCATCACTATGCCCAGCTGAGATTTTACATTTTTGTAGGGATGGTGTCTCACTATGTTGCCCAGGCTGGTCAGACCTAAATTCAGTTGGATAATTCTACTACCCTGGACAGACTGTATTGGTTAGGAACAGGTGCAGGACCTAACTCAAGGCAGACTAGAAAAGATGCTGGTTGAAGGGTCTAGAAAAAAACCTTTCTCATTCTTTTGAACACACTTCCTGTACAAAGGTGACTCTCACTTTCTCCCCTAAGGGGATGTTTTCAAGGTAACAATGGATAAAATGAATATTCCACATCAACTCTGAAGAAATTAAGCAAGGTACAGAAAATAGGTACAAAAAAGAAAATGTGAAACTTTCAAGCACTTCAAGACTTTGTTGAATAAAGAATCTTTGCTCATTCAACAAAGTGTAAGCCTATCCCATCAGATCTGTAAGTATTGCCTTCCTATAGTAAGCTTTTTTTTTTCTTTTTGGAGTCTCGCTCTGTCGCCCAGGCTGGAGTGCAGTGGCACGATCTTGGCTCACTGCAACCTTCACCTTCTGGGTTCAGGCGATTCTCCTGCCTCAGCCTCCCAAGTAGCTGGGATTACAGGTACACACCACCACGCCTGGCTAATTTTTATATTTTCAGTAGAGACGGGTTTCACCATGTTGGCCAGGCTGGTCTTGAACTCCTGACCTCAAGTGATCTGCCTGCCTTGCCCTCCCAAAGTGCTGGGATTACAGGTGTGAGCCACTACATCCTGCCTGCTCTTTCTATATAGTAAGCTTTTTACACCCAGTTTTTTTTTTTTTTTGGCCTTCACAAAATTCTTTCAAGAACCTAAATCAGGTTCTCTCAGATGTGAACACTGTCAACCTAATGACTGTCAAGAGGTTAAATGATACACACTAAAAAACAAAAAGCACGCTTTTCTCATAACTTATGCATTCTGATATAGACAAATGACAACAGAAACATTTTCATATACTTCATTACTTTTATAACTGGAATGAACAATTTACAGATAGAGTGAGGTTCTAGAAATCAGAAGTCAATGCTAAACCTAAGATTTACTATATTAATATAATGGCATGGTATGAAGTCATGATTTGCTAATATCAGATTAATACCTTGTGACTCAATATATACATATTAACATTTATCTAAAACATACTTATTTTGGTTTTATTCTTCTGCCAGTCTCCAAACCCCATTACAGTGGCTAAAGCAGCAAAATCTTTTAAGACACTAATTGATGGTGGATTTAGATAAGAAGGGAGCAGTAAAATACAAAGAAAAAACACTGATTAGAAGGAATACAAGTTGGTAATTGCTAATATAAAGAGGAGGAAAATATTCAGGGCCTGGAATAAGACAGGAAAACAATTTAAAAAGAAGTTAAAAATAAAAAATCATCTGAATACCAGCTTATACTAATACACCATAAAATTCACCAAGTATTTTACTATTTATCTTAATCAAGCTAAAAATAAAATAGACAAAATAGATACTGAAGAAAGATCAAACCAACTTAAACACACGTGTTTAACACACTCCTTGAATGTGTTCAAAACTGGCAATTTTATTAATAATAATACAACTCAGATTTTCTCAGGAAATTTCAAGCAGTTCTCTTAAAGGGCTGCTTTTCAAACACTAGTAGGTTACTAAATTAATTCAGATTTTAAGAAGTAAAAAAGTACTTCTTTTTTCACTGTAATAGACTAGAAAATCAAAATAACATATACAGTTGTCCCACAGCATCTGAAGGGCATTGCTTTCAAGACCTCTGTGGACACTAAAATCCGAGGACACTGAAGTCCCTTATATAAAATGGTATAGTATTTGCATATAATCTATGCATATCCTTCCATATACCTAAATCATCTCTACATTACTTATAATAACCTAAAACAGTGTAAATGCTGTGTAAACAGTTGCTACGCTGTTTTTTAAATTTGTATTATCAAGCCAGGCATGGTGGCACACACACGTAGTCCTAGTACTTTAGGAGGCCAAGGTAGAGGACGGCTTGAGGCCAGGAGTTTGAGATCAGCCTGGGCAACATAGTGAGACCCCCATCTCTATGACAACAAAAAATTAGCTAGGCATGGTGGCTAATACCTGTAGTCCTGGCTACTCAGGAGGCTGAGGCGAGAAGATCACTTGAACCCAGGGGTCTGAGACTGCAGTGAGCTCGATGGTACCACTGCACTCCAGCCTGGGCAACACAGCAAGATTACATCTCATAAATAAATATCCATTTTTGTTATTGTATTGTTATTTTTGGTAGTTTCTTTCCTGAGTATTTTCAATCTGCAGTTTGTGGAATCTGTGGATGTGAAACTCACGGATACAGAGGGCACAATGTACAATAAAGTTAAGTATTCTTTTGTGAAATTGCATTTCAATTATGTAGAAATATTTGTGTATATAATGGGTCATGATTTTAAAAAATAATTCTCATTGCCAGTTACAATCAAAAACATCTTAGAGGTTTTGTTACCATAACTAACACTAACTTCATTTGGGTATAAAACAAAAGATAACGAAACCTAAAGGCTTCTGATTGGTAAGAATGACAACGAAGCTCAGTTTAAGACAAACATATCTGAATCTTCCTTAGATGCCATTAATGCCCAAAAGCTATGGTTTTCCAGGTATCAAGGAATCTGAGAAAACATTCCTAAACTATGGCTCAAGCAAAGCACATAAACTTAAAATGAAAAATTATAGGAGTATTTAACTTAAAAATGAGTCAAGAAAACTAATCCAGCAAATGGGCAGAGGACCGTTCTGAGATACAGACTGAGTATATTGAGGTATTTCAGGCCTGATGTACGTTATAATACTATTTATTGAGCACTGCTCTGTCAGACACTTGAAACACTTATTTTTAATTTCTACCACAACTCCAAGGGAAGTATTATAATTCCTAATTTATAGGTGAGGGAACCAGCTAAGAAAGGTAAGTGGTTTATTCTTTCTGTCTACTGTTTTTAAGGACCATCTCTGATAGTTGGCCATTCCACACTGACAGATCCTCAAAGGTCTGTGTTAAGCAATCGTCTGTATTCACTCCCTAGGAGATTTCATCTATTACCATTTCTAGTTCACTGTCTCCTATGTATCTACAACTCAGACTTCTGCCGATGACCCGTAACTTCCTACCTGATTGACATCTCCACTTGAACTATAAAACCAAAGTTATAATTGTTATAATTTCCACTCCTCAACTCCAAACTTGGCAAATTTCTAATGTTCTGTATCATGAACAGCACATTACTGATGAAGCTGAACAAGCTAGAAACATAGGAGATATTTTTCCCATCTCATTCATTATCCTCACCTCCCCATATGCAACACATCCTATGCGTTTTAGGTATCTCTCATATCCATTCCATTCTCCATCGCCAACACTCTCCCTCCCAACTCCAGCTGCTCCAAGTTTTCATCATGATTCGCTTAGATTACTGTAATATACTAAACGGTCTTCCACAGCCTCTCTAGCCCTCACTCAACCCATTCTTCACACTGTAACCGAGTGATCACAAGAAAGAAATCTATTCACTCTCTATGTTCAAATTACTCTTAGGCTAAATAACAAAAATCTCTAACATTGGTAACTAGTCTCAGAGTCTGGTCTGCATTCTCGTCTCTCCTTATACTACTCTCTCCCCTAGAGAGTCAGCAAATTATATGGCCTGGGGGCCAAATCCAGCCTGCTGCCTTTTTTGAAAATGGTTTATTAGAACACGGCTATGTTCATCGGTTTACATATGGTCTATGGCTGCTTTCATAGTATAACAGATGTGACCAGGTACAACAGACTATATGACCCTCAAAGCCTAAAACATTTACTATCAGGCCCTTTACAGAAAGTTTATCAATGTCTGCCCTAGATCAATGACTGAACACACTGACCTCCTTTAAGAACATACTGTTCCTCTCCCACCACATGTACATCCTATGTATTCAGCATTAAATATTCTCCATTCTATGTCACCAACCCCCAGTTAACAATTTAGCTATCAGATCTGACTAAAAATGACTTTTCAAGAAGGCCTTTCCTCACCATTTAGATTAGCGCATCCTAATTCAAACTAGCCACATTTCAAGTGTCCAATAGCCCCATGTGGCTAACATGTTTGAGAGACAGCAGTAAACCAGAGGTCTGTTTGTTTCCAGACTCTATTATATTGGTCGATATGCCTATCTGTGTGCCAGTAACACACTGTCTTGAAGTTTTATATTATATGATAGAATGAGCATACACACTACCACCATTCCACCCTGCCTTTCTTCTTCAGAAGTGTCCATGCTATTCTGTTAATAAGCCCTTTACTCTTCCATTTATCAAATCAGCATGTGAAATTTCTTAAAAACTTTTGAAACTTCCAATGAAACAACACTGAATCTAGAGCTCAGTATGAAGAACAGTGACTTCTCTATGATATGCCATATTCATGGACAGGAAGGCAATAGCTCTGTCATTTATTTAGGTCTTTTTAATGTCTTTCAATAACATTTTGTACTTTTCCAATACAGAGGTTACACATTAATTATTCCTGGGGACTTGATAATCTGTCATGTTTTTATAAATGGTGTCTTCTGTAATTACTTTCTCTAGTTTTCTGTTGGTAATGTATAGAAATGCAACCTATTTTTGATTACTGATCTTATATCAAACTATTTTGTTAACTCTAATAATTTATCAGTAGATAAATACTACTTTAGTAATACTAATCCTTTTTGGCCTTTACATTGATACTCATTATTATGAGCTAATAGTGACAATTTTGTTTCTTCCTTTCCAGCACTCATGCTTTTCTTTTTCTTATCTTTTGCTCTGAGTAGGATCTCCATATAACACTGAATAGAAGTGATGTTTTATTTGCCTTCTTTTTGATTAAAAAGGGAATGTATTTCCTCATTTAGGATGATAGATGATGTTTATTATAAATTTTGCTTGTCTGTGTACACGTTTTCAAGAAAGTTCTTACCTGTTCCTAATTTAGCAGTTTTCCCAAGAATTGTTAAATTTTATCAAGTCTTTCTTCTGCATCTATTGTCATTATAGTATTTTTTCTCATTTAGTTTGTTGATGAGGTAAACTACATGTACAGATTTTTCTATTAAAAGCCACCCTTTGCACATCTGATATAAATCCAACATGGATATGATTTTCCTTTTACATACTGTTCAAGGTTTTTCTGCTATTAAATCCCCCAAAATCCCTTATTTAAAACCCTTGGAATAAGCTATGTTTCAGAAATCAAACATTTCTAGTCACTAGTAATAATGCATGGTGCAAAAACTGGGTATTTTTTAACAACCTTAGCAAACTGAGTGTCAGCATCCAGTATTCAAACACATTCATGTTTTCACAGTGAACTGTACAGATACTCACTCTAAACAATGATTGTAAGCAGACTTACATCCATTCAAGTCAGGTTTTGCCATCAATGAGAATAGGCCAAATCAGGTTGTGCTGCCAAGTTCTTAAATCTTTGGTTTTCAGAGGTTAGTCGATTTCAAAATTGAGGTTAAGGGTCTGTAGACCTGTATTTAAGACTTTGGCACGTATACTCATAAGTAAAATGGAACTATAATTTTCCTTTTTTAAGCCATTCTTGTCTGGTTTTAGAATTAAAGATAGATGACTTAGAGAATAAACCTAAGAATGTATTCCCTTGTCTTCTATTCTCTGAAACAATTTATGTAACATTGGAATGATCTGTTTTTGAAAAATCTGCAAAATTGTCTGGAACTAGTATTTCCTTGGTAGGAAATTTAACTACTACTTCACAATTTATTTAATATTTACAGGATTATTTGAAGCATATTTGTTTAGGTAAATTACATTTTTCCAGGACTTTGTTCATTTTGTTTAAACTTTCAAACTTGTGGCACGGAATTGTTGATAGTATTCTCTATTATCTTTTAATCTGATCTATCTGTAATTATGTTCTCCTTTTTATTCAGTGCTTATTTATGCCTTTTTTCTCACATCACTATTACCAGAGGTTTGTCTATTCTATTTTTTAGTCTTTTCAAATAATCAGCTTTTAGCCTTTACTTTTCATACGGTCTCTGTAACTCTACCACTTTACAACTGAATGCCTAAATCTGCCTCCTGACTAAAAGTATACAAAATTATACTAATACTGTAATTAGAAAGACTATGCAGCAGTATGGAAAAATATGACTGTACTACTGCTATTAAAGAGAATGTTTCTGTTCTTAGGAAATACACAATGAAATATTTAATAGCAAAAAGAGTCCACTATCTCCAACTTAATCTCAAAGGGCTTAAAAAAAAAAACAAACCAATAGACACGAAAACACACACACACGTGCGCACGCACACACACAGCTCCATCAAGTGGGGCAAAATGTAGATAATTGGCAAATATGGGTAAAGGATATATGGATTCCCCTTTTACTATTCCAACTTTCATTGAAATTACATCAAAATAAAAGGTTACCAAAGCAATTAGGCTTGTGAACAAAAATGGAAAAAAAAACACAAAAATAAAAGCAATTTAAAAATGGAAAGGCTGTGTTTTTTCTTAATAAACATTAAGTAGTTTTAGTAATATAAACCAATAAAGAGAAAAATATTAAAGTTTTTGTCAGTGATAAAATGGTACTAGTGATAACAGGTTAAGTGTGAAGAGATGCAAGAGAGTAGCATGTTATGAGTTGAGTATGTGCTGTAAGTCTAGATCAGTATTATTTTAAAAGTTTACAGCTGGGCGCGGTGGCTCACGCCTGTAATCCCAGCACTTTGTGAGGCCAAGGCAGGCCTCGGATCATCTGAGGTCAGGAGTTCAAGACCAGTCTGACCAACATGGAGAAACCCCATCCTACTAAAAATACAAAATTAGCCAGGCATGGTGGCACATGCTTGTAATCCCAGCTACTCAGGAAGGCTGAGGCAGGAGAATCGCTTGAACCCGGGAGGCGGAGGCTGCGGTGAGCCAAGATTGCGCCACTACCCTCCAGCCTGGGAAACAAGAGCGAAACTCCATCTCAAAAAAAAAAAAACAAAAAAAAAAAAAACAAAGTTTACATGCCTTTTCCAGAAAATTTGCTAACGACAAAAAAAGGTAATACTTTAACTTAAACTTAGAAAATAAAGCAGATTCTATTCAACTATAATGGGCAGTTACTATATTTAGGAAAATTACCTAGAATAAGCTTACTCAAAATATCGACACCTTTAATTGGGTATGATAAACAGCAGTCAGCTGTAGAAAATAAATATTGATAATTTACAAGATTATGGACTTAACCTATGAAGAAATGACCAACACATTAGCATAAAAGCCTACTGAATGCTATCTTAAGCCATAAAATCCTTAAATACAAGTTTGTGTGCAATTAAGTGTCAAACAGTATTAGAAGTGAAGTTGCTAAAATACCACTGTGAAAAATATCTAATAAAAGTCAAAATTATTAAATACAACTTTAACAGCATTCATATTTAGGTTTCAAATGCCTAATACCATTAGATGGATTAATACCTACTGAAAATGTAAAAGATGAAAGAATGCTTGCTATTTGTTTAGAATTCTGCAATTCAAATTTCAGAAACCTTTCTGTATACCTTCAGGTAGTATACCACCATCTGCAAAGAAGCTTCCTGGAAAAGTTAATAAATATCCAAGACTGTAAACTGTTACAATTTTATTGTATTATTAATATCCTTGAGTGAGACAGGTATGTCAAATTAATACCGCAAAACTGGTAGGGCAGAAGGGAAAAACAGAAAAATAGGATGATTACAAATGGAAAAATTAAGAACAAAATCACTTCATATCTGGGTTTCTGTAAAAAGAAAAAACACATTCACCAAGAATTTTTATGCTGAAGAATATGAAATCAAACTCTACCCCAATAAAGCACAAAAATAACAAAAAATCACTTATCCCCACAGAATACTCAGAAAATTAAAAAGGGCTACTAATTATTATGTATGGAATGAATGAGACTAAATTCTAACACTGATGTCAGTATTTTAAAAAAGTAACAACAAGCATTTTTATAAACATCACTGACCTTAAGTTAACCTTACCTTTTTATCTTCTTTCACTTTGTGGGTTTTCTTCTTCATCTTCTTATCATCTAACTCCTGGTCAGAAGTGATTGCAGGATTATCAATACCACCTTTCCAAGTTTCAACAGGAGAAAGAAGTGGATCTTCTTCACTTCCACGATGTCTTCCTTTTCTTTTTGTTTTAGAAGTGGTGAAAGCCTCATCATCACTGGCATCTGAATGTGTTCTTCTATAGTATGACTTGGCTTTACTAAACAAGGTTTTAGATTTATATTTGTATTTTGAAGGCCTCCGTTCCCCATGACTTTTTGAGGTTCTATCAGAAAACCCATTTTCTTCATCTCCTTGGGTGTTATTTACAAATGAGTTTCGAATTTTAATACGATTTTGACTATCATCTGGGACAACATAAATCTCATCAGAATAGCCCTTCTGTTTGAAAATTGTATCAATGGGTTCCGCATAGTTATCTGAAGGATCCATATCTTCAGGATGTGCCAAAGGCACCCGGGAAGTCTGCTTTCTTGGATTTTTACCAATACCAGCTTCAATTGTTTTTAAAAGGTTTGGATCGAGTTTTTTCACATTTGTCTTAGGTACAACTGGTTTAGGTTTAATAGGTGGAGGCACTTTATGGTTGCGTTCATGGTCATGACAGTTTGGGGTACTATGAATAGGATACTCATTTCCTTCCAAATCTAATCTATATCTGGAACGGTCACTAGGTGTTGGAAGCAACTGTACATCATCCCCAATTGGACTATAAGGAGGTGGTGCTTCTGTGTCATCATCTGAATCAGGGTAGTTATTATAGGGAAAACAGTCTCTGGGAGATGGTAGAAAAACATCTTCACTTTGATGGGTTGATTCCCTTGTATTATCAGACAAATAAGAATTTTCTATCATATTTTTTTTCTCTAGAACATCACTAAAAAACAGAGTAAAGACCTCAGTTTGCCGATGATACTGAGATAAAGAATACAGTGCTGTAAATTTAGCAGTGATCTCAGTTGCAATGTGTTCTCCTTCAGTCATTAACTCTTTGATAGCCTCATTTTCAAAAAAATCTGCTTGGCTGTCAGTAACTGCCACCAGCTGTACAGGAATGGTGTCTTGAACTTCTGATAGAAATGCTCGAAGCATTCCCATCGAAGCTTTCCGTTTTGCAGAGTAAACTAATATATACCCATGAACTAGTTCATCTTTTCTTACTCCAATTGAAGAGTGGTATGATAATATTGTGATCTGTATTCGCCTCCTTTTTTCACCAATGATTTTATCAAGCATTAGGGAATTATTCTGTCCAGCTTGAGCAGCACTGCAAGAATGAGAATCAAGGAAGGGTGAAAGAATAAGATCCACACTAAATGGATCTCCACACATGGCGCACATGACAATTCTCAAGTCAGCTTCTGATAAGTCCTTATTGGCAGGAATTGGGCTCACCACATCCAAATTGTGTTTAACTGATTCCAATACTCCTCTGAGAGCTTGCTTTATTTGGGTTTCATTAAATTTACGAGGATATGTACCAGCAGGTACATCTACAAAAGGACATTGCAACTTGTTTGCCAACTGCTGCCCTTGGTGCCTGAGAATTGGTAGATTCTTACTAATGGAATCTCTCTGATTAGCCAGAATTAATGTAAATGGAAGATTAGCCATGTATTTATCTTTTCTGATCTGAGAAGCTTCAGTTCTTATTTTCCCAATAAATTCCCCAATAAAACTCAATGACTCAATGGAATTAAATACACAGAAGCACCCATGTGGTTTAAAGGCGGCAGTCCATAACTGACTCAAAAAGTAAGGCGATTTGGCATCAACCGGCCGAAGATCAAGTTCATAAATTTTTCCATCTAAGGCATACTCATCATCAGTGGATTGTGTCCTTATCTCATTTGCTAGTTCTTGGGCAAGGCCATCCTTCCCTAAAATAAAAAGGTTAACTTTATCTATATTGGTACTATCGTGATATAATCTTAAGCGGCCATGATCCAACTGTAAAAGACTACTAGCAAGTAACTGCTCCACTTTAATGTCTGTACAATTTTGGCCACTAAGACATGTTTCTTTAGTGGGATGATAAACAAATCCTATATGCTTAAGTAGAAGGGATTCCCTATCAGGTGCAAGTTTCTGTAAAGCTTTATATCTAGGTTCTTCACTCAGAACTGTATGAATTTCACTCATTTTATCTGAACTAGGTGTTGCATTAAGATCTAAATCATAAAAAAGTTCAGAATGCTCAAAAAGCATTTCTTGAAACTCTTCTTTGGCTTTTTCAACTATTTCTCGCTGATGCCTACCATATACCTCTTTGCTATCAGCCTCAGTGATATATTTGTAGGCTTCATCCTCCATAACAAAGCACATAACTTCCTCCCATGGCTGCCCTGGTGAAATGAATTGAATTTTTTCCAAAGTCTTTTTGAATTTTTCCTTCATTTCCACCCTCCTCTTCTCGGATATCAGATGCTGTACATGGTTCTGATAGACTTTTTCAGCTTCTAAAGTGCTCAGGAGGTCAAATGGAATCCGCCTATCATTAATTTTGTCTATATGGTCAGTTTCATCCCAAGGAGTTTTTTCTAGCACCACAAAACATAACTGGAAATCTGCTCTCTTTTCCATTAACTTCAAAGCTTCTGACCAATTCAAATGTTCAATCTCTTCTAGATTTGGCAAAAGAGTGTTAAAAGCTCTTGGTAAAGTATTTATATACTCTTCTCTCCTTTTTCTTATATGTTCCTGTTTAAGTTGTTCTATATGTTTTGAGAATGTATTTCTGGCCTTTCTTGTTCCCTCTAAGTTGATGTATTCTTCATAATCAGGATGATTTTTTAATTTATTACTAACAGTTTTCCAAGTTGCATGATAATCTCTCACAGTCTGCACAAGTTTTTCAAACTTATCTGTTGCTGTGACAACAAGTTGTCTCTGTGTTTTATAAGCATCCAAATAGGGAATAATTTTAGGCTTGCTACGAGTTTTATCCAACATTTGTACCAGTGCAGTAAAACATGTTTCAATGTTGACATTAAATCGTGCTGATGTTTCCACTACAAGAAGGTTCTTTTTATTTGAAGCAAATGCCTGAACTTCTCTAAGATAATGATCCACGCATTCATCACATTTAGTTGCTGCTATTATTACAGGTTTTTTTGATTTTGATAACTGGACAAAAAGGTTATTCACAAATTTAAGTTGATCATCAAACTTCCTATTGCATCCTTGACTTACATCAATGCATAATAAAAATCCATCTACGTTGAGCTTCCCTTCAGGCATTTGCTTCTGTTCAAAGTCTTGTTCTAAGCCTAGCTGATCAGTGCAAATGTACATTAGTTTTTCTGCTGACTGCAATTTAGATGCAGCTGCACGTTTTATATATGGTTGCAAATTCGTACTCCGATGAGGCAAGAAAGTCTGGTCATCAATGAACTCTGTTTGTTCAATGACATGAATTTTGCATTCTACTCCATCTTCACTATTTTGTATTATGTCACCCCAGTACAAAAAGTGATCATTGTTTACTACTCGTCCTCCAAAGTCAATGGTGCTAAGCACAGAAGTATGCTCTGGATAATATTCATCTGCTTTTGAGCGTACAAATCTATTGCACAAACAAGACTTTCCAACTCCACAGTTACCTTTGTCTTTTTCAGTCCCAGAGAGTCCAACTATACTGATGGTATAGGATGGGGGACGAGGCTCTTTGTTTTTTGCCATCATAACTCTCTTCTCATGTCTCTACATTCATAAAGGTAACCAGATATGCTTCTCATTCTGAAAATAAAATCATCTCAAAATACAGATCCCAAATTTCAGAACTGTATTTGGTTCTTTGTATTTCCCTCATTTCTGTGCAGAAACATCTTCAAGATCATAGGGATCATCTTCCTATAGAGAGGGGAGAAAAAGAACAAATCTTAATCACAAATTACATACACTGAATTACAATAAAGATGTTTACAACAAAGCACCATACAAATTAATAATAATGATACATGTATTTTAAGAGGTAACTACATAAACAGTTTATGATTTACTGTTATAAATACAAGATGACCTCAAAATTTAAGGCAAACCTAACAAAATACAAAATCTAACATAATGTCTCACAAACTTTAAAATAAACCTCTATTAAACCAAATGTGCATTTTACCTCTAATTACCCCTTCCTATGAGTTTGAAGAAACAGCTAGTCCTTTCCACTCCCTTAATTTTCCTGCCTTCTGTCACTGGAGGCGATGCTGGTGATAACTAAAATGTACTAGTTGACTTGCAACTCCCTCACAACTTAAAAATACAAAACAACCTGCTTTTTACATTATAGGGTTCCTTAAAACTTATTCCTTAAAACAGAATTTCATAAGAATTTGATAAGATTTTAGAATATACAAATTTTTTGCAATAAATTTCAAGTCTTTTTTAAAAAATCTACCAAATGTTATACCCCCCCAAAATTAAGAATATTTAAATACTTAAGAGAAAACAGAAATAAGTGAACACTTAATACAAATAATGATAGCATTTACATAGATCACTGCTTCTTAAACTAAGGACCAAATTTTATTTCAAACCTATAAGACCAACTGCAAAATATAACGAAATTTATTTTTACATCGAAGCCTTGATTTTTTATTAGATTCAAGAAACTTAAAACTGCCAAACTGTTCCTAAACGCTCTTAATTTCTGGATATACTTCCTCTCATAATAGTTACAAAGGGCACAAAGACCACATTTTGAGTAGCACCAAGCTAAATAATTTTAAAATGATATATCTGAGACAATCTTTTAGAATTATTTGATATACTAGCAACACAAGATAACTTTTAAGAATTGCATAAAATTTAATTTTGATTACTTGTTTTCATGTAGGTAATAAATTGGTCTTTTAAAAAAGTTTTTAGAGATTTTTCACATTCTTTTGAGGCCAAATTAAAAGAACTGCATCATTTCCACCACCTCCAAATTTCATAAGATAGGAAAAAATCACTAGCAACGTACATCAGCACATATGAAAAGTATCCTCAATCCAGACAAAATAAAGAACAAAAAAAATCTAAGAAAAGTAAGAAAAGACCACTTCCTCCCCTCTCCCACAAATACCTGCTTGTCCACTGACCTCTGTTGCAAGTAAACATCTATTTCAATTACACCGAACATATGTTACACTAACTAATGGTGAAGATAAACTGTGCTCATAATTTAAAATCTTGACTAACATTTCTGATAAAATAATTTTTAAAAATAAAATTTCAGATTTATTCTCATATTTTAGAAGTTTATTCCATCAACCTCAACTAAATATTAACTTTAACAGTCAGCCATCTGACAGTCAAACAAAATATATATTAGGTTCACTTTTGTAATAAATATTACTATATTGAAGTGGCAATACAAGGAAGTAGAAACCACGTGTAAATACAACTAATTTCAAAATCCGACTCCTATCATTTACTAGTTGATGACAACAGTAAAGCCCTACACCTCTTAAGACAGTTCCTTCATCTATAAAACAGAGCTATATCTATAAATCATTTTTTAAAATGTGAAGTGCCTAGCCAAGGGGCTTAATAAATATTAGTTCCAGTTCTTTATTTGATTCTTGGAACCATGGGAAGCTGCTTAAGATTTATGAAAAATAATGTGATGAGGCTTGTGACTTACAAATATTTATGTGGCAGCAGTGTATACATGTAATAAAGGAAACTAGGGCAGTCCCGTTCAATCCTATTAACTTTTTTTATTAAGTAAAATGTTTACAAATCTTAATCTGGCCCAACTGAAAATCTGTACCTAGCATCAGCTTTAATGTTCTTTACCTGAACTGTGTAAAAGAACAAGTGAACACTTTATTTATGGATATTTACAGAGAAGAAAACATAGTATATTCTAGACAACAAAGTTATATACACAGTGATAGAAATGGAACTTAGTATGGAAAACAGCACAATGATTCCATATCTAACAATTAAGGAAAATATTGAAAACACAAGAGAATACAAGATCTATTCTTTTTTTTTATTAGAAAAGCAAAACCTGCAGATGATATACTTTAAAATGTACATCAAAAGAAGACTTATCTGGTGATTACTTCGGGGAATTTTTACAGTACAGTAAAAACACTACAGTTACATAATGAAATATAACTCTTTATTAAACAAACATCTATTCTGAAAACCAAGAGTAATTCAAAGACATATAAAAGTAAAACCGTCCCTTGTCTTCCAGTCATATATGCTTACCCAAATAATATAATTCTGAATACTATTACTCATTAAGACTCACTTCTGCTCTCCAATAGCATAAACCCCAAAATACTGAGATATACTCTATATGTTAAGATAGAAAGGTAAAGTAGAAATGAAAACACTCTATCATAAAATGTATTTTTAAGGTTTCAGAAACAAAAGGGTCTTAAATGAAGAGTGGAGGCATTAAGTCATGACCCTTTCATTGGTCACTGAAAACTGGAAAGCTTTTTGACAGAAATAAAACTATAATGAGGCTAAAATTTAATACTAAGGCTTCAACACATCCTAATTAATTTGACAGTGGCAATATGAATCTTAAATGTTCAAGTTTAAAAATAAGGTAATTTCACATGACTTCTATGGTTTCCACAACAATTCACAGTAAAATGCCCATTAGATACAGGGAGGAACATCCTTATTCTTCTAACAAGGCTGTTAGGCAGACCACCTGCTGGTATTTTGAAATCAACTCCAGAGCTTATGTCATGAGTCACCATATAGTGATTTTCAAACTGTGACAGAAAAATTCTTCCACCTAGATGTGGGAAGGGTGTTGGAAGAATCCTTCCAACTCTCACCAGAGGAGTGCCTTCCTTATCTGATTTATAGGTTTACTTAATTCAAGAGGCTTTGGTTTGAAAAAAAAAAAAGCGGGGGAGGGCGGGCGGGGGAATAGTTTGAGAAACCCCAAAATAGAAAAAAAAAAACTGTTGTCACCTTGCCCTCAAAAGGGTTTGGCTATTTGTTTGGATGAGTATGGTATTACCACCTCAATGGACAAAAGATCTCATGAAGTTGGCTCTAACAGGTTTTAAGGGAACTTCATTTCAAACACTGAGATAGTTCATATATATATACAAATTATCCATTGGCCCCTTACAACCAGATCAAAACTGTCCTCTATTAGCCAAGCAATTTTTTTTTTCAGTGCTAAGAACAAAAAAAATTTATTGTTTTTTTTCATGCTCCCACTAATAAACTAATGCCCAGTGTCTTCAATGATATGAAGGCTGTTTGAGTTAACTTAAAAATTCCTTTCAGTCTTAATATCTATGTCAATCATGCACATCTATTTTTGATGTAGGCTTACTTTCATGCAACTTGTTCTTATGATATCTAGCACCATGTTTATTTTTACTGATGAAGAAACCAAGACAAAAGTAGCAATAACCTACTAGAAATTATAAGGTTAGAAGGAAAATCTCTTCATTCCCAATCTTTTACTTTTTTAAGCAATAGTGCTGCTTTTAATAGCTTGCAATGCAGTCTCTCATTCTGCCTTTAAGATTGTCTTTAGGATAATCTTATAGAAATTATCTATATCCTTATAGAAATTAAAATTGTGTCAAAACAAAACTATGTTCACAACTAAGTTTTCTAAGGTATTTTACTAGACCATTCAAACACTGCATCCTCCTTTGCAAATCAAGAAAAAAAAAGTTCTACAAGGAATCTAAAAAAATAAAATCTCAATAAATCAGAACTAAAACATGTACCTTTTCACAAAATTGATGCATTCATTAATAAAAGGTATATATTTAAAAATATTTTATGCTTTTAAATTATACCATGTCAGGAAATTCCTAATGGTCCTATCTTTAAAATATATCCTTAACTTTTCAGTTTTTTCTACTTTTACTGCTCTCACCCATCAATATCTCTGGCCCAAGATTACTCCAAAGTCTTCTAAACTAACTCCTCTGCTTCACTTCTGCTCCCTTTTCCCAGTCTATTCATATCAGAGCAGCCAGAGTGCTCCTTTTAAAACATAAATCAGAGCTTCCCATTCTTTTGTTTAAAACTCTCGAGTACTGCTAAAAATAAAAAGCAAGTCCTGTCAATGGCTTACAAGATCTTCTCCAACCCTCTCTCACCTCTCTGGCCTCCCCTAATACTATTCTACCTTTCTCATTCTGCTTCAATCACACTGGAGGAAGACAACATGCTAAGGCATGTTCTTTGCACTTAACTTTTCACAATATCCCCAAAGATCCCCACTGCTAACTCTTTACCTTCCTAACTTACTATACACCTTATTTATGTCATTAACTCTATCCCTCTCCGCATCCCACTCTTAATAAAAGAGTCACAAGGCACAAATCTTTATTTCACCAGTATATCAAAAGCCTACAACAGTGCCTCCCACATAACAGCTACTAATTAAATGCATAAATCCTAATTTAAACTCAAATATTTAGTCAAAAATGAAACCATGAGAATGAAAGCTAACTACAATCTATAATAATGTACTTAGCCAGCATAACAATCTAATTTTATGACATCTTAAAAAAATTTTTTTTCAAAAGTGAAGTTGAGTACAACCCCAAATATAGTTAATTCAAAATTTTTGGCTGTTTAAAGACTTTAGTAAAATCACAAAATTTATGATAAGAAATTATATTTCCAAGACCTAATCACACAGAGGGAACTTTGTAATTACATGCTCTATCTTCTTTAAATCAAATAACTATCCCTTATGTAAACAAATATTCAAAAGAAACAAGAACAAAGCCCAAAGATTATCATATATTCTACAATCTTAGGCAAACTTTTTGCAAGCAGCTGAAGAATAAAAAAACAACTGCACACTAAAAGATGAATAATTTGTTCAGCAGCAATAGAAAACAACAACAAAAAGATGAACAGAGTGTAGTACTGATGCATTACTTTACTGTTTTTTGTTTGTTTTTGAGATAGGTCTCCTAATCTGTCATCTAGGCTGGAATGCAGTGGCATGATCATAGCTCACTGCAGCCTCGAACTCCTGCGCTCAGGTGATCCTCTCATCTCAGCCTCCTGTCTAGCTGGGACTCTAGGCATGCACCACCACACCCAGCTAATATTTAAAAATTATTTTTGTAGAGAGGGGTTCTCCTTATGCTCCCCAGGCTGGTCTCAAACTCCTGGGCTCAAGCAATCCTCTTCCATCAGCCTCCCAAGGTATGGGTATTACAGACGTGAGCCACCTCCCAGCCTGCCTTTTCTTAATGTTGCTATTTCTGGTAAATTTATCAATGCTGTGAAAAGTGAGAAGAAATCAAAAAGTCATTCTAACACACATAAAATAGCTAAGTAATTCAACAATGTAATACCTGTAGGAGAGTAACTCATATCCCATAATCTGTCTTTTTTTTTAAATAGGGTGTCACTGTCACCCATTCTAGAGTACAGTGGCAGGATCATAGCTTACTGCAGCCTCAAACACCTGGGCTCAAATGATCCTCCTTCCTCAGCCTTCTAAGCAGCTGCGACTACAGATGTGCACCACCACACATAGGTGATTTTTAAATTTTTTTGTAGAGAGTCTCACTATGTTGTGGTCTCAAAGTCCTGGACTCGAAATAATACTTCATCTTTGAACCACAGTTTATACCAGAAAGCACACAATTTGTATGTGAAATGAGCCCTAAAAAGTCATTATTCCTATGAATTAGTCTTGAAACAAGAATATAATCAGGCAAATGAAGAGAGAACCAACCTATTAAAAATTTGAACAATTTACGTGGTGACTAAATAACGTAGAAGCATTGGGATTTTGTTTTGGAATCAAATCTCCAGCAACAGTGCCTGATACACAGTGAGGGCTCAGTAAATATTTCATGAATAAATGACTCAATCTCCAGACTAAGAATAATCAGCTTCCAAACCGCTGGGTAATCCTGAAGTCACACTTGTAAACACAATTAACAAAAATTATGTACTGCTTTGGGCCCATTACATCTAGTACAGCAAAATATACTAACATAAAAAGTCCAGTTTTTTTCCCCAGGACTATAATGTGATCATTAACACACAATAGGGGTATATAAACAGTAAGTCTAAAGGTGTGTAGTACTTCAAGGAGGGTCCAAGTAGGCAGTACTCTGGGAGCTCCGCAAACCCACGCAGCAAAGGTAATTCTGCTTTTAACCATTTTTATCTTCTGATATTTCAATTTGTTTGAAAAAAACTTCACTGCTGAAAATATGTGAAAAACCAATGACCAAAACTATTCCCAAACACATTAACTTCTACCCTATTATTTAATGTACACCCTACTCTGATAACATGTTATTTCCCTGAGGCCTTGGTGTGCAAGTCATTCTAAATTCTTTCATTTCTGTATGGGAAACAGAAGGATCAAAGGTCATCCCATGTTCATCAACCTAGGTAAACAACTATAAGTATTTATTTACTGTGCTTAGCTACTATCAGTTTAACTTTGTCAGAGATTTTCAATGTATAAAGGTACATATAGGAAAGTCTACCAAGCCAGTAACTATGGCTTGGTAGTTCACCTTCCTTCCAGTGTCTGAGTCCTTTTCTCTCCACCTTGGAGAACCAAGAAGTGGGGAGAAGGGCATAATTTGATATGCAATATTACAATGCCATATAGTAGAGGAACCGTCATTTTCATCATACAAACAACTTTAGATACGGCTTAACAATTTTTAAAATGAGAGCACCTGATTGAATAAGAATATCAACAAGAGGTGTAAGCTTTAAAGGAAGTATGGATTAAGGGAAAAAAAGACTGAAAAGCACTTTCCACACTACATTAAAAAGCATAATAATAAACAGTACCATAGCCAAGGAGATAAAGGCAATGTGCTATACCATGGTACTAATAAATGCAACAGGAATTCAAAGAAATGAAAGTACAAGTTGAAATAACTCAGGGTTTGGAAAACTTTTTCTGTAAAGGGCCAGGCAGTAAATATTTTAGGCTTTGCATGCTGCACAGTGTCTGTCACACTACTCAACTCTGCTGTCATACTGCAAAAGCACTCATAGACTGTACTTAAATGAATGATCATGGTTATGTTACAGTAAACTTTACTTAGGAAAATTTGAATTTCATGTAATTTTCACATATCACAAAATATTCTTTTAATTTGCCCCCCAACCATTTCAAAATGTAGAAAGCCATTTTACAAAAATAGAGAGTAGGCAAGATTTGGCCCAGAGGCCATAGTTTGCAGACCCCTGAAACAGATGAATGGTTTCAATGAAGAGGAAGGATTTGAGTGAACCTTAAAAAATAGACGAGATTTGGATTGTAAAGTCGTCTCTCCAGGTGTACAATTAGGGTAGAATGGCTGACCACAGTACCCATGTTGGAAAGAAATACTGTTTTGAACATATAAGTTATGACCCTAGGTCTCAAGGGAAAACAAGAGTTAGACTTTGTCATAAGCAATAGAGAAGCCACTACAGATTAGTCTAGAGGAGGAATACAAGACTGGGCACAGAGCCCAAGAGATAGACAAATACTACAGGCTAAATGCACGTGAACTATCACAGAATTTAAAAGAGCAATCCAGCCAGGTGCAGTGGCTCATGCCTGTAATCTCAACACTTTGAGAGGCAGAGGCCAGCAGATCACTTGAGGTCAGGAGGTCGAGACCAGCCCGACCAACATGGTGAAACCCCATCTCTACTAAAAATACAAAAATTAGCCAGGCGTGATGGCGTGTGCCTGTAATCCCAGCTACTCAGGAGGATGAGGCAGGAGAATAGCTTGAACCCAGGAGGCGGACTGCAGTGAGCTGAGTGCCACTGCACTCCAGCCTGGGTGACAGAGCAAGACCCCATCTCAAAAAAAAAATTAATTAATTAATCAATAAAAGAGCAATGCAAGACAAAGAGAGCTTGGTAACTGGCTACTAGACATAAGAAATACAAGGCAACACATTAAGCCAGTGTTTCTTAATGAAAAACTAATCAGTTTCAGCAATAGATGGTGGTTCATTTCACTTTCAGGTGTTATTTCCAAAGACAAATGAAACCTCGGTAATGAAACAAGGCAAGTTCAGGATTATTAACATAAATTTCAGCATCATAAACTTCAGAAAATTACCTATGAGACCATTTGGTGTAATACTCTTATTTTCTAAAGAAAACATATGAAGAATTAGATACTTGGTTAATACAGAAGAGTAGAAATCTAGATCTTAAATTCTCTAGATCAGGGGTCCCCAACCCCGGTCTGGTAACCATCTGTGGCTTATTAGGAACTGGGCTGCACAGCAGGAGGTGAGGGGTGGCCTGGAAAGCGGGCATTACCACCTGAGCTCCGCCTCCACAGCAGCGATAGATTCTCAGAGGATCAAGAACTGTAGGTTGCTTGCTCCCTTTGTGAATCTAACTAATTAATGCCTGATGATCTGAGGGGGAACAGTTTCATCCCAAAACCATGCCCCCGGTTCCGTGAAAAAACTGTCTTCTACAAAACCAGTCCCTGGTACCAAAAAGGATCGCTGCTCTAGATTATAGTAATGTTAATTTTTTACTAGTTCTCTAAAAGAGATATTACCTTGGCTCTGAAAAGGTAAGTATAAAAAGAAACAATTTTGAATCAGTAAAAGAACATGATCAACAGAAAGAAAATGAACAAATTATGCCATATCAGAAGCCAAGGTGAGAGTTTTTCCAAGGCTGTTTGACAAACCAAATACAGTAACTAGACAAATAGTTATGCCAACGTTACGTGTTTATTTCTACATCACCCCTTCTATCACTCTTGCATTAATACCTTCTCCAAATCTTTCACTCTGGCTCATAAGGTACAAAACTGATGCTCTTACATCTTTTTTTTTTTTTTTTTTTTTTTGAGAAGGAGTCTTGCTCTGTCGCCCAGGCTGGAGTGCAGTGGCGCGATCTCGGCTCACTGCAAGCTCCGCCTCCTGGGTTCACGCCATTCTCCTGCCTCAGCCTCCCAAGTAGCTAGGACTACACATTTTTATATTTTCTTCCCATCTGCTAATCTGTCCTCTACTTACCTGTGCTTTCAGTCCACACTGTCATTAACTTCCCTAAATGTCTTTTTCCCCCTTCATTATCCCAATTGTATGCTACTTCCAAGTAATACTTTCCTTTAGCTAAATAACTTTCTACTAACTTTTAAATCAGTATGTAATCCAAGTAACACTTCCTTTAGCTAAATTCCTTTCTACTAACTTTTAAATCAGTATGTACTTCCCTAAATATACCTCAAATTCTTAAAGTGTCATGCTTGCTGTCTCTCCACAGAAGTTAAAAGATCTTTTAAGGGAGCAATATTTTATACTTTTTGTATCACTCAGTGCCTAGCTGCTCAATAAAATATTGGTCAGGGATAATAAAATAGGCTAAATCTAATCTAACACTAGAAAAATGAATATCCATTTTTACCATTAACTCTTCATGATGAAAAGCTTGAGACTCTAAGCAAGTAACATACTAGTCATTTTAACCACAAAATTACAAGGTTATGCTCTTTTTCCCAAGTAATAATTCTATGAAGTAAAACACAGATATGACCAAGCATCAACAATCTGTTTCATTTCCCTGCAAATCTAAAGTACTGTAGACAGCTTCCAAAACACAGTGGGGGGAAAAAAAAAATTATCCTTTTTGGTCTCTCTTACATCTAAACTCCTGCTTGCAATTAAAACTCAAAATGTTTCTTCTTCTATGAATGATTCCCAGAGGTCCTGAGGAAAACAGGCATTCTCTTTCCTGCACCTCTTAATACTTTTAACTATTTACTCCTTTATACAGCTTGAGCTATTATACCTATATCTAATTTATCTTGGTATTTCCAGGGCTAGGCACATAGTAAGTGCTAAATAAAAGTAATCTGAACTAATGAATAACGAATCAGAGACTTAAAAAAAATTAATGCAGATCAGTTTTGTTTTTTTTTAAGGGGAATTTTTTTTTTAACTTTGAAGTTCAGGAGTAGATGTGCAGGTTTGTTTTAAAGGTAAACTCATGTCAAGGGGGTTTGTTGTTACCCAGGTATTAAGCCTAGTACCCATTAGTTATTTTTCTTATATTTAAATAATAAATATTTTTCTTATATTTAATTAAGTTAAATATTCTTATATTTAAATACAATACACTTAATACATGAAAATAGAAGCTGTCCTGGTTTGGGAGGGTGGGTTGTCATAGGAAGTCTCAAGGCATCTAGGAAAAAAACCCACAGGAATCCAAGGAACAGAGTTTGAAAACCAATTAAAGTTCATACTTAAAATTCTTAGCATTGAAGCATTTTTCTTAATTTCTAATATGGTTTTTCCTATTTCAATAAAATAATCGACAAAAGCCTGCACTTAAAACAAGAGCCTGATTACTCAAATTACTGAATGATGAATCTACTGATGTTTCTTCACAGGTCTTTTAGAAATTAAATTCCCTTGGTGTACTTTAAATATATAATACAAGTATCTTTTAGGAACATAGACATCACTAAAACAACACTGTACAATGCTTCTTCAGCCAATTATATTACTACACACCTTCTTGGTATGCAAAGAAAAAACTGTGGACCATACAACCCAAATAAATAGTTCTTAAAATAGTATCTATGGAAACTACAGTTGCGACAAAACTTATTCTGTAGCTACCAAGAAAATCTCTATTATGCCATTTCATATTTAAGAAGTGACCACTAAAGGCCAACACTCATCTTACATCCTGCCAATGTTGGTAAAGTTTAGTAAAGTCTTTATGAGACCTAACTTTTTCTTCAATTAAAAAAAGTGAGTTAGAAAACTTATTATCGCTACTTCAAATCCAAAAAAGGAATGCAAATACAATATTCATTCCTTAAATAATCTTAACTTTCAAGGTCAAAATAACTCTCCAAAAAAATGACTGTGCTAATATGCTTTTCAAACACAAATAAGAAGGGGAGACGGTTTTCAAAACATTTAGGATAAGTATCTTGTGACAGAATTAAGGTAATAATTTTGCAACACATTTTAAAAATTGCTAAGGTCGTTTAAATGGGGAGGGACACTACAAAACTCATAAAGATAACAGAATTCTGCCGCAATTCTTACATCAAAGTGTAACCCACCTCACTCCCCAGTACTCTTAATAATTAATGTACAAAGAATGGCAAAATAAGACATGTTGATCTAGGTTTAAAAACACAGCCTACACAAGACAACCAAATCAATAGTTATTTAATCATCTGTACCGTCTGATTCTGCTTTAAGTCAATTAGATCAATAGTGCTATTTCTTGAAAGTTACAAGCATAGGTATGCGCAGCCTTTCACTCCAGTGCGTTTAGTCATAAATTGCTCCAGTGTCTTTGCAAGTTTTTGGTGACACATACTTACCGCTCTTTGTACTACAGATAAAGGTAATGGAGGTCAATTAGTATACAAAGGATAGATGAAAGCAAAAAATGAGAAAGGAATTTAAAATGAAAGCAAAATCTTACTCAAGAAACTATCTAGTAGGTTACCTAGACGGTTAGTAATACTTATCTACAAACACTGAATAAGAATACCGTTTTATCGTATTACAGTACAAATAAACTAGAATTGACAGCAAAAGGTTTCATTAACGTATTTTTAAACCAAACATTATTCCAAATGTCTAATCGCTGCATCTAGATGAAATTTTTGTTAGGAGAACCATTTTAAGTGGAAATGTAGAGCAAGCTCCCATGAAGTGAACGAGATCCTTCATGCGGATAAACACCACCTAACATTCTAACTGAATACTGGTTCTGGATTTAAGTGGAATTGACAAACTCGCCCCCCGCCCCTACCTGTAGAAAGCAACATAAGCAAGTACTAGTAAATACAGCGAAGCATTTTGCTGTTTTACACCTGAACATTTAAAAAAAAATTCAGTTTCCTGCCTATCACAAAGGAAAAAATAAATGATCGATAAGAATTTAAACTTAAAACGTAAGCACAAACCCATCTATATGCCTATCTTGCTCTATCTCAAAATATTTGAATTCCCATTTATTAAGCGATGGCCAAATCCGAATTTCTATCACATGGTAGAAGTATAAGCGTCTCCCCTACAACTTTTTCGGGATTTTACTAAACGGCCTAATAACAGTTTGCCCTTACTTCCGTGCACCTTTCAACCTCAGCTACACCCCGAGCCTCCAGCTCTCTTGCATTTCTAATAACGCTGAAGAGGGAGGGTGAGAGGGAGTATTTCTGTGTGGATAAGTGCGCGCGCGCTCCCGCGCGGCTCCCCACCCCCACCCCGATACTTTTCTTTAGTGGAAAGAGAGGAAGAATCTGGAGGTTATTCTAGCGAAAACTCAGTATCAAAGCCTCAACCCAGTCGCAGTCAGCCCATAGGACTCTGGGCTCTGGATGCGCAGTGCAACTTCTCATATCTTACTCCAAGCTTCAAAGCAGATGGAAAATTGGTGAAGAGAACCCAGGGAGGAGTCGAGGAGATGAGGGAAAGTGAAAGGGCCGATCCCCCCTACAAGGCGTTTAAGTTTGCAACCGAGACTGTGTTTCCGCGAATCTGCACCCGCCCCGTGTACCCTTTCCAGGTGGAACTCGTTAACAGCAGCAACCCGGCCAACGGACACCGCCACCTCCCCTCTCGACGGACCACCCGAGACTCGAGCAAGTGAGGCGGCGGGCGAGAGCGGACGCCTGGCGGGGCCGGCGATCCCCGGCCAGCATCAGGCCTCCGCCGACCCTGGCCCCGTCACCTGTGGAGAAAGCACCCCCTCCCCCGGCCTCTCTGCCCTTCACGCCGAACGTATCCCTAACGCTGCAGCTGCTGCCCGCCCGGCCTGCGAAAACCGAGCGCAGCGCCAGGCTCCCCTCGGCGGCCGCGGGGCCCCAGCCCCTTCAACTGGTTACAACCGGCAGCGGCGACCGAGCGGGGCAGCTAGCCGCAGGAGGGTCCCCGTCCGGGAGGGGGCAGGCAGGCTTGGAGGAGCGGGGTCCGCAAGGTCCTACCTAACAACGTCGGTCTCCTCCGTCTCCTCCTCAACGGCAGCGGCCCCGGCGGTGGCGGCGGCAGCGACATTCCTGGGGACCGCTCCCGCCGCCGCCGCCTCCTCCTCCACTCTCCGCTCGCCTCTCTTCCTCGGCGCGCTCACCGAGCGGCGCGTCCCTTCAGCCACCTCCCCCCGCCCTCCCCGACACACACGCCCCGAAACCCTGAGCCCCACGGCTCCCGCAGCCAGCTCACCCACCCTCCCTCCCTCCCTCCCCGCCACCAGCGGCGGCCCGTCCCTCCCCCCTTCCCCAGCGCCCGCCGCCGCGCCGGGCTCAGTAATGGCGGCCACTCGGGCTCCCTCGCGCTGACGGATTTCTCTCCCTCTCTCCCGAACTTTACCTCAGCATCTCTCCCGGCGCGCGCAGCCACACACCCGACCGGGGGCGGAGCGGCGGCGCGGCGGCGCAGCCTGGACGGGACGCGCGCGCGCGCGCGAACCCGCGCTGCCCTCCCCACAATCCCCCGTCCCCGCCCCTTCACCTCGCGACGCCTCCCGCGCCGCGCACCCGGCACGGCCCCGCCCCTGCCCTCGTCTCCCGGGAGCCTGGGAAGGCGCGAGCTATCCAGTCGGAGGGAGGGGGACGAGCGCGCGGGGCCGCGTCCTCGCTCGCGTCCCCGCTCCCTCCTCCCCTCTGCTTCTCCCTCCCCTCCACTCCCCCATTGGCTTCTACCCCTCCCCCTTCTTCCTCCGCCTCTCCCACCATTGGTTCCCTCCCCTACTCCATTCCTTCTCACCTTTTCCCTTTTACCCATTGGCGTGAGTATTTTTCCTCAGCTTCCCTCTTTCTCCGTATTCTGCTCCTCCTCAGTCCCATCCTCCACGCTTTGGAAGCTACTGCCTTACTGCCCGGAGCGCCGTCGTCCCCGAACCTCCCCTGCTTCTCCCTTTCCTTCTGTTCCGGTTTCTGGTCGTAACTCAAGAGCAAACCACCGTACTGCAAAGGAACCAGATATTGTGCTCGCGGTTCCAAACCGGGCATGGGCACCGAATGCTTCTCGATAAATCCCCTTATGGTCTCTGAGCATTAAAGAAAGCAAGGGAGGAAAACATGCGCCCAAGCTCGTTCGCAGGAACATGTTCGCGTGTCTGCGCCTGTGTGCGCAGCCAGTTTTCTGGCTGAGGATCGCTCGCCAACTACAGACATCACCCGCCCAGGACCCGGTGCCACACTCACCCAGAAGACGAAACTCCACAGGAGCGAGAAGAGGAGTCCATTTCTCCGTCGGCTCGGCACGGCACGGGGATGCAGGCCCCTGATTCAGTACGTTCTGTGAAAGTGGAGCGAGAAGCCAAGACGTGGATCGAGAAGCCCCGTGGGGCGGGTCTCAGGGTGGCCCAAAAGACCCCTGTTCACGCCACTACCAGCCTAACTTTAGGAACTGTCGTCCACCTGGCTTTTATTATACTGCCTTAAACATATTCACTTTTTTGAGACTCTAGAAATTTCACAAGTTTTGGGGTAGAGCACACTGGGCTTTGGGTGTGTTTCTCATGAGGGCACTGACGCTGAATGGTGCAGTGAGAAAGGACGGTAGAAACCACTGCCTTTGCTTTTACCATTGAAGAAACTGAGGTCCTGTGACTTTCCCGAGGTCATCGGAATCTGCCTTGCACAGGAGACTTAAAATAGTTGCCAGCAGATAAAAGAATGAGCAAAACCACATCTACTCCAATTTGTTAAGTCTGAAAGAAAGTAATTGAGGGGGGATTCCTCTTTGGGGAAATATTTATTTCCTGCATTGAAAATAGTTTAATGTTAGTAAACATATAAAAAGTATTTTAAATTCAAGTTATTCTTTATTTCTTATGTTACATAAGGTACTGAAGTTAGCCAAGGTTGCTTTTGTGTTATAATGATGCAGCTGCTGCCAACCAGAAGTACATTTACGGTCTGTCAGTAAAGAAAACAAAAACTGCCTGTTGGTAAAAATCTATTAGAAAATATTTGTCAGTAAATTTGTCACAATATTCCAGCAGAAGTTCTGTTCGTTTTTCCGTCTTCCTGCCCTTCATATTTCTCAAAGGTAGACTTAATAAAGGTAGAAGAGACATTTCTAATTTTTCTATATATCTCTTGCTCCCTAATTTCTAAAAGGCATAACTAAAATGCTTTATTCGAGCCACTCCCTTGCATCTGAACCCTACCTACCAAGTAGGTTAAGAGTAGGTTAGGTAAGGTCTGTAGCTACTTCTTTCTTTCAGTTACAAATTGTAGGTGGGAAAGAAGGATGCGGAAGGAAACTTGCAAGGAAAGCAAACAGAAAGAAAAAGAAGTAAAAAAGGAGAGAAGGGAATTTGGTGGGTGGTCCAACCATCAAAATGTGGTACTAATGCCATAGGTATCTACACCACTTATGTAAGTTGGAATGTTGATGCATTCCAACGCATGTTTTTATCTTTGTACTGAAAGCCCTTAAGAATACCCGAAGTAAACATATAAAAAGTATTTTAAGTTCAAGTTATTCTTTATTTCTTATGTTACGTAAGGTACTGAAGTTAGCCAAGGTTGCTTTTTAGTGTTATAATGATGCAGTTCAAAGTCATAACCTGAATAAGATGTTAAGTACTATAGAGTGTACACCCTAAAGATACCTTAAAAATTATGTCCTAAATAATCAGAAATTTTAATAATCATGGACATGTATCAACATAAACCAAAGCCAAATAAATCAGGGCTTCTAAAGAAAACGTTAAAAAGGTGTAATGTTCAGTTATAGGACATGATACTGGAGGCAGGGAAGACTTGAAATCTCATTTATTTTCTTATAATGAAGACACCAGAAGACGTTAAAAAAAAAAAAAAGATCACGATTTCCAAACAATGATTTTCATAGTCGACATTATTTTCAGTTCTTTATCTTGATTTAGGGAGCCTGGAAATTTAGGACTTCGTTTCTTATTAATACTAATAGTCTAAAGGTGTTTACCAGTACAAATAAGTTATTGTATGTAATTTGCTCTTCTCAAAAAATAGAGTTTTCTGTATCAATAAAAATCTGAAATGGGGGCCACAATTCTGTGGCTAATAATGCCTATATATCCATAAATAAAAGGCATCAAAGAGCAGGAGGAAAAATATGTAAGATGGCATCTTTAAAAATTGATCAGGAGCCAAGACTTCAGAGAAAAAGCTTTAAAACACCCACCCTCCCTACTCAAAAGGATAATTTTTAAGAAAATAGGTAACTTATTTACACACACACACATGCGCGCGCACAAATATCGGACAGAAATGGAAATGGAATAAATATTAACAAGCCCTCTCAAATCAACTACTCTTCTTATCTAGAATAAAAAAGTTAAGCCTCTCTTCTGCTGTACTGGATAATTAAAATAACTGGACTCTTTGTTCCTCGTTTACTTTGAAAAAATTAGAATAAGATTTGTCAGGCATTTTCGGTTTTTAATTTAAATTTTCTTCATAAATCTCTAGTTCTTCATCACATCCTAATAAAGTATTAATATGCATGGTCTTTTTGAGATCAAAAGACATGACAGTCATAAAAAAAGTTATCATAATTCCAGCTTCTACCATTAGTGGTAATACTGCAATATTCAAATGTTTCATATGTTGTGGCTTCAAAAGAACTTACCCTATAGAGGCAGCTACACCCCCTGCTGGAAATCTTTGATCATAACAACTTTGGCTTCTGTAGTCTCAATCAGGAACATATGAAAAGCCAAATAAAGGGCCTTACCACTCATGACAGAATTGACCAATACTTTAGCCTGTCTGATACAAGACAGGCTTTTGGAGAACAACCTATGTCAGAATATCACCTTGATTACAGACAAAATACACAAAGAGGATGGAGAATAATGATGTAAATAGCTAAATAGCCAAAACACTTGTAAGATATTTGCTTAATTTCCAACTGTATTTCCACTCTTTACCTTATCCCCATCTCCTGCCTAGACTTCTCTTTTTCTCTCTATCTCATACAATTAGGCCTACTTGAGGGGAGGAAGAAGGCAGGATAAGATGGGATATTAATCCTTCAGCTAGGCAAATAATGGTGTATCAATCCACAGTAGCCATTTGCTGCATTAAGGTGCTTAAGGGCTTTCCCCAAATTTGTTTTATGGGTACCAATGATATTTTCAACATGAAGAAAAGGTGCTAATTATGTCTTGGCTGTTACTGTAGAAAATATTTTGACAAGAGTTAAGGTAATTGTGAGCATGGGACTGGAACAGGAGGAAAGTAGTGCATTGACCTTCTTGGCATTTTGTTCCACACAGCCTTGTTCTGTTGATATTCCAGAACTGTATTTTCAGACTGAAATCCCAAAGATGGTATCAGAGTCTAGCTTTAAAATGTCATGCTCATGAAACTCTAGTCCTAGGACATAACTGAAATACTGAAAGCAGCACACTATTTTTAAATAATTCGTATTTTGTAAAGATTATTTGTAATGCAGACTCCTTTTAAAGGAAAAACAATTCATTCAGATCCCACCAGCACAAATACTTTAATTAGACAAAATCTTCAAGTTATTTCCTCTCACAAAAGGAGGTATTGTTGGGCCATCTGGACTCTCTATTGAGTTTTTATGAAAGATCACAGCTTGAATTTAATCAACCCCAATAAAGTTAACCCCATAAAGCTAAAAAATAATTGCAAGAATTGCTAACTGAAGGATTTGAATTCTCTGTTTGAGATTGTTACCACTGTCATTTGTAAATCATTACAATGGGAAACAGGAACTTGTATTGCTTGACTATTTAACCTCATGAACATAATTTTTGTGAATTTCCCACTCTATTTAGACCAAATTTAGATTGTGAGTCTCTCTACATAGGAATAACAAAATGAATGTTTGGCTCTATATAATAACTAGAAGATCATTAGTAGAAAGTTCAATAAATGTTTGATAATAATAACATGAAACACTCTAGGTTTTATGGATTTCTGTGGATTTGTGGCTAACAGAAGGCTTTAGATTATATTTCGAAGTGCCAGCTGAGATAATCACTTTGGAAAATACAAATCATTTAAAGAAATCGCTGAATTCACCTGTGAAAGTTGAGTTAGATGTCCTTCCTCAAGTACAATCGACATATTTCCACATAACATCTCTCTAGTAGGTAAATGTGAGTTACTAACAACAAATAACTATAGGTCTGAAACATCTGGAAACATTCTAAAGAACTGGTGCAGTATAGTTTCTGAAACCAACGATAAAGTGGCTAATCACTTCTCAATTAAGTCTCTGTCGGTTTTCCCTATTATTTTAAACTAAAATAGATGGTAAATACTTATTTTGCCAATTCACATGTTGCATTTTCTTCAAAAAGGCAAAAATACAACTATTTTTCTAGTTCAATAAATATATACATACTTCTAAATACAGAAGGCCCCTGACTTACGATGGTCCAACTTAAGGTTTTTTGTCTTTACGATGGTACGAAAGCAATAGTGACAGCATTCGGTACAAACTGTACTTTAAGCACCCATACGACCATTTTTTTTTCACTTTCAGAACAGTATTCCATACATTACATGAAATATTCAACATTTTATTATAAACTAGGCTTTGTGTTAGATGATTTTGCCTGACTGTAGGCTAATGTAAGTGTTCTGAGCATGTTTAAGTTAGGCTAGGCTAAGCTATGATGTTTGGTAGGTTAGGTGTATTAAATGCATTTTTGACTTTACAGTATTTACAATTTATGATGTGTTTATTGGGAAGTAACCCCATCATAAGTTGAGGTGCATCTGTACTTCTGTATGTCTCAAATTACAATGTGATTCTTTTGATGAACACATAGCTTCTTTCATATACATCTGTTATACAGTGAGGAATAAGAATACTCACCTTCTTTCTCCAACTAGGCTTCTTACTCCTCTTCGGCACAGCCCAGGACAGGCCTATATCACATACATCATTTGTTTCTGGTTCTAATTCTTATAGGAATAGACATTAAATAACTTTTTTATGCTATGCCACAAAATATTTATATTAGTTATTCTGAGATTTTACAAACATGACAATAATGTAAAACTGATGTAGCAAAAGCATATAAAGAGCTATATGTATCCTATAAATTAAATTCTTATAGAATTAAATTTAAAAGGAAGCAATTATTTAAAATGATATTTTAGAAGCATGTATTTATTGAGGTAGAAAAATAGTCATAATACTTTATGTGGGAAAAAATGGTACAAAGCAATAAAAGCTGTATGTTGCTGTTGTTGTTGTTGCTGTTTGAGATGGAGTCTCACTCTGTTGCCCAGGCTGGAGTGCAGTGACTCAATCTTGATCTCAGCTCACTGCAAGCTCCGCCTCCCAATGGGTTCACGCCATTCTCCTGCCTTAGCCTCCCAAGTAGCTGGGACTACAGGCGCCCGCCACCACACCCGGCTAATTTTGTATTTTTAGTAGAGACAGGGTTTCACCATTTTAGCCAGGATGGTCTTGATCTCCTGGCCTCGTGATCCGCCTGCCTCGGCCTCCCAATGTGCTGGGATTACAGGCGTGAGCCACCGTGCCCGGCCTTAAAAGCTGTATGATTCTTATAAAAAGAAAATGTCTGAAAATAAGATGACAATATTATTGACCAACATGTTATTAGAGATTTTAACTAGATGGTGAGATTATAGCTAATGTTTATTTTTTTCTGTCTGTGTTTTCTAATTTTCTACAATGAACATAGTATTTCTTGTACTATAAAAATTTGAATTATAGTGGGGTTGAAAATTGAGAAAGGCAAAGAGACACTGTACAAGGCAGGATAAGGTAAATTGTCTTGAAGCAACTGGCTGCCTACCATGTATGTCTCTATTTTCTCTTTTACGCTTCTCTTTTCTTCTCTCTTTTTTTACCCCCTCCTACTCTTACTTTAGGTGTTTTTTCCTTTTTCCTTTCCTTTTACTTTTTAATTCTCTGTCTTCTTTTCCTTCTCTCTTAATTATCTCTTGGGCCTCTTACAGGCCACATTAGGTATTGCCTGGTTCCGTTTGTGGCAGTCTGTGATATTGCCTGGAATGAAATGGTCTATGCAAACATCTTCTTGCCGCCACTGGATTGTATTGACTTTAATGACCTTTTAAAAAGTTCTTTTACAGCAAAACATACCAAGCAAAGAACATACATTTTATTATCCTTTTATTTTTAATTATGTAAATGTGCCAATCAGTAGCATTGCCTATATTGTAGGTGGTCTCACTGCAACTGTGTTGAAAAGCTTTCAGATATAGACAATAGGTAGTTTTCTCCAGTACTGATAAAGCTGAGCTGATCTTTCCACCTGCTTTAGTCTTTCCTTTTTGGACCACAAGGTTTATAATAAAATGTGTCCCATCTGGATTTGTTGACACTTGAGTTACCTTCGAATTCCACCACATCAGTAACTAATGGTTGCTTTTCCAAGTTGGGGCATTTCTTTAGTAGAGCTCCTCCTCTATCTACTACATTCTCCTTAGCAGAGCACAATCAATTACCAGCTTAAAGAAAAGGTAAAACTGTCTGACTAAAGTGCAAAGTAATTATTATGTACACAGTAGTCTGTAGTGGAAAGACCACTGAACTGGGGAGTCAAGAAACCTGAATTTTATCTCAGGTTCTGAAACCTGAGATAGTGGTGGCTAGGTGGCTAATCACTTCACAGTTAAGTCTCTGTTCGTTTTCCCTATTATTTTAAGCTACGATAGATGGTAAATACTTGTTTTGCCAATTCACATTTCTGCATTTTCTTCAAATGCAAATACTGTGTGATCTTCAGAAGTCACTGAATCTCCCTGAGCTGGTTTCCTCATCCACAAAATGGCCCCTTTGCTGCTCTAACATTATTTAGTTTGAAGTGATTTTGCCCAAAGACCAGGCTTCCTTCTTCCTGGTTTACCCTAAATTTAGCACCTACCTGTACCCACCACCACACCTAGAACAAAGCTGTTACCTTTTGCTCCACCTTTGGTTTTGTCTACGGCCCTTACCCCATCCCCCTCCACAAAGATAATTTTTTATCGCCATATGCATGAAACCAAGTAAATTGATATTCATCCAAATCCCATACCTAAAGTCTATTTCATTCGATTTGGATCTCCGGAGTTCCCACAATAAACCTGTCCCATTCACGTTATAAAGCCAGTGATTCTGGACCCTCCTTGCCAAAAGGTTGCCTTGTACTTTCTAAGCCCATGGTTCTTTCAATTTTCTAAATTTATTCATCACTTTGCCCCCTCACCCCGCCCCAGCAGT
This sequence comes from Homo sapiens, assembly GCF_000001405.40. Lineage (NCBI taxonomy): Eukaryota > Metazoa > Chordata > Mammalia > Primates > Hominidae > Homo > Homo sapiens. Next base: position 32,069,190 of record NC_000014.9, on the reverse strand, counting down.
ACAATCGAGAGCATCCAACAGCCCATCCTAGGCCCCCTATATAACCCTGTTTAGTAATCTATTCAGGCCATACCTTTTGTCCCTTATGCACGTTTATAGCTAGTCCCATTTTCATCCTTAGCCCCAGGCAACCACTACTCTACTTTCTGTCTCGAGAAATTTGCCTATTCTGGACATTTTGTATAAACTGAATCATACAATATGTGTGATCTTATGGATCTGGCTTATTTTACTTAGCATAATGTGTTTGAGGTTCATAAATGTTTTAGGATGCTTCAGTGGTTCCTTCCTTTTCATTGCTGAGTAGTACTCCATTGCATGGATATGTAGAATTTGTATATCCATTCACCACTTAACTGATGTTTAGCTGGTTTCCACTTTTTGGCAATTATGGATTATGTTGCTCTAAGCAACCAAATATTTGTGTACATATGTTTTAATTTCTCTTGAGTAGATACTTACAGGTAGAACTGATGGATCCTATAGTCAATTTATGTTTAACCCTATAAGAAAATACCAAACATGTTTTCAAAATGGCTGTATCATTTTATATGACTGCCAGCAATGTATAAGGGGTCTAGTTTCTCTATAATCTATAATATAGTATGGCCAACACTTGTTGTTGTCTATCTTTTTTATGATAGCCATTCTAGTGGATATGAAGTGGTATCTCATTGTAGTTTTATCTATCTATCTATCTATCTATCTATGTATCTATCTATCTATGTATGTATGTATCTATCTATCTAGAGACAGGGTCTCCCTCTGTTGCCCAGGCCGGAGTGCAGTGGCATGATCATAGCTCACTGCAGCCTCAAACTCCTGGGCTCAAGTGGTCTTTCCACCTTGGCCTCCTGATTAGCTAGGACTACAGGCATGTGCTGCCACAACTGGCTAATTAAAAAAAAAATTATTTTTTGTAGAGACAGGGTCTCGCTTATGTTGCCCAAGCTGGTCTTGACCTCTTGGCCTCAGGTGATCCTCCCACCTCAGCCTTTCGAAGTACCAGGACGACAGGTGTGAGCCACAGCATCCAGCCTCTCATTGTAGTTTTAATTCATATTTCCCTATATGACAAATGATGTTTGGCATCTTTTTATGTGACTATTAGCCATTGGTATCTCTTTTTTGATAAGTTATCCATTCAAATCTTTTGCCCATTTTAAAATTGGGAAATCAGTCTTATAATTGAGCTGGGCTTCCTTGAATTGCAAATTCTTTGATTGAATTTTTAAAACAAATCCTTAAAATGTTTTTCTTAATGCAGTGATGACTTTTTTTGTATTTTTATTTTTATTTTTTGAGATGGAGTCTTGCTCTGTTGCCCAGGCTGGAGTGCAGTGGTGTGATCTCAGCTCACTGCAACCTCCATCTCCTAGGTTCAAGCGATTTTCCTGCCTCAGCCTCTGGAGTAGCTGGGACTACAGGCTCACACCACCACACCCGGCTAATTTTTGTATTTTTAGTAGAGACGGGGTTTCACCATGTTGACCAGACTGGTCTGAAACTCCTGACCTCAAGTGATCTGCCCGCCTCAGCCTCCAAAAGTGCTGGGATTACAGGCGTGAGCCGCTGCGCCCGGCAGATGACTTTATTTTAATATTTTCCCTGTACCACTTCCCAAGAATCATTTTCTTGCATTAGCAGTACTTCTTTTTCCCAAATTGCAAAAAGTTATTAAAGATAAAATGTCATTGAGTAAAATACTCTCTTTGAGGGCATTCTTACAGTCATTCTATTTCACTGGTAACATGTGGTTGTTTAGACCTTCCCTTATTCTTCCTTCCTCAAACAGGATAGCTTCATGCCAGTTATCCTATTTGATTTTGTTGTAGAAGCCGTGCATTCATTCTATCAGAAAATCTAGGTGAAGAACTATTAAACAGTGAGCAATACGCTACCTGATCCACTTACAAGTGGATTCTCCATCTCAATAACATGAGCCTTGAGCGGGACTTTTTAGGCATATCAATCAAAACTGAGTGACTACTATTAACCTTCTTTTCCTTGGTGCCTAATTCATTTTCAGTTAGTAAATGTCTCTGAAAGTGAGTTAACTCTTTTAAGCCAACAGAATACAAATTTAGTAGTAGTTCAAAGTGATCTTTTCATTTGATACCTCAAAATAATGCCATGCCTTTTAATATTTTGTGGTGTGAGGCAACTTCTTGGCCCCAAAGAAATCATGTGCCACAGTGGTTTAGGAATTAGAAAGAAAAGAGGTTACTGCAGTTTGGATACTCAGTTCTGATTTACTGTGTGTACATCTGCAGTGTGGCCCACAGGTTCATATTATTGTGGTTAGCATCCCAAGCGTCATCCTAATTCTAATAAAAGAGCTCTGGTTTTGACAGTATTCTGTATGTTTGCTTTGTAATGGAACAGGCTGCTGACAATTCTTTGAATTTACCTGAGGGTAAAACTCCTCACCCTACCCCACTTCTCCACTAGTCACCTCATCAGTTAACTCAGTGTAATCAACTGTTGCAATCCACCATTCAGATTTTTAGCTAAATCATCACAACAGATATTTGCAAAGGTATTTTTTGATCGGCTGCCATTATGTACACCTGCAACTTACTGAAAACTCTTGTCTATCAAACTCTCCTAAAACTCAGAGAATAAGTACTCCGTAAGTTACTAAGAGGAAACGTCCTCATTTGAAAGTGGAGTCTTGCTACAAAGTAGCAACGCTTTGGGAATACTGACAATCTAGAGCTCCAGGAACACTCCTCAGTCCCCTTAGTCCTATTACACTGATCCAGATCTTAGTTTTAGTTTTTACTTTAATTTTGTTGAGAGCTCTTGTTTTAAAGTGGTATGTGTTAAGTATAAGCTGGTAACAGGGTGATTCATTTTAGTTTATTCTGCGTTATTTTATATATGAGATCTACATGTGGTTTTATATATTCTGGAAATTCCATATGGTCCCAAATTTATACAAATATTAAAAACAAGTATGGCCTGGGCAACATGGCAAAACCCCATCTCTACAAAAAAATATAAAAATTAGTCGGGAGTGGTGGTGCATGCCTGTACTCCCAGCTACTCAGGAGGCTGAGGTAAGAGGATCACTTGAGCCAGGAGGTTGAGGCTACAGTGAGCTGAGATCACGCCGCTGCATTCCAGCCTGGGTTATGGGAGTGAGACCCTGTCTCAAAAAAAAAAAAAAATTAAATAGCCTGGAAAGAAATATATCAAAATATTAACAGTGGCTATCTCTGGGTAATTTTCTTTAAAATATATTCACCTTATATATTGTCTTATATATTCATTTTACCTTCTTATATATATATGTTCTTATACATCTTTATACTTTTTTAGAATTTAAAAAAGAAGGTGTTTTTTAATGCTGCACATGTTAATCATGTCTTCTCATTTAAAATATTCCTCAAAATTACAATGATTGGTAGAATAAAAACACGAGTTAGGAATCCTACGTAGACTTTCTCTTTAGAGTACTACTTTGAGACATTCTCTCATTCAACAACCATCAATTTGCACCCACTCTGTGCCAAAGACAATGCTCCAGCCAGATACATAAAGATGAAAGGCACGATGCCTGCCTACAACAAGCTCATTTTCATGTTCTAGGATTGGATCTTAACTGAGAAATTGGCCCATAGATTACATTTCTGTTACAGTATAATAGCTTCATCATTTACAATTTCTCATTTTAAACATGACAAGCATAATAAAAAGAGGTGATAGATAGATAGATAGATAGATAGATAGATAGATAGATAGATAATAGAGTCTTGGAGAGTGACAAATTTGAACAGAAAATAATACTTTATCAAATTGACCAACTAACTTGCTCAAATTACTTATGTGATTAGTGTGTTTTCAAAACTCACATTCTGAATGTTAGAAGCACTTTGAATCAACTCTGTTGTTTTTCTTTTCTACTGTCAGATTTGTAGACTCATGGTTTTGTTTTTTGCAGTCGTTAAGGTTAGCGCCATGCCACCAAATGACATACAGGCCATTCTGAGACTGAGCGAAATATTGTTTTAACTGGCATATAACTGTTTTTATTTGGGTTTCTGTGGAATTTGAAAGTCTGCAACTCATCCAAAATAAGAGTATTCCACAAATTCCATTTCCTAACAACCATCCCTCCTTCATATACTGTTTCCATTTCTTTCAATGTAACTAAATTTTTAGCAGGACATTCCAAGAAAAGTTATGAAGGGAGGTGTTTTAAGACAAGCAAAACACAGAATTCGTCCACAAGTCCTCCTAGTGGTATTAACAGTACAGTAGTAGCAGCAGAATCAGTGGTAATAGTAGTATAAAAATAAAAATCATAATATAGTCAAACACTTAAAACATCAACCCTTTTAAATGACTTTAGGAAATTCCAGAATTAAAAATATCAACACTTGTACATGTATTGGTTGATTTAATACAAGTAATATTCATAATTCTTTAGTAGTATGTGCTATTTCTCAGTTTAAAGAAAAACTCTTTTTCTATGTTCCCCAATTTTTAGCCTACAAAATCTGTTTTTCTTTCCTTTTCTGTGTGTGTGTGTGTGTGTGTGTGTGTGTGTGTGTGTGTGTGTGTGACAGAGTCTCACTCTGTTGCCCAGGCTGGAGTGCAGTGATGTGATCTCAGCTCACTGCAACCTCCACCTCCCAGGTTCAAGCGATTTTCCTGCCTCAGCCTCCCGAGTAGCTGGGATTACAGGCGCACACCACCACACCCAGCTAATTTATGTATTTTTAGTAGAGACGGGGCTTCACCATGTTGGCCAGGCTGGTCTCAAACTCCTGACCTCAGGTGATCTGCCCATCTCGGCCTCCCAAAGTGCTGGGATTACAGGTGTGAGCCACCGCACCCAGCCTGTTTTTCTTTTAAGTGCAAAAATTTATCGGCACTCTAAACATTTTAAATGCAAGGAGAGGCCAGGTGCAGTGGCTCACACCTATAATTCCAGCACTTTGGGAGGCCTAGGTGGGAGAATCTCTTGACCGCAGGAGTTCAAGACCAGCCTGGGCAACATGGTGAAACCCTGTCTGTACAAAAAATTCAAAAATTAGTCAGGTGTGGTGGTGCACACCTGTAGTCCTAGCTACTTGGGAGGCTAAAGCAGGAGAATCACCTGAGCCCAGGGAGGTCGAGGCTGCAGTGAGCCATGATAGTGCCACTGCATTCCCACCTGGGTGACTGAGACTCTGTCTCAATCAACGCAAAGAGAAACTGAGGGACAGATTCTGCTATGGAGAGAAAGCCTTAAATAAGACCTTGGCTTGGTGTGGTGGGTCATACCTATAATTCTGGCACTTTGGGAGACCAAAGTGGGAGGATCGCTTGAGGCCAGGAGTTTGAGACCAACCTGGGCAACAAAGTGAGACCCCCTCATCTCTATAAAATAAATAAATAAAATTATCTGGGTACTGTGGTGTATGCCTGTAGCCCCAGCTACTCAGGAGGCTGAGGTAGGAGGATCTCTTGACCCCACATGTTTCAAGGCTGCAGTGAGCTATGATTACACCACTGAGCTTCAGCCTGGGCAATAGAGTGAGACCTTGTCACTTAAAAAAATTTTTTTTAATTAAGAAAAAAGAAAACTCTGGCTATATTTCAATGTAACATTACTCCTGCGGCATCTTGTTTCCTGAGAAATTCCGCTAATGGCAGCTCCCCATACGGGAGCCAGTCTCTTCTGATGTGCTAGTTAAACTCAGGAAAATTAATGGTTATGAGGCATATACATCAAGGCGAGCATAGAACCCACAGAATATAATAGCAGAGGAGACACTGAGAACATTCTGATTGTGACTGTCCAGTTGGTTTGCTGAATGGTAATAAGTGTTTTATTCTGGTCCTCGTTTCATCTGGGAAAAAGCCTTGGCATGTTTTTTCCAATTCTGTCTTTGTGCAGGCTCGTGGCAGGATGTTTTATTATGGTGATATGCTGCTGCTCACTGTCTCTTCACTGAACACAATTTATTTTTATTATTTTTGAGACAGAGTCTTGCTCTGTTGCCCAGTCTGGAGTGCAGTGGCACAATTATAGCTCACTGCAGTCTGGACCTCCTGGGCTCAAGTGGTTCTCCCATGTCAGCCTCCCAAATAGTTGGGACCACAGGTGCATACCACCACAACTAATTTTTAATTTTTTTGTAGAGATGAGGGTCTCACTATGTTGTTGAGGCTGGCCTTGAACTCCTGAGTTCAAGTGATCCTTGACCCTCGGTCTCCCAAGTGCTGAGATTACAGGTGTGAGCCATCGCACCCAGACTTGAAGACAATTTAATACAAATACTTCTGAGTACACTAAATTATGGGAAGTATGCTCTGTAAGAACTGGAGTGACTTGAATTCTTTTGCTTGAGAAAAAGAAGACTATTTTTGAGCATATAAAGGATGCTGTGATGAACAAAAGAAAATGAGCTTACACTCCCATAAAGTTAAAAAGAAAAAAAGAATGTCCTGACAGTGCTAAGTATAAAAATTAGACTCCATAGCATTTTGTAGGCTTCTCTAGAGGTGTTTAAAAAAATCAGAGAAAGTCAGGTGTGCTGCTGGTAAGTCAGGATAAAAGACGGTATATGTTCCTATGATAGATACTTAAGTGAAAAATGCCATTAAAACCAAATGTTCAATGTATCTTAACATGCCTATAAAACAAGGAGATTACATTTCACTTGGTATGAGCTCGTGGGAAATAGTGCTCTAGTGGCACATTGTACATACCGATATCAAAGTACTTGTCATATTATAACATTTCATTGGGTTATTTGTCTGAGTTCTTGGTCTCAGACTAATCTTTGCAACAGTACTACAGGTCCTCTATTCCCATAGTTAATAATAATAATGATAAATAATAATAATAAATGAGGGATTAAGTCATCATCCCGTTCCATATTTGTAACTTTTTAAAAAAACCTACACCTGCTCAGATAACAACATATTTGTGACATTTTGAATCATCCAAAGTTTAATAAATAGGCAGGAGAAGGGATGCTGTGCCATGCCTACCAAACTTTTCATATTCACTTCCAGAAATGTCAGTAGTTTCCATGTGGTATTTCGTGTTTTGACAAAATGTGGGACAAATACAAAATGACAAAAAAAACTCCACAAATTTCTTATCATTTTAAAATGAGCAGATTTTGTTCATTCTAGTGGCATTTAGGTACATTTGAAAAATAGTGCCTGTGGGACACTGTATGTGAGGTCTCCAGACAACGCTTGGTATGCATATATAAGGATTCCTAGCAAAAGTCTCAGGGATCTGGATTAACAGGTTCAAAATAACACCCGGAGCTGAGGAGACCTGGATCTGCAGTAACTCCCTGAACACATATGAACGTATCTTCTCTCTGAATCTTAATTTTCTCATCCATAAAATAAGGAGGTTGAATGGACTAGCTGCTCTTTCAGAATCCTTTGAGCTCTAAAATTTCTTTGATTATATCAAGCCCTTTATTTAGCAACCACAAGCAGTGAATTTAAATGTCATAAGTGGATGTAAATGTCAATATGTGGCAATATTAATGATTTTCATGCTAGGGAAATTGTTCTTATTAAAAATCTATCAATATTCCTATACATTTATGTTTAGTGAACCCATTATAAATATTAACCATGACTATTCTTTTTTGTTGCTGTTTTGTTCTATTTTGTTTTTTTGAGATGGAGTCTGCTCTGTCACCCAGGCTGGAGTGCAGTGGCACTATCTCGTGTCACTGCAACCTCTGCCTCCAGTGTTCAGGAGATTCTCCTGCCTCAGCCTCCCGAGTAGGTGGGATGACAGGTGTGCACCACCATGCCTAGCTAATTTTTGTATTTTTAGTTGAGATGGGGTTTCACCATGTTGGCCAGGCTTGTCTTGAACTCCTGACCTCAAGTGATCTGCCTGCTTTGGCCTCTGAAAGTGAGCCACCTTGCCTGGCCAAGCATGACTATTCCTAAACAATGTTTTATCTTTTATATTTCATTTAGGCAACGTCTTAGTCTATTTGGGCTAATATAACAAAAATACCACTGACTGGATAATTATTAACAGATTATTTTTGACAATTCTAGAGGCTGGGGAGTCCAAGATCAGGATGCCAGCAGATTTGGTGTCTGATAAGAGCTCATTCCTCATTGATGGCACCTTCTCACTGTGTCCTTACATGGCAGAAGGGGCAAACAAGCTCTCTTGGGCCTCTTTTATAAGGGGATTAATCCCATTCATGAGGATTCCACCCTCATGAACTAGTCACCTCCAAAAGGACCCACTACTTAATTCTACATATGAATTTTGAGGGGACACAAACATCAGACCATAGCAGTCAGTACATCTTAAAATTAGGTTTCAACATTTTTATCATTATATTTTATATGGAAACATTGAAGTCTGTCCAAAAGATTACACAGGAAGTCAGTGACAGAAATCATAACAGTGCTCTCATTAGGAAGTAATTTCTGCAAAGAATGCTAAAATAATCTGTTTATGCTCTCTTCTTAGTAATAAATTATTGAAATAATAATTGGTGATTTTCTTCTCTAAAATTAACACTTTCATAATTACTGATTACTATTAACACAGCATTTTCCTAGTTTGTGCTATTTGATTATAATTGATTAAAATATTATAATTGCTGTATCAAGGTTTGTCTATGCTTTTTAAACATTGAGGTTGAACTATACCTTAAAATATTGTTTAATATTATTATTACTTATGTAAATAGCATCTGCAAGAAAATTTTGGGAGTAAATGAGTTCCTAAAATTCTAATAAGTGCTTTCTCAGTAAATTTCAACAAATTATTATACTTTTTAATTTAAAAATATCAAGTCACATTTAATTCTAATGTTTATAGAGCTATTTGATATGTTCACTTTCCTTCAGTAATATGATTCCAGAGTTATCATTAGCATTTACTTTATCCTTTTGACCATGTTTCTCCTAAAGTGTGTTTATATACAAAACCAGCATGACTTTATACACAAACACACATATTTAATATCTAAATGCCATGCACAGATTTCTTCTTTTTCTTGATCATTTTGTACTCTCAGTGGATATTCAGGTAGCCACAGGAATAAATTTACTGTATCATTGTAAAACCTAATTACAGGAAAACATGTTTGTCTTAAAATACTGGGAGTCTAGAAATGAAGGGATTTCTACTCAGAAATTTGGGATAGACAGCGTTTTAAAAGCACCTGAGCACTCACTGTTCCAGGAAGAAGAGTAGCTTTCAATTTGGAGCAATGGAACTACTGTCCAGAATAAACCAGTACCAGTTTAACAAGAGCTTAGTGTGTTTATATTTCACCCAGGTATAAAACATTGCATTACGAAGCTAAGAAGTCATGTCAAGCTAAGATAAGCATGACAAAGGTCCAGGGATTTAGCTGGCCATGGCAAGGAGAAAAATAGAGCCTAAGAAATGAGGAACTTAAACCTAGAACAATTCCACAAAGCCAGGGAGTATGGCATTGAGACATCTGTCACCTCAGCCTGCCCTTCTTTTTACCTTGTCTCATTTCTGAATGAAGTAGAAAGACTGGACCACATTGTAGGCCCTATAAGGGGTCAGCCCCCTTCACAGTCACCCTGCTGTGTGGAGATAGATGCATTTATGGAAACTTGACTCTTCAAACCAGAGGAGCAAGCTTTGCATACTGATTAAGCACTTGCAGATTTAAGGCTGCTGAGCAGTCTCTTCGAGAAGCTTTCCCAGGATTGCTTGGTGGAATCAGCAGAGGAGGATTTTCTTCAAAAATATACTGAGTAGGGAATGGTTGAGATACAAACTGGAAAGCGCTGCATGACATGATTAGGGTCAGAAGCAACTCATTAGAAACTCACAAGGGTATAAATAGGCGTTGATTGGCCACTGCACGATGAAGAGGAGCCAAACAGGATTCTAGACATAGACACAAATACAACTTCTCAATTCTTTAGTTGAGAAACACTACTATAGTTTTAAAGACTAAAAGAAAGATCAGAAATTAACTTCAGCTTTATATAATCACACAGGAAGCAATTAAATGAAACAAGACAACTTGCTTGTTCAGAAATTAATTTCTATGCTAATCTTGAACCCCAAATTTTTGCTAATCCTGTTTTACTTTAATCACTTTTACAAAAGTACACACACTTAACCATGTTTTCCAAATGTCACTGTTTAGCAGTTTTCACAACATATTTAGTTCTGATACAGAACTTATCATTCTTATAATCATCCTAACAAATAAAAAGGGCAATCAAACCTAAACGCAATCACACACAAATTTTGAAATGCTTCTTGGTACAGGTGCCCCAGAAAATTTTTATACATCAGTTTGGCCCAGTCCAATTAATCAGAGGACCCTGCAATAAGCCTCTGGAATCACCTCTATGGGCTGAGGGGGAATCCGACAAATTACCAAATGATGGACGGACAATTGCTGTCATGATGCCTTTTGGCCCATCAGCAATCACTAGATCATGCAGAAGTCATTTTCCAAAGTAATGGTTATTTCCCTCTACACAAAGTCTTAAAAAGGTATAAATAAAATGACTATAGCTTTAATATGGATTCAGACAGGGACCTCTAAACCATCCTTCTTCCTCTAGGTTGAAACACACGTATGACATCTGAGAAAGAACTGTTTGTCCAATTAGTTTACTCAATCAATTGTTCATTCATCCTTTCATTTAACCAATATTTACTGAGTGTTGGATATTGTGCTTGGTGCTGAAGATATTAAGATAGAGACAAATCCCCTACCCTCGTTGTTTAATGTGAGAGGCAAACAGAAGAACATCAAACTATAGTGTTAATCACGCTAGAACACTTTTCACTGGGTGTGAAGATGCACTGAGGAAGGCCTCCCTGAGGAGATGAAGACTAGCCAGAGTCTGAAGGAGGAGAGAGAGCCATCACAGTGAACAGAGTAGGGAAGAGCCAAGGGACAGGCACTTGTCTAGAGGGTATAGAGAGGGGGCAATTTTTAGTTTTGATTTAATTTCATTCTGTTCTTATTATCCATCCTTTTTAATGAAAAAAAAGTTAAAAGAAATAAACTTAGTAGGAAGCATTTGGAAAGCTGAACTGTGACTGCACTGAACTTCAGCTCATAGTTTTATTGCTTCAGGCCAGGGAAAGGAGTCGGTAGTCTCCAAAGACCCGTTTTCCACTTTAAAATTTTCTGATTTTTGAAGCTGTAGAACAGGCCTAACAATAAAAGTGATAAAGAAGATTAACTTGCATTTGTGACTATAGCAGACAGGTTAGGTAGGAGAGGGTGCAGGGATAATACAGGAGGAAGTCCAGGAAGCATGGTCAAATGGCCGACAGTTAAGTCATCTTCCAATATTTTTCCAAAACTCTATGGCCCTGGTTCCTCAATCCCCTTTGAACATTATTTATAACTTTCCATGTGAGAGGTTGCAATATATCCCCATTCTTAGAAAACTCCATGCCCATTTAAAAACACAATTCAAAACATGACCACTACAGTTGTAGCCTGAATGTCTCATTTTTTCAACACTTTAAACGTCAGACTTCTTAGATGTCTCTCTTTATCCATTAGAAGTGAAATCATGGAAGCATTTTTTTTTAAACCCCAAGATGGGCAAGGTGGCTCACACCTGTAATCCCAGCACTTCGGGAGGCCAAGGCAGGTGGATTGCCTAATCTTGGGAGTTCGAGACCAGCTCGTCTCTAATAAAATACAAAAGACTAGCCTGGCATGATGACATGAGCTGGTAATACCAGTTACTCAGGAGGCTGAGGCAGGAGGATCACTTGAACCTGGGAGGTGGAGGTTGCAGTGAGCTGAGATTGTGCCATCGTACTCCAGCCTGGGCAACAAAGCAAGACTCTGTCTCAAAAACAAAAACCAACCAGCCAACCAAACAAACAAAAAAACAGAAAATATACATCAAATTTAGCAGCAATCCTGTCGTGGGGCTTCAATAGAACTGGATTGCAATTGTCTAATCTACTGAAAAGTACTTTATTCCATTTTTGCCTGCCTCTTCAAATCCATGCCATGGGATAATTTTTTAAGGGACTACTTCATTTGAATAGTTAAATTATCCTTGGACGTTGCACAAGATAGAACAAATATAAAACTGAAACTGAACTCAGCATTAAAACAAATCATTATGATAAAAACCCAAGTAATAAGACATCATTAAAACTTTCTGATTAAATTAACAGAAGTGGCACAATTTTTCCTTTGTCTTCCTTCTTTATGAAGCTAAAGCTTCTTTATGATGACATCTGAATGTATTTGAGGGATCAGTCAAACCAGGGTAGAGTTCCAACCTCCTATTAAACAGGGAAGAATAACAAAACAAAGGGCTATTATTATTAAGTGTTGCAATAGACAGTTCAAAGTGGCACTCAAAAAATTGGTATGTCCTTTAACCATTTATATGAGTAAGTATATGTATATGTACATATATCTATAAATTTAATATATGGGAAAAGGTTTGGATAGATGCACACTTGCAGAGGAAAGTGGATAGAGTGCAAGGAAAAGGGGTAAGGAGATGGCAAAGAAGAATTTGTAACTTAGGCTTTTATGCTGTTTAAATTTTTATGATTAAAGCTTGTTTAAAATTAAAAAACATAAAACAAAACCAACCAAGTCTGGGAGTCATGATTACACCACTGCATTCCAGCCTCAGCAACATAGCAAGACCCTATCTCAAAAAAAAGAAAGAAAGAAAGAAAGAAAGAAAGAAAGAAAGAAAGAAAGAAAGAAAGAAAGAAAGAAAAGAAAGAAAGAAAGAAAGAAAAGAAAGAAAGAAAGAAAGAAAGAAAGAAAGAAAGAAAGAAAGAAAGAAAGAAAGGAAGAAAAAACAAAACATACCAAACCAGTATGCATCAATTATTAATCAAGAGAAAAGAACAACATTAGTGGATATGGTGGCTTGTGTCTGTAGTCCCAGCTACTCTGGAGACTGAGACAGAGAGGTACTTGAGCCTGGGAGGTAGAGGCTACAGTGAGGTGTGATTGTGCCACTGCACTCCAGCTTGGGTGACAGAGTGAGACCCTGTCTCAAAAAAAAATCAGGCTGGGCGCGGTGGCTCACGCCTGTAATCCCAGCACTTTGGGAGGCCAAGGCAGTTGGATCACCTGAGGTCAGGAATTCAAGACCAGCCTGGCCAACATGGTGAAACCCCGTCTCTAATAAAAATACAAAAATTAGCTGGGTGTGATGGCAGGCGCCTGTCACCTATAGTCCCAGCTACTCAGGAGGCTAAAGCAGGAGAATTGCTTCAACTTGGGAGGCAGAGTTTGCAGTGAGTTGAGATCGTGCCACTGCACTCCAGCCTGGGTGACAGAGCAAGACTCCGTCTCAAAAAAAAAAAAAAAAATCAATAGCCAACTGATAAATGGAAATGAATGAATAGAGTCTAGTTTAGACTCAGTGACACATCAGGGTATAGACCAGAGCTCTGCTTTAAAATCTGTTAAAAAAAAAAAAAAAAACCAAACTGGCCCCAGCACTTTGGGAGGCCAAGGTGGGAGGATTGCTTGAGGCCAAGAGTTCAACACCAGCCTGGACAACATTGTGAGACACTGTCTCTATTAAAAAAAATAATAATAATAACAAAACAAAACAGTACAACAGTAACAAAAAGCCTAAAATAAAGAAAGTTAGGGTCCATAGCATACATTAGAGCAGGCGTACTAGAAGTCTATTGGAAAAGGTTGAAAACTATCTTGGTAGCAGCTTCTTGTTCTTTTCTTGCTATCAGATAAGGTACTTTCAAACATTGAATTAGGTAACCCAAAAGCATAACATCTCTGATTTGGTATGCATTGCAACTTTATACTATACAGATTGCATCATTTTGTACTATGTGTCAAGTATGTCACTGAAAAGTCATAAAACACATGCATTTTACCTGTGATAAATCACCTTGACTAGGTCACAGAAGAAGTAGATTGCATACTGCAGAGTTTTCTAAGTGCCATGTAAGAGCCCTGAAACTTAGTGACACTTCTCTTATTTTTCTGACATGAACGACACATACCATCAAAATCATGGCCCCATCTCACATTTGTTACATTTTTGACAAGCAATTTTCATTCAGTAATGCTTGTTCATGTATACTTGCATAAAACAAAAGGAGACATATAACAGTTTTTTTCATTCATAATTGTAAAGGAGTATTCAACTATATACTGTATAATGCTGGTCATTTCTTAGAATTAATGGAATTAATATGATAATACATAAATAACTAAACTATAATAACATTTTATGTAGGGATTTTTGTTCCATTGTACTCAGTTGTACCTAGTACTTAATTCCCTCATTTCCTCCCTTTTCTTCTTTTTTTTCCCCTCCCATATTAGTCTGTTTTCACTCTGCTGGTAAAAACATACCTGAGACTAGGAAGAAAAAGAAAGAGGTTTAATGGAGAATTTGCAGTTCCACATGGCTGCAGAGGCCTCACAACGATAGTGGAAGGCAAGGAGTAGCGAGTCACATCTTACATGGATGGCAGCAGGCAGAGGGAGAGAATGTCCAAGGAAACTCCTGTTTTTAAAACCATCACATCTCATAAGGCTCATTCACTATCATGAGAACAGCACAGGAAAGACCCGCCCGCATTGTTCAATCACCTCCCACCCGGTTCCTCCCATGACACATGGGAATTGTGGGAGTTACAATTCAAGATGAGATTTGGGTGGGGACACAGCCAAACCATATCACATCCTATCCTTTCTTCCTGTCTTCCTGCTTTCCATAAATATGTATTAAATACCTATTATGCAGCAAGTAGTATGCTGGGTACTGGGAATCCGCAGATAAATGTGACATAATCCCTGCCTTGGATGAGTTTACATTGCAGTGGGGTAGCCACATATGTAAACAGGTGAATCTGAATAAAACATGGTGTCACAAACAAAATCTTGATGAGAAAGAGAATAATATTAATCGGGCATGCCACACACCATGTTAGATTTTTTTTTTATTATTAATAGCACCAGTCGCTCTGAACCTAAGATGTTTTATGTACATTATTCACTTAACCTCACACTTAACTTTCATACCTTCACATAAGTATTTTTACCTTCTTTTTGCAAAAGAGGAACTTGAATTGCAAAAATATTAAATTATGTGAACAAAATTTCAAAGCATCTAAGAAATAATTGGCAGTACTATTAGGATGGTAAACTATAAACTTGGCTGGATTAATTGGCTTGTCAACACTTGCTCCTGAACTAGAACATGTTGTCAAAGCTCGCTTTTAGACAGACAGAAAGAGGCTGCTATAGTTCATTACAAGGAAATACAGTATTTGTTTTAATCATTTTATTTTGTACTTCAAGTATAAGAAGACAATAGTATCATTTTATCAACAATTAATTCAGAATAGAAATGTATTGATAATTGGGTAACTAAATTTTCCTGAGAACAAAAGCACTGATACTCTATATGGAAAATAGAGGACTCTAGAAATGCTATTGAATGATGATATAGTTTGGGTATTTGTCCTCTCCAAATCTCATGTTGTAATGTGATCCCCAGTGTTGGAGGTGGGGCTGAGTGGGAGGTGTTTCGGTCATGGGGGAGGATCCCTCCTGAATGGCATAGTGCTCTCACTGCTGTAATAAGTGAGTACTTGTTCTATTAGTTAATGTAAGATCTGATTGTTAAAGATTCTGAGACCTCCCTCTTCCCTCTCTCTTGCTCCCTTTCTCACTGTATGACATGCTAGCCTTCCTTGCTTTTCATCATGAGTAAAAGCTTCCTGAAGCCTCGCTAGAAGCTGAGCAGATGCTAGTGCCATGCTTCCTGTACAGGCTGCAGAACCATGAGCCAAATAAACATTTCTTTATAAATTATGCCGTCTCAGGTATTCCTTTATAGCAATGCAAAACAGACTAACACAAATGGCTTATCTGATCTCCATTTTACCAACATTCTTTAATTTCACAGTTTATATGCATCCTTATAATGGGAGATAATTTTCTTCCTTTTTGGGGAGCAGTATTGGTATAGTTTCTACAGCCAAGAAGTATCCAGAGGTCTTAAGGCCCTGTAATTTTTTGAATATTATATCTTATAAGCTTTTTTGGGAGTCGGGGCTGGCATTTTATAGCTGGTAAAAGTGAAGAGCTAAGAGTATTAACTAAAAGGTGAAAGAAAGGACAGTTAATGAACCTTCCTCCTAACTATAATATAGTTTAACATTTTCTCTTCTTTTTAAATATACATGAAAGATACTTTGTCTGCTTCCTTCTTTCCTTACAACAAACATATATTAAACACCTATTGTGTTCCGGGCTTTGTGCTAGATACTGTGTGTACAGTGAAATAGCTCAGAGTCTAACAAAGATAGGCCTACAAAGAGATTATTATATGATAGTAGAGGTACCATTGAGCAGTCAGCACAGTTACCATGTTATAGACACTGTATTATGTGCTTTACATGGATTATTTTATTTAATACATAAAACAACTCTGTTCAGGTGGATACTAATATTGTCTCCATCTTACGAATGAGGACAATAAAGCCAACAGAGGTTAGGTACTTGCCCAAGATCACACATCCAGAGAGTGGCATTGCTAAGTGTGTTTGTATTTTAATTACTACAGGATGCTGCTGTAATAGTGATATAAACAAACAGCTGTGGGAGCCCGAAAGGGCTAAAGGGGACTTGGCTTCCAGGCAGTCCAGAGATGCTTTACAGAGGAGACCACATTTGAGCTCTACCTTGAAAGAAGAAATAGAGGAAATTCACTGGGTGGAGAAGAGTGGAAGAGCATTCCAGGCTGTCAAAAAAAGATATGCTAAGGCACAGAGGTGTAAAAGGGCATGGCAAGGTTGAAGAAACAGTTCAGGATCTGTAAGAAATCAATACACCAAAAGCCAGATGTGGAAGATTTGCATGCTTCAACAAGGAGCTTGGTCTTTATCTTCTAGGCTGCAAAAAACTAAGCAGGTAGAATAAAAAGTGTGTGTGTGTGTGTGTGTGTGTGTGTGTGTGTGTGTGTGCTTTAAGTGGGAGCTGAACAATGAGAACACATGAACATAGTGAAAGGAACAACACACACTGGGGCCTGTCAGTGTAGTGGGGGAGGGAGAGCATCAGAATAAACAGCTAATGCATGCGGGGCTTAATACGTAGGTGATGGGTTGATAGGTGCAGCAAACCACCATGGCACACGTTTACCTGTGTAACAAACCTGCATGTCCTGCACATACATGTATCCTGGAATTTAAAATTAAATTAAATTAATTTTTTTAAAGTGTGTGTATTTGTGTGTGTGTGTGAGTGTGCACGCATGTGTAAATAATGGTTACAGCAATGTAGAATGCCAGCTAGCCTACCAAGTTTACCCATAGCCTACCTGAGATTCTACTTCTGGGGACTAGAACTAGATGCTGAGAGGGCAAATAAAACTAGGTAATAAGGGAAGTTTTATTTATGTTCACACCTTATCATGCCATGTTATTATGCTAAGCATTTATACATATATTATTTCAGTTGATCCTCACAACAACCCCAAGAAGTTATTTATTTCTCTATTTTGAAGAGGAGAAATCTGATTGTTAAGAAAGTGATCTGTGGTCATATATGTGATCACTAGCTAAGGTGAAATCTAAACCACCCAAGTCTGTCTTCCTCCAAAGTCCAAGGCCTTTCCACAGAGAACATGTTCAAGGACACTACAATTTAATGGTTCCATTCATTCCAGTTTGCCTTCACTGAATTTAAATAAATTGCCTTCAAGAGCCAAAGTACTAAAGCAGCAAATGGACATGATAAAATAAGGGTCACAAAGCAGATCTATAAAATGCAGGACTAGTTAAAGCTCTTTTTAAAAATATGCTTTATATTTCACCTTTGTTGGCATATTGCCATCCTCCTAAAAGGGAAATTTCTACAGATGAATATGTCATTTGCATTAGCGGTTTTGGAAACTTCCAAGAAAACTATGATTTGAATAAAAGGATGTGGCATTGGAGCAAAAATTACACTTAGCTTTACCTAGCACCCAACTCCCAGAATCAAAGTTATTACCAAAATGATTTTGAATAGGCTGTGTGCATTTATCTGCATATGTATATACACACACACAAAAGCATTTGCATGTGCACATACACACAGTGTCTGTTTAGGGAAACCATACTAGCCCACTGCCCTTAAGACCTGTTTGCAAGAACATATTCCTGTGACTGAATGCCCTTGATACCACAGTATATCAAGTTTCACATTGCTGTGGCAAAGTGCCATTACACTTCTATTATCATTCATTAAGTTTCACAAATGGATTGGGGAAGATAATCCACATGGTGTAAGTGCCATGTAACTGTTAGTTGCTCCTGTTGCTATTTTTATTACTCACCATCATTATCATTATCATTACTTTTCAAATAGACTAGCATTAATACTACCGGGGTAGACCCTAACACCTTGTTTGGAGGGTGTAGCCATAGCAGGAATCTCATATGCCTTTGCCCAAAGAAGTATCTTCTTTTATCTGAAAAGGGCATTTTCTTCAGATAATCAGATTGGCTCAATCAAGCCAATAATCATTCCATGATTTGATTTCCCTCTTTCAGTTTGTCCCCTCTTCTTCCTTTCTTTCAATGAGTATCTTTTAACCCTGATGTTTACTTCATCTATTTATTCAGTAAATATTTACTGGGTACCTACTCCAGGACAGACCCAGTTCCAAATGCAGTGAATAAAGCAGCCAAAAACACCTGCCCTCAGGAAGCTGCTATTCTATTGCATTGGTCATGCCACACATCAGATTGTCAGTCAACCTGAGGATGCGTGTCAGGCATTCTTCCAGGACCTAGGATTGGCAACAGGTGAAGAGTGGGGAGGAGAAAAGACCAGGCCTCTAGACAGCCCCCAGTCCCTACCCGTACCCTCCTGCCACACCAGGGTGCCAGAGGGGAAAAAAAATTCTCCTCTTGTCACGCTCACCTTTGTGTGATCCCCTGGGTTGTTACTGCCGCTGGAGTCTCCCAACTCTTGCAGTTGCGGATGTGGCTCTCTTACTTTCCAACAAGCAGATGCCTAATACCAAGCACCTAGGATACAAAGCTTTACCTGAGGAAAAATCTGAAGATTTGAAGGAACTGAGGGCATTTTACGTGAAAATCAGGACTTCTGGCTGCAGGCCCTGTGTAGGCACCTTCTCATTAGGTTAGAGCCCATGCTGCAGTCTAGGAATCCATCCACACACAACCCACCTCTGCTGAGCGAGAAGCCCACGTTGGCAATGCCTGAAGGGCACTATCAGGGAGACTGAATTTGACCTACTTCATACTCAGATTCCATCTCTGTAGGATCTTAATGAGCTTTATTCAACCAAATCTTCTCAGTTCCCCTAAAAATTGAGGAAGGAAACAAGATTCAAAATGATTCATTTAGTATATCCTTTTCTTATGCAGTGTTGATTAAAATCACTGTTTTTAAGCAAGGATATTTCATTATAAGAGCCGGAATGGAAACTGTCTAAAAAATAGGTAAATTAAACTCTTAGAAAACACAAAAATGTTATTTTGGCCAGTGATTCAGCCACATCACTTCAAATCAAATCTTTTACTAAGAGTAATAACATATGAAGAAAATGGATGTTTTGAGTTGCATTTCTTATTTTCTCTTTCCTCCTTCTGGTGGAGGTGACTAATGAACAATGAAATGGCCAAGAGGTAGGCAGGAAGCCACAGAGGTGAGGAGGAGGAGCGAAAGATAGGAATAATCCACAAATAGTTGCTAGGTCTGAAACAATGAGGAATTCAGTGTATTTCCACTTTACAAGGTAAGGGAAGAGGAAAATAATAGTTATGTTAGCTTAGGTAATGACAGTAATTAGTAGTTGCATGCTTTTAATAGGCCAGGCCCAGTGCCTGCACAGTATTTTATTTCTATGATCTCTCAGCAGTTCTGCAAGGGTGGCATTATAGTTATTTCGAAGAAGAAAAATTGAAGACTTAGAGTGTTCAGTAAGTAAGTTGCCCAGGCCCACATAGCAAGGTTAGCCTGGAATGGAACCCAGATTCAATGCCCTTCACTTTCACCATAGGTCTCCTCTGTACCAGTCCTTAGAATCTAGTGCAAAACAGTACAAATTCCCCAAATGGGAAAATGTTAACACCTCAGTTTAAAACATATTAAATAACATTCTAGAGGAATATATAGGATATCATTGGCCTATGGAATGTAAACCTTAGTGTACATAAAAGTTATCTAGAGAACTTGTTTAAATGGCATATTCCTGGGTCCCACCCATGGAGATTGAGATTCAATCTGTCTGGGAACCTAGGAAGAGTCTAGGAATCTACATTTTCAGAAAGCATCCATGTGATTAACAAAGGCGATCCTCAGATCATACTTTGACCTTACCCCAAATTGTGAATTCTCAATTTACCATTCCTTTGCCTCAACCACTTCATTCTAATGTATATGAAGCTTTGTCAATTTGATAGTCTAGTGTAGCTGAAAAAAATACAACACTGGCGTAAAGAAGCCTAGGGTTCTAGGTAAAACTCTGTTGCTAACAAGTTGGGAAAACTCAAATAATTTATTTGAATTTGGTGGGCTTTTTTTCCTCACATGTAAAATTAAGCATTTCATACACCTATGATTTTATTTGGCTGAAGTAAGCCAAATTTTTAAATAACAATCTATAGAGCCTAAACATCTCAATGGTGACATGTAAGAAGCAAAGTCTACTTTATTTATAAATTTGTAATATCAACAAAGTGCTTCCAAATATCATGCATTTGGGAGAAGGAAATGGGAATCCAAAGATGGAAGCAGATATAACTTAAATTATATCATTAAGGCAATTCCGTTGTTTGCTTAGCAATGGATTTCCTCAATCGGGTAGTTGCACCTGTAACTAAGAATGTTTCAAGTATATGGTATTTCCAATCTTAAAAATCAAGTTTTTGTTCATCTTAAGAAACAAAAAACAAAATCCTGCATGAAATAAAAAAAATTTAAAAAGGCAAAAAAAATCAAGTTTTTGCATAATAATTCGTTCTAATTTTCAATAGTATCTTGAAGTTTAAAGCTATTTTGAGCTTGTTTTTAAAAAACTAAAGATACCCCTTGATTTATATTAATATACCACTGGATGTTAAAAGCACAGGTTAAGAATTGCTGATTTATATCTTAGAGAAAAATGCTCACAGTATGGCATATTGGGTGGTTAGTGTTCATGGAGACAAACTTAATGAAATGAGTCACACAAATGAAGTCACAAGTTATAAATGAGAAGGAAGGCCACTGATGCAAAAAATACATAGTTCTAAATCAATGAGGAAAACCACAAAGTGAACTTGTTGTACCGTCAGAAAATTGTATATATATTTACCTCCCTTGAAATATTCCTCTTTGCTCTGTGACTTATTAATACCTTCCCAGAAGCCACTAATTTGCTTCTTCAAACACACTAATTTGGCGGCAGAATTTGGTTGCAGAAAGAGACAATAAAAAAATGTATTATTACATAGGAATTCTGAATCACTAGAAACAAAAGAAAAAATTCACTCAATTGTGAACTAAGTTAAGATGCACTACTTACAGCAATGTTGAGAAAAACATTAATTTCACATTTAGATAGTGTATAATATTTCCTCCAACATTTTGCAGTATAATTTAACAGCTCTTATTTAAAAAGGAACTTCTCAACTCAATCAATGCCAGTTTTATCTCCAAAGCTTTCAATTATACCACATTCCCAAAAGCAATGTATTAAGTAAACTCAATGCATTCATAATCTTACATAGCCTGTATAGCATAGTAGAGTCATTTAGGGAAGTGTACTGAGATTATTTTGCATGTATCACAGGGATAAATATACTTTTTCTATGTATTTTCTAGCTATTTCTTTAGCAAGATCTTGGAGAGTTCATAAATTGACTTTGACTTCTTCAGTTTATGATTTTGCAGCGTCCAAGAAAGATAAAATGTTTCTGCTGCAGCTAAGGAGGATAATATTGCTACAGTCTATTTGCTTGTAAGGTAAGCTCAGAAGTCAAAATGAAAATGTTACTGTTTTAGGTCAAAAATTCTAAGAAAAACAATTTTTAAAATATGTATACTCATCTTTAATAACATCCATGAATTCTATGCCTTAAAAATCCAAAGGAACTGGTGCATTTCTGACTTAAAAAAATTTCAGCCAATAACCTCTAATTCACACACAACCTAAAATATGAAACACCAGAACCAAACCACTGACAAGCCGTCAAAGGCCAGCGAGGCACCAGGCTCTGTAGATGCTTAAGCACCTTCCTCCTTCACATTTTTCTGCATCTTCTAAAGTGAGAAAACAGTTCTGTGAGCCTGAAAGGGGCTGGTGGAACTGCAGAGCTCTCTTTACCAAGTCAAATTAGATGAGTATGCCCCCTGTGGACCAAGGACTTCTATAATTATGATTTTCAGAAATCATTGGAATGCAACTTGGCCTGCAAAATTTGCATTTAATTACCTAATTTCTTAGAGACTCTGGCCCACTTAAACAATTTTGGGTATAATTATGGTCTAAGGATATCCTATCAATGTTGAGGGAAACAGAGAGACAGGCCTCAGTTGGTAATGTGTCTATTTTGTAAATTGGTAGACGAAGTAATTCTGAAGCATAATTCTGAATAACTCTGGTGTCTGAAAGGCCAGAAGAAGGAAGAAGGACTATCAAAGTAGATAAAATGTATTAATTACAATGGCAGCTAAAATTTATCAAATGTTTGACATGAATGATCTTGGTTAATCCTAATGGTAATCCTTTGAGCTAAGGATAAGTATATATTCTGTTTTACAGAGAAGGAAACTGAGGCTCAAAGAAGTTAAGCAGCTTGTCTAAGGATTCACATCTGGTAATAGCAGAATCAGCTTTTTTTTTTTTTTTTTTTTTGAGACAAGGTCCTGCTCTGCCACCCAGGCTGAAATGCAGAGGCATGATCTTAGCTCACTGCAGCCTCAACTCTCTGGGTTCAAGTGAACCTCCTGCCTCAGCCACCCAAGTAGCTGGGACTACAGGTGCTTGCCACCACACCCAGCTAATTTTTAATTTATTTGTAGAGACAGGGATGTCCCTATGTTACCCAGGCTGGTCTCGAACTCCTGAGCTCAAGCGATCCTCCCTTCTTAGCCTCCCAAAGTGCTGGGATTATAGGCATGAGCCACCACACCCAGCCCAGAATCAGAATTTAACCCAGGCAGCTGGGTTCCAGATCTGATATGTTTAAAAAGTATGACATACTACCTTCCAGAAGTGAAGAATAGAAAGGAAATTCCTCTTCTGTTTCCATAAATCCAGCTCTACAACAGTTAGCTTATCTCTGCCTACACATCATTAGTAGCCAAAGTAATGAGACAATCTCCAAGGTAAGCATCATAAAATGTTCAAATGAGATTTAAATAAGAAACTTATATTTTTAGTTTATGCTACATTGTGCTTTACTAAAGGCAATTTATTTCATTCAGTACTTCAGAAGCCATACTATTAATTTTGGAATGTGAAATTAGCTAAGGAATCCTGGGATTCCTTACTTGTCCTATTCAATCTGTTACTCTTTTTGATAGATATTTCTCTAGCACCGAGGTTCCAAAATTTGGGGGCATGGAATTACAGCCTCCGTGAACACATTTCAAGTTGTAAAGCTCCTTGCGAAGGGGTGGGGAAGACAGGGCAACTCTCTATCTAAAATGTGGGGGAATTGGCCATAAGACAAATAGAATTCTCTTTCATATGACTCTGACTGGGAAAATCTCACTGCCTGGAGATGCCTAGAAGAAATTTCTTGCCAACTCTGACTAGGGAGCTTGGGATATCCCAGCAGCACTCCTTCAGCAGTGGGACCCTTACAGTCCACCCCTCACCTTTAAGGACCAGTGTTTCTCAGCCTGAGTAGAGATGCTAAGGAATCCCAGGAACCCTGTGCAATTCCTAACATCTTAGGGGCACAGCTAAACAGTGCACACTATTTTCTTCCCCAGCCTTTCTATTCTGAATTTTGGGGTTCTGTGTTATCTGCAATCACACAGATCTCAAGCTTTGAAAAGTGACAATGACCAATTTCTCTTATGATCCATTCATTTAAAGCTTGTGGTCAAACAGACAAAGAAATGACTGAAAAAGGCTGGAAAGCTTAAGAACGTTTTATAAATTATGTAATATATTAAATTGCCTAAAAGCGCATGTGCCTTTTCAAAAGATAGCATCCTTGTTTTTAATCACGTTCTTATTGTCTAGACACAAGTTCAGCCTATATTTCATGAAACATTATTTCCTTATCTGGCAATGACTTTTCTTGAACCTGTGGTCAGATTAGAAGGTTGGGCAGATGGTACCTTCAATTTAAATACAATGTTTGCTCTACCTAAGAAGAGTATTGACTATAAAAGTCACAGGCTCCGGACCATTTCCTGTGGGATTTTTCCACTATCCTTCCAATTAGTCAAAATGATGTTTCTCTAAACATGATCATTTATTTTTCTCTGGAGGGTTGCCTTCCATACCGTTCAAGAAAGATAATTCTGGAAAATAAAGGAAGCTTTCTACTCTCCATGCCCTGGTCCCGTGCAATATTTATGATTAATTGCAGCCCCTATGAATGAATGACGAAAGAAAAAAGCATTTAGTTTCCTTGTTCTCCTCACATAAAAAAGCATTTGTTGCAATTTGGGTCCCAGCCAACTTTCATTGTTTAGGCAATAAT
The DNA here is from genome assembly GCF_000001405.40 of Homo sapiens. Taxonomy (NCBI): domain Eukaryota; kingdom Metazoa; phylum Chordata; class Mammalia; order Primates; family Hominidae; genus Homo; species Homo sapiens. The sequence continues at coordinate 32,044,532 of NC_000014.9, read as the reverse complement.
TAGTCAAATTATAGCAATCACTAACAATCATAACAGAAATCATATAATTGTAATTTAGACCAATGACCTTGGACTTATGAAAATAGGATGTGGGGTATTTAATTGGATAATGTTGCACTATAATTCTATACCTATAAACTCTAGGTTTTTATATTTGTTGATTAATTTACAATACCCTGAACCTAAACATTTCTGAAAGTGACCAAACAATGTAAGTTCCACAAAAGATCCAAATAGCATCTTGTTGCAAACAAACTGAGCCATATTAGAAGTAAAATAAGACTCTCATATAAATAATGACTTCAGATATTTCAGAAATGTGAATTGATTTGCAGCAAACACTTAAATTGAACTGTTTTGGGAAATTGGGTCCAGTTTAAATTATTGAATGATTATAGCAAATCAACATATTTTCTAATCAGAGAAATGCTGAATCTGTTCAATACTTATCTCAGTAGAGTTCACCTTTAAAAACAGAATGGATTACACAGACAAAAACAAACCTCAAGTTGGATACCTCCCATCAACAAAACGATGAATAAAAGACTCTTCCAGCACAGCAGGCAAATCTCCCCTTTAATAAGTAGCCAAGAAAAAAAGCAATATTTCAATGTTTGCTTTCCTTCCTCTAAGGGAGAAGGTTTCACTATGACTTATTTTACTTCCTTTTGATTCTGTCCTATTTTCTTGGCTGTCACAGACAGCTCCAGTAGCAACATGACAATACCACTTTGCACTTGCCGAAAGCGCCTTTTCTCTAAAACTCTCAGCTGTGGTCTATGCGAGGAGAGTATAAAACAGGGGAAATGATGCAAACATTGAAGTTCATCCTGTCATTCAAACATTTTGAGAAAAGCAGAATCATCTTAACCCAAGGCTGGGAATGAGGGACACCCTCCAAAAACAAAACAAACACAAATTTTTTTCCCAGAGTTCATGCTTAGTATCCTTGAGGCCTCTGGCAAGATTTATCATTATCTCGAGCTCTGGCTCACATATAAAATAAAGCAATGTCCATTTCCTTATGAGGATGTGAAGAATAAGTAGATTGCCTTTTCCAAAATAAAAGTTGGAGGTAAAAAAAAAATTAGATTGCTGGAATTCTAAAAATAAGCCTTAAGTGGGTACCTAGAGAGAATCAATCTTGAATGCGTGTTTCTGGAGTAGGGAAAACTCATATATCTATATAAAAAGAAAAGAAAAGAAAAGATGTACTTGTCCAGGGAAGAAACACCTCACAACAAAAAATGTTTCAAAATAAAAGTTTTCAAAAGACTGTTAATGCTGTCTCTCCGTATGTGTGTGTGTGTGTGAGTGTTTGTGTATACACACACATCTATATCTACCTATACAGTATTTTTTAATGGAAGAAAGAAAACTTTCTTTACAAATATCAGAGCTATCTGATGTATATTTAAGGTTGTTACTTAAGGTTATCATCATAAGACAGAGATTTTGGACTCACCAGACATCTGATGAGTGAGTGCCTGGATTTCGAAGATTGGTGCTCACCCCTTTCCTCTTAGCATTTATAATGACCTTCAAAACTCAGAGCAGTTTCCTCTTCACATTTTGTCAAAGATACAAATAATTTATTTCAGAGTTTATCAGCTAATTAGAAGAGTTGGTGTGTGGGGGTTGAAAATTTCTCATCCCAGTTTTTGAATTTAATGAACTTGAACCAAAATATGCATAGCAACTATCTAATCCCCTATTATAAGAAAGCACAGGGAAGAAATAAATCTACTGGCATAATCAGAAAGAACTTTTCTTACAACTATGAATTTCTTTTAGATTAAAAAATATGTTTTTTCAAAAAGAGATTACAAATCAGTATATACAGTACCATTCTGTTTTTGGTTTGAAAAAATACACATATATACAAGTCAAATACAGCAACATATAGAAGGATAATATATCATGGCTAAGTGGGATTTATCCTGGGAATGCAAGCCTGGTTTAACACTGAAAAATTAATTAATATAATTTGCCATATCAACAGACTAAAGAAGAAAAATCACATGATCATCTCAATATTCATACAAAAGCATTTGAGAAAATTCTACATCCATTCATAATACTCTCAGCAAACTAGAAAGCAAAGGGAAATTACTTAACCTTTATTGATTAATAAAGGGTGTTTACAAAAAACCCTACAGCTAACATCATATTGAATGGTAAAAGACTAAATGCTTTTCCCCCAAGAACAGAAACCAGATAAAGACTCTCACCACTTCTGTTCAACATTATACTGAAGGTCCTAGCCAATTCAATAAGGTAAGAAAAAAAATAAATGCATGTAGATTGGAAATACTACAATTTTGTCTGAAGATAAATGAACACATCTAAAGATGTTCAATGATATTAGTTATTAGGGGAAATGCAATTAAAACTACCATATTATATTCCTTCATACCTATTAGAATTGCTTTTTAAAAAATGATCATAGTGAGTGCTGGTCAGGGTGTGGAACAACTGAAACTCTATACTTGCTGGTGGGATATAAATGGTAAAGCTGCTCTGAAAAACAGTTTGACATTAAACATGTACTTAACATATGATCCAGCAATCATATTCCTATTACTCAAGAGAAATGAAAACTTATTTCCACACAAAACCTTTACTTGATTGTTGTAGTGGCTTTATTCATAATTGCTAAATACCGGAGACAATGCAAATGTTCTTCAACTGGCAAATGGAAACAAGCTGTGGAACATGTATACAATGAAATATTACTCAGTGATAAAAAGAAATGAACTACTCATATGTGCAATAATATGGATGGATCTCAAATGCCTTATGCTAAGTGAAATAAGCCAGACTCAAAGGGCTACATCCTGTATAATTCCACTTATGTGACATCCCAGAAAAGGCAAAGTTTTAGGAACAGAAAATAGATTGGTTGGTCACCAGGCGGCTGAAAGTAGGAATAAGAGCAGGGCTTGACTACGAAGGCAGCAAAAGGAATGTTTTAAGGGTGATAGAACTGTTCTGTATCTTGATTGTGCTGGTGCTTATATGACAGCATATATGTGTTTGCCTAACTCATAGAATGGTACCCCAAAAGTGTGAATTTTACCGTAAGTAAATACAGTAAACTTAAAAAGTGAATTAGCACACGCAGATACAAACATAAAAGGATATATATCAAAATACTGATGGTGATTATCTCTTAGAGATGGTATTACTCATGATTTTAATTTTCTTCCTTGTCCTTTCCTGGAATTTAAAAATGATTCCCAATCAATAGGTATTATTTTCGTTTCTATGGGGAAAATAAAGTTGCGTTCCTTTCATATATTGAATGTGAGCCTCCAGACCTAGTGAAGACGGCAACTGCCTCTGGGAGACTCTTGGATACCAGTTTCCCTCCCCTTTTTCCCTCCTGTCCTTTATCCTTTACAATGATTTCAACATATCAGTCCATGAGTTCAAGAAGCTGCAACTGTTGCCAAATGCCTTTTCAAGCAACCCCTAATTTCTTTGCTGCCATTTGAGTCTATTTCTGACATACTAATAAGATTAGGCAAATATTTACTGAGCCCTTACATGTGCTAGGCACTGCTAGGTGTTCTACGTGCAATATCTTATGCATCTCTAACACAGCAACCTTAAATGTTGTAGTTTTTCTGTCCTCAATTTATAGATGCCCATGGTCACAAGCTAACAGAGACAGAAGCTGGATAATTTCAGAGTCTAAATTCTCAACCACTGTAGTGAAGTGAGGTGGTTAAGGAGCACAGCATCTGGAGGAAAGCTGCCTGGATTCTAAAGCTTGGCTCCCTTTAGTAGTGGGGTCTTGGGGAAATTACTTATCTTCTCTGAGTCTGTTTCCTGAGAATAAAATAAGGATAATAGTAGTAACTACTTCATCAGTTGGTTAGGAGGATTAAATTATATATGTGAAGTGCCTGGTACATAATAAGTGTTGTCGTTAATCCCACACCCCAGCCCCAAGTCTTCTTCTTTGGGTGTAGCAAGGACCTTCAGCTTCCATCAAGGTGATTTCTTAACTGTTCAGTAACAGCACCAGGCTCTTCTTGCCTCAGGATCACTGGTGTATTATTCCCTCAGCCCAGAACATCCTCCCTTCTCTTTTTCACCTTCTGTCTTACCCTAGCCTGCAAGGCTCAGTTCAAGTTTTCCTCCATCCAAAACAACATTGCTTCGTATACTTCTTTCTAAGTGGTCACAAATAGTTTCATCGGCATTAATTTTGTCTTTGATTAAAATGGTCATCCAATAAAGTAGTTTGTAGCCTCATGTAGTTATTTAAACTTAAATTGATTAAAATGAAATGAAATTAAAAATGTACTTTCTTGCTGTGCACGGTAGCTCATCCCAGTACTTTGGGAGGCCGAGGTGGGCAGATCACCTGAGGTCAGCCTGGCCAACATGGTGAAACCCCAGCTCTACTATAAATACAAAAATTAGCCAGGCATGGGGCGGGCACCTGTAATCCTAGCTACTCAGGAGGCTGAGGCAGGAGAATCGCTGGAATTTGGGAGGCAGGGGTTGCAGTGAGCCGACATGGCACCACTGCACTCCAGCCTAGGTGACAGAGCAAGACTCCGTCTAAAAAAAAAAAAAAACCAAACAAACAAATCACTTTCTCAGTTACGCTAGCCACAGTTCAAGTGCTCCCACGGCTAGTGTCAGCTATATTGGATAGCACCACTATTGAGCATTTCCTTCGCTATAGAAAGTTCTATTGAGTGCTTGTCTAAAATGTAAACAAGGGCAAGAACTATAGCTAAAGCTCTGGAAACCCAGCAGCGCACAACCCAATGATTACATAGGAGGAACTTTGTTGAGTACTTGTGTTTTGTTTTATTGATTCACCAAGGGGTTTCACATTTGATGGAAAACCTAATGTGGGCATGATCTTTTGACCTAGGCTACAAGTTACTGATTGATTAAATCATTCACCCAATTTTAACTTTGGTCTTGAAGGATCAAATTTCCAAAAAGCCAAGCCCATCTTTCCTTTTTAGGATAACGCAATAATTATTCTGTCAATGACCCCTTCAGTTAGGAGCTGAAGTCCTCTATGACACACACAATTCATACAGAATTTTAGATGGGAAGCTACCTATGTTAAATAATCTTTTGCAAAACCTAACCTAAAATAATTCTCTTAAAGTGAAAAGATTTCCAAGTGCTTAGCAAATACTGCCCTGATAACTTGCAGCATTTCAATAAAATATATTCACCTTATTTTAGAGGTGAAGAATCAAGGTCAAGTGATTTACCCAAGGTCACATTTCAGTGCTACTTCTGGATCCAGTTCCCTCTGACACCTGAGCCCCTAGTTTCTCTCTTTGCTGAATCCCAGAGTTCTAAATCACTCCCATACCCTTAGGGCATTTTATGCCCACTAATGATACCACTTATTCTGAGTGTCTACAATTTGTAAGCTCTCTGCAAAAGCAGCAAAAGCTGAGGCTGCTGCATACCCCCCACCCCCCCACCCCATCATGTAAACATCTTGGCTGTATCCCAGCTGAGTCACTGCCACCGAGTAAAGGACTCACAAAAAAAAAAAAAAAAAAAAGAAAAAAATCAGACCAAGCTTAAAGCACTCCACTAAAGCTGCTGCAGATAAGTAGGTCATTAAAATATAAAATATAAAATTAGCAAAACAGCATTTTTCCCCCACCATATGCTAAGAGGTTTCACCAAATGATAACACATACAAAAAAATCCATATACCAGACAGGAGGGTGAAGTGAGAAAGTGGCTTCAGGGATACATTGATTGAGATACTCAAGCAAGATAAATTGCTTTTTGATAATTAGATTTGAGGAAATCTTTTTTTTCTTCTGTGATTCCATTGTTGTATGGAATCACAGTCTACTGCAAAAAGACTTAACATTCTAAGGAGGTAGAGGTCTTTCTCCATGTGCGTCATCTCTTTGTGCTTATATCAAAGACATTATGATAAGAATTTTCATAAAATTTTTCTTAAGCGTATTTGCCAAATATTTTCAATGTTAAATGGTTGAGTTTTTCAACCAAACTATAATTAAGACTTGAAGAAGAAAATTATTCCAGGGTACATCATTATTTACATTCCAAAAGAATAAAAGGGGGATAGATGTGAGTTTCAACAAATGAAATTAGCAATATGAACCTGATTTAATATTTTAGGTATTCCCTGATAGCTTCTGGAATCATGGCATAAATAATGGCCCCAATTATTAAAACTGAGAAATTTAACAAGGCACAAGATCAAAGTGCACACACACTGAGCTAACTTCACACTCATTCCGTCACAATTACTAAAAAAATGCTTTCAGCTGGGCTTGCACTTTGAATTAGAGGGGATTTCTTAACTGACAGCAAATTTATAGTCTTTCCTTATTGCAGCAAATTTGCTTGACTTTTGGTCTTTATGCTGACATTTTGACAAACTAGTACTCCAGTTCCATCGAGAAATAGCATGATAATAATCTATGGCAAACACGCGCAAATTTTAAAAAAGAGACAAATAGCTGGATAACACAGAACTCTCCAGCATCAGAAAAAATAATCAACAGTACAACAAAAACTTACTGGCAGCCTCTTTGCTTTTGTCCCTTTTGAAATCCTCCTGACCACCCCCATCCCCTGGGAGGTATGTTGGATCTTTTCATTAAAGAGATTGGAATAGGGAAGGAGGAAGAAATCGATTCAGAGGACATAGACTGTGATGAAGAGATAGAGAGAAATAGACACAGAGACAAGGGGGAGAGATAGAGAAGCAGAGAGAGCCCAAGACAGATGATGTGGAAAGAGGTGCAGAGAGAGAATTAAAACTTCTAATGTAGAGTTAGTTAGTGTTAGGTTGGGAGTTGAGTGTAATATTCTACTGGGAAATCCAAGAAACAGTGAAAAGAAGATGGATGTACTCAGCTGAAACTGATTCGCTCAGAGGGCCAGTCATATTTTCCCCGACATTTCACCACATTGTGCCTTCTGTTCATGCTCAGGGTCTCTCTTCTGAGCAGCAGCATCCAAACTTGGAGTTTTCACTCATGATGTTCCAGTCAGGTCAGTCTCCAGTGAGTGAAGAATACTAACTTATAACCTCACAGATATTTGGATCAGGAAGTTATTTTTCATTTGAAAACTCAACAGCCTGAGCTACTCATCCCCGACACAATTATGTAGCACATATGCCTGGTTGCTCTCAGATCCTGGCATTTCATTAATTACTACAAGAGATGATTGCCTCTTACACTTTGATTTGACAAGGCATCCTCTTCAGTGAAGCGGTAGATAGAGATATTGTAGGATCAACTGATTCTGGGGGGTTGACGATATGAAGCAAGGGTTTGTGTGATTTGTTCCACATCTGGGGACATTGGCCTATTGGTTATTCACACCAGAATATACTGAGTATCCTGGTGAACTTCATTTTTAAATGCGGACCAATAGTATTTATTGTGCCCGTGGTTCTCACACTTGAGCATTCATCAGAATCACCTGGACTGGAGGGCTTGCTAGAACACACATTGCTGGGTCCTCCCCCAAGAGTTTCTGACCCAGTAGATCTGGGGACCACCTTGAGAACCGTTGACCTAAGCAATCCTGGGCTATTTACGAGGAGAATGCTGTGGGGAAAACTGATATGTTCAAGGATGCAAAAAGGGAAGAAGATGCCTCCTCTAGACCAGCACTTTTTAAAGTTGAAGGTGCCCTATGAATGCAGATTCTGATTGACAGGCCTGGAGTGGGTGCTAACATTCTACAGGCCTAACAAAACTCTCAGGGGATGTTGATATTGATGCTGCTGACTCAGGAACCACACTGAGTTTCAAGGCTCTACGTTAACCAGGGGAGTGTTTCTCAAAGTATATCCTGAGGGCCATTTATAAAAAAATCATAGGGTTGTTTGGGGGAGTGAAGGGGATTGTTATTAGTGCAGATTCCTTGGTCCACCCCTAGATATACTGTATTAGAAACTCTCTAGAGATTCCTAGGTGGATCCTAGGAATCTGCATGTCAAAGAAGAGTTTCTTACATTCTTCTACAGATTGAGAGAGAACAAGGGACATCAACAGGTGGATATTCAGAGATCAGTATTTCCAGGCACTGTCTACTTGGGTCCCTAGTTATTTTCTCTGTCTTAGACCTTCTACCATCTTTTTTATTTTTATTTTTTTTTGGCTGTTGATGACATCACCGGAAAAGGTAAAGAGAATTTTAAAAGAAGGGGTGGAGCCACGTGCGGTGGCTCACGCCTATAATCTCAGTACGTTGGAAGGTTGAGACGGGTGGATCACTTGTGGGAGGCTGAAGTAGGTGGATCACTTGAGGTCAGGAGTTCGAGACCAGCCTGGCCAACATGGTGAAACCCCGTCCCTACCAAAAATACAAAAATTAGCCGAGCATGGTGGTGCGTGCCTGTAATCCCAGCTACTCAGGAGGCTGAGTCAGGAGAATTATTTGAACCTGGGAGGCGGAGACTGCAGTGAACTGAGATGGCACCACTGCACTCCAGCCTGGGTGACAGAGCAAGGCTCTGTCTCAAAAAAAAAAAAAAAAGAGTGAGGGGTGAAACTTCTAATGATCTGTTTTACTCTGCATTAGCCA